>NC_000011.10:61797801-62100831 GCF_000001405.40 Homo sapiens
TTAAGCTGGCAATGTCTTGACAGATTAAACAGGTAGGGAGCCTGAAGACCAGTAGTTTTCAAGTCTTTTAATGGAGAAACCTATTCTTCAAGTGTAATCTTATGTGAAACTTTAGGATGTACAGGTTCCTCTGGTTGAAGCTGGAATGGGATAAAGTTTACCCAGCAACGGCCTCATAACTAGGGTACTTTTTGAAAACTGGTGTTGACAAAAAGTTCTATCCCAAGGGCAGGTAACTTTTGAAACTGATTTTCCCAGATTATACCAAGCCACACAACTTATTTGAGCTCTATTTTCTGATTCAGGTAGATTGCTTCTAAATCTGCAGTAATGGTGATAGGAACTAAAGACGGTAAGATTTCTTTTTTTTTTTTTTTTTTGAGACAGAGTCTCTTGCTCTGTCACCCAGGCTGGAGTTCAGTAGTGCGATCTTGGCTCACTGCAGCCTCAGCCTCCTGGGCTCAAGTGATTCTCCCACCTCAGCCTCCCAAGCAGCTGGGATTACAGGCACAGGCCACCATGCCTGGATGATTTTTCAATTTTTTGTAAAGATGGGATCTCACTGTTGCCCAGGCTGGTCTTAAACTCCTGGGCTCAAGCAATCCTCCCGCCTTGGCCTCCTAAAGGCTAGGATTACGTGTGCCATTCTCTCCCAGTGCTGGGATTACAGGATGAGCCACCTTGCCTGGCGAAATGTTAAGATTTCTTAGGAGTTATTGCCTCAGTGCAGTAGCTCTTAATAATTAAGGGCTTATACCCTGTGGTGGTCAAGAATGTAGTGGTTTTCTTTTGTCTTTTGAAGGTAAGTTTGTCTCCTATAGAATTTTGTTAATCTGACTTTCTGTGTGCACACTGCAGGGAAGATTAATGATGCCTACAAATGTTTTTGCTCAGAGCTGTTCTAGTTGGATGGTTAAGAGGCACTGCTCTGCAGTCAAGCTCTGAGGGATCACACTTGCAGAGGAAGATTTAGGCAGATAGGACTTAGGGAGACTATTTGGAAACTAGAAATGAGTTTAAAAGTAAAGAGAGGCCAGGCGCAGTGGCTCACGCCTGTAATCCCAGCACTTTGGGAGGCCAAGGCGGGTGGATCACCTGAGGCCAGGAGTTCAAGACCAGCCTGGCCACCATGGTGAAACCCTGTCTCTACTAAAAATAAAAAATTAGCTGGGCGCGGTGGTGTATGCTTATAATCCTAGCTACCCGGGAGGCTGAAGCAGGAGAATTGCTTGGACCCAGGAGGCGGAGGCTGCAATCAGCTGAGATCACGCCACTACACTCCAGCCTGAGCAGCAAGAGTGAAACTCTGGTCTCAAAAAAAAAAAAAAAAAAAAAAAAAAAAAAAAAAAAATTAGCCTGAGGTGGGAAGATGGCTTGAGGCCGGGAGGCAGAGAATGCAGTGAACTAAGATGGCAGCACCACTGCACTCCAGCCTGGGCCATAGAGCCAGACCTTGTCTCAAAACAAGTAAGTGTAAAAATAAAGAGAAAATAATTCAAAATGGAAAGCTGAAGGACAAAAGGGCAAGGGCATTGCCTCATGAATAGGAGGAAGTGATACGTGTGAAACTTGGTGAGATTATTGACAATCTCACATTTGAACACGGGAGTCATCAGAAGGACTTTGCCTTGCTCTTCCTTGCCATACTTCACCCTTGCCTTGGTGTTTTCTGGAGGGTCCTGATGTTTCTTCCTCTGCCCAATACAAAGGGGAGTCTAGTGATTCAAGAACTTAAGAGCACAGAGAGGTGAACAGTAACTCGTAGCAGAGGCACTCAGGAATCCTGTGCACACACAGATGAACATCATGGGTTACAAATGAAGTCTTTTGGTCAAAATTAACTTTATTTTTCAACTTCATAGGGATGTGATAACAAAATTGGCACACACAAAAAGAATACTGATATTGGGCCTGATTTAAAAAATGCCTCTGGCCAGGTTGTAAAAAAGTGAAAGTAACAAAGATAAACATAGAAGTTGGAGTTGTAAAAAAGTGAGTTGGAATTCATGCTGCCATGATCTACTTGACCAGAGGCAGCTTTTCCTCTCTAAGCCTATTTTATATCTGTCAGTGGATTTGAGATCACTCATTTTACCATTGTAACATTCCGAGCCTTTTGTCACTGTGTGTCCCTTTGTGGCCATGTAAGAGACCACACTGCTGTAGGCTGAGAAGGCCACAGTGGTTCAGGTGCTTTGAGGACTTGGTCTTGGCTCAATAGAGCCTCACTGGTGTTTGCTCAGATTGGGCAGCCTATGCCCAAAGCTACTTGGCTAAACAGGCTGGTGACACCACACCCAAAAGGTGGCAAAGAATAGGAATAGGAAGGATCAGCACCTATTTTGGAGTGAGGAAGCCAATGGAGGTACAACTCCTCAATTCTAAGTTTTTGTTGTTTTTTTTTTTTTTGAGACAGGGTCTTGTTCTATCACCCCAGGCTGGAGTGCAGTGGTGTGATCTCAGCTCGCTGCAGGCTTGACCTCCTGGGCCCAAGTGATCCTCCTGCCTGGACCTCCCAAAAGTGTTGGGATTACAGGCATGAGCCACTGCATCCAGCTTGCTTCTAATTTTCCTACCCAGGCTGTTTTAAACCTAGTTCTCCAGCTAAGTAAAATGTGCCCAAATGGAAAACATCTAAATCTTCTGCAGCCCATTCTTCCTGTGTCTTTGTGTTGACAAACCTCTAATCTTCCATGTCTTTGTGTTGACAAACCTAACCTTCCATGTCTTTTTGTTGACAAACCTCTAACCTTCCATGTCTTTGTGTTGACAAACCTCTCCATGGGTGGTGCATCTGACCCTATCCCAACATGCCTTAGGACGCTCATCTCCTTGACTGTCTGCCATCCCCTCCCAAAACTAAGTGGAGGCTCTGTCTTTTCCTCCTAGTTTGAGGTTCTCTTCTCCCAGTGTCTAAAATGATCAATATGCCTAGAGTAGATGCTGCTGAAGAGGCAAAGTAGTAATCCTGCCACCTGGAAGCAAAGGCTGTGGGTTGGAGGGGGAAGCGGGTGTGAGGGCTGATGATAAGCCCTAGGAGGCTCCTGAGTCATATTCCTATGTTTGCTCTCTGGAGAGATGGGCTAAACTGTTTATCTTTTAAAAACCAGATGATTAAAAAGTTACATTTTAGTATTATACTGATAGGAATATAGGATAATCTCTTCTAAAGCCTATTTGGTTTCCAGAAGAGTTAGATACTTGAACAAGAGTGGACAGAGTAAGATACCTAGCTACAGCAATAGAAATCACAAACTGTTCTGTGGTTTTAATCTTCCTATTTCTGATTTAGAAGTATGAAGTGATCATATTTAATCTTTCTGCTCCTGCTCAAAAATAATTCTATAACATCATTTAGGTTATAGAAAGTTTCTACTTATAGCCCTTACATTCTTTATGACCGAAATCTGTGTCTTTCCTCATGACTGATAATTATCTCCCAATTTGGTCACTTCTGCTAATTGCTATTTTATTAAACTTGAAATTTTAGGTTGGGAAGCAAAGGGAAACCACTGGGCATCCCCTTTGTTTCTAGGGAGAAAAGACTAACTTGTCCCATCTGCTCACTTGCTTATGGAGCTAAAAGACCCCCAGTCCTAGAAGTGTTCTGTTCCTGAGGAGTGGTTAAAGAGGTGAAAAGAAGAGGTGAATTAAAAGATGAAAGAGCTTTTTAAATAGCCAGCAACTCTCTCTACCATCTGTTTTGGTAAGAGCTAGCACCTCTTGTTCTCTTTAGACCCTGGAGGGAATAAACCAAAATCAGTGGTTCCAGGATCCTTCAGAGCCAAAAGACCCCAATACCACAGTCTTGACCTTTGCCCTGCCTGCTTCTGAAACTGGAGAATGGCATCTCCCAGCAGCCTAAGGCAGACATAGGTCATACCTATCCCTGGGCAGCGAGCTGAGCTCCCACAGACTGAGTTGTGCTGGATCTCAGAATTCTAAGCATTAATGTTTCCTTGCTGTTATAATTCTTGCTCATCAGGTTCAACTGCCTTATCCCTCTGAGGTTTGCAAATGAGGATGGAGAAGCCACTGAGAAATGGACCAGTGAGCTGAGCTCACCTTTTATATGAGTGGATTTTTTTTTTTTTTTTGAAATGGAGTCTTGCTCTGTCGCCCAGGCTGGAGTACAATGGCGTGATCTCAGCTCACTGCAACCTCCACCTCCCCGGTTCAAGCGATTCTCCTGCCTCAGCCTCCTGGGTAGCTGGGATTACAGGCGCGTGCCACCACGCCCGGCATGAGTGGAATTTTAGTGTTAAATCTCTTCCTGACTCTGGGTTCAGTAGGTCCCTCCTCTTCTGTTACCCTCCTGGTTCTCTCTGTTCACCAACTACCTGCATGTGCCAAACTAGAAAAAGGAAATAATTTACACCCCTGCCCCAACAGCTCCTTCCCTCCTAGGGACTTCTGTGTCCACCCCCCACTTTGGGTCTTAGAACTGTGGCTAGAAGATAAAAGGGAGGAGTTTGAGTCAGAGGCTTTATGTCCCCAAACCCAACCCCCTCTGAGTATTAAACTATAGTGGCATTGTCCCTCAAGCTCCCCTCTGCCTTGGCTCCAGAGTCTTCCTCCTCTTCTTCCAGACTGGGCAGGGTGGCTGTTGTTATTGGTGAAGATAGGCATCTAGCCAGAGCTGCCCTGACTCCTTTAGTGAGCTGCAGGGACAAAATGGGGGCAGACAGTGAGGGAGACAAGCAGAGTTGAACCCACCGGAGATGGAGCAGTGAGGTTAAGGCCTTCTTCCATCTGGAGGTTTTCCTCCCCTCTACTTTAGAGAAAGCTAGCTTGGGCCATGGTACTGAGGGGAACCCCAATGAGGGCAAAGGCCTGACCTGGCCACAGGTCCAATAAAGAATCCTGCCTTTGCCATGGTGAACTCCATCCCACACGACTGGGAACACCTTCTGTTCACTCCCCACCCTACATGTCATCATTTCCATTGCCCTGCCCTCTTCCCTCCCTACTAGCCATCTTCCTGGTCTCAGATACTCACTGGATGATGTCGGCGAAGGCTGACAGCAGGGGCTTGGACTGGTACTCTATGCCATGCTTGGCACACAAGGACTGCACCAGGGGAGCCACTTTGTGGTAATTGTGTCGAGGCATCGTGGGAAAAAGACTTTAGGGAGAACGGGGGAGTCAGTGGTTCCTGCTTCTCTGCTCCCACCTGTACCCAACACTTACACCCTCCCCAGGACCCTGCTTCCCCAGGCTCCCTACTCACTGGTGCTCAATCTGGAAGTTGAGGTGTCCACTGAACCAGTCATTGAAGGCAGACTTGTGGACATTGCATGTGGCCTGGAGCTGGCGGAAAAGGTCAGGGGAGAGCATGTTGAATATCAGATGGAAAGGCCAGCCCAGCATTCTCCAGGTAAAGCTGGCTGAGGAAGGGACATGAGACTGTCTTGGTCACTCCCTTCACATGGTTGCAGAACAAGAGCCTCAGGCTAATGAGAAAATGCTGTTTGGGGGACTTTTTGTTTTTGCTGTTTTCACCTACGCATCCTTTTCAATAGTTGTGTTATGCTCCAGTCTTCTGAGTGACTGTCCCTTACCTGGGTGGAAACCCAGTCCATGTTCCGGTCATGATCAATGTGCATGGGAATATGGTTCATCTGTGTCACCCACACAAACCAGTTGCTTTCCAGGAACCTGTTAGATGTATTACACAGACAAAAACAGTACACACAGAGCCCAGAATTCTGATTCCCCCCTCAGATAACTGCTCCAGCCTGTCTACTTTCCCAAGCCAACTCCTGAAACACCCACTGTTACCCAAAGCCCCAGCACGGCCCCTAGACCAGACTGGTCACTCCCCAACATTTCCTTCACCAGTCCCTATCCGCCCCCACCGAATACTACCTGACTATGAAGAAAAGGCCCAGGAAGGCTTTCAGCCCCAATAGTGGCACATAAGTGAGGAAGAAGCGGACGTAGAAGGTAATCATCCAGGCCAAGTCCTATAGTGAGAAAAGCAGCGAGCATAACAGTCACGAACAACTCTTCCTCTTCCTCTCAGCAGCTCTTTGTTTGCATGGTGCAGCCATTCTCCTGGTTATCCAGACTCACTCATCTTCAGCTTCTCAGGGGTCCAATCCTGCAGTATCTAGTGCCACTGCTCCTTTCTTCCATTCCCATTGGCACCCCCCAGCCCTTCTTGCATGTCCCCTTCAAAAGTACCAAGGCCTACAAGGTCTCTTTGCCTCTAGCTCTTCCTAGCCAATCTAAATCCTTCAGCATGCCGCCAAATGAATCTGCCAGGACCATGGCTCAGTCCATGCCAGTGCCCTGATCAAATCTCTCATCACTGAACCAAGCACCATACTCTTCCCCTGACACTAGTCCTCCACAATATGTCTGGTGGTCAAACTTACCCCTCATTTCCAGCTTCTCTGCTCAGAGTTCATCCCCCCTGCTCCACCTCTGCCTGTCAGAAACCCTGCCCAGCCTCAAGGCCAGCTAGAAAAGTGACTTCACAAAGCCAGGTGCAGTCAGGCCCCTTTTGGAGTCCCCAGAACCTATTGCCTGTACCTCTTTTCTGATTAATAACCACATTCTGCTTCATCAGAAGTTTCCTTGAAAGTAGGTATTGTCTCTCATTCATCTTCCCCATTCCCAACTCAGCCCCCTGGCATTATGCCCAGTACAAGAACCTCTGGAGACACTGACCGCATGAAATTACACATTGGGAATCAGGCTGCCTGCTAAGCTCAAATCATTTCGTCCCACTTAGAGATAAGGAGGATCTGTGTCTGGTTCTATTATTTTGTTCTAAATTAGGCCTAGAGTCAGTCTCAAGTTTCCCCTGGGGAACCCCTATCCCCCACTCTGGGTGCTGGAGACAAGGATGTGGGCTTCTTGGGCCATGGATACTCACCACCCACTTCTTTCGCTGGATAACAAAATAGAAAATATACCACTGGAAGTAGAGAGGCAGCAAGGCTGGGGGCCCAACTGGGGAGGAAACCGAGACAAAGAGGAGGCATGAGCACAGGAAGGTCATGAAAGGGCCAGTTGATGTTGGGAGAGATGGCCTCTAGCAGGGGGCTGCCTCTTCCAACCATCCCTTCTGTCTCCCCTCCAGGTGCTTGAGTGCTCTGCAATCCACTGGAACCAGCAGGCACTGAAGGTGGGCATAAATCCAAGTCTGGGGAAGGCAAAAACTCCCAAGAGGATGCCAGGGAAGGTGAGGGGTGCGAGTGGCACTCTTCAGTGACAGGTGCTTGGGAACTCAGGCCCCACGCATGGGACTTGCTCTGCTCCCACACCTTTATTATTTTTCATTTTTCTTCTCTTTTCTACATACACACTCCAAGGATCCCACACTTTTAAAAGGGTGCTAATACTCTCTTACTTACCTTGGCCACAGCCCTGTCCCTACAGTCATCTGCCCTTTGTTCCTGGCAGCTCCACCATGCAGGTGAAGGGGCAGGAGCAGGAAAGTGTGTGTGTGTTGGGAGGGACCCTGTGGATCCTTCACAGGCTGTGAAGCTCACTTCCTTAAACTAGGGAGATGGGCTTGTGCCACCCCAATCTGAAGCCCTGGAGGTCAGCTGTGGGACGGAACAGAGGGGCCTCTCTTGAAAGAAAACTGGGAGTTGAAGAAGTGTTGCATTCTACATGCTTCCTCATTTCCTTTTCTGTAGCCCTTCTCTGTGGCACCTGATGCTACCCATAACTCCTAGCATGACAATGCTCACCCATGGCTCCTCCATCTTGATGTGCCATGGATTCTAAAACTATTTCTTCCAGAGGTCTCTGCTCTACCCTTCTGCCCCATCGCCTTTCTCTATTCGTGATAGTTGGTGATAGGCAGTTAGGATGAATTCCTTCAAACTAAAATAAGATCAGTGGACTCCTTCCCTTCCTTCTTTAAAAAATTTGAAAATTTAAAGGCGTTTAAAGCTCATTTTAGGCATTATGGAGCAGAGTTGTTGTTGTTTTAAGAAACAAGATCTCACTCTGTTGCCCAGGCTGGAGTGCAGTGGCACAATCGGAGCTTACTGCAGCCCCAAATTCCTGGGCTCAAAGGATGGTCCCACCTCAGTTTCCTTAGTAGCTGGGACAGACTTTTAAAGCTGGGAATATGTGGCAGTCATCAGAAAGATCTTCTTCGTTCTAACAGCTCTTCCATTCTCTCCTCAGGACCCATCCTTCCAGAACTATCTGTACCTTTGTTCCTCTGGGGGTTGGACTGGGCTCTACCAGGTTACCTTGGCCCATCTTGACAAAGTTTAAGATAAGGTTGAGGGGCCGGGCGCGGTGGCTCACGCCTGTAATCCCAGCACTTTGGGAGGCCGAGGCGGGTGGATCATGAGGTCAGGAGATCGAGACCATCCTGGCTAACAAGGTGAAACCCCGTCTCTACTAAAAATACAAAAAATTAGCCGGGCGCGGTGGCGGGTGCCTGTAATCCCAGCTACTCGGGAGGCTGAGGCAGGAGAATGGCGTGAACCCGGGAAGCGGAGAGCTTGCAGTGAGCCGAGATTGCGCCACTGCAGTCCGCAGTCCGGCCTGGGCGACAGAGCAAGACTCCGTCTCAAAAAAAAAAAAAAAAAGATAAGGTTGAGGATAAAGCAAGAGGCCCCTCTACACCCCAAACACCCAGCTTCCCAGTGGAAACTGGGGTTGGATGGGAAGAACTAGTTTGCCTTCAACCAATCATCAGCCTAACTTCACTTCGCTCAGCTGAGATGGCAAACTGCTGTCATGCAGGGAGTAACTGGGGGTGGGAGTGGGGTACTTCCTCTAGCCCCTTTCCTTAAAATACCATAATCCCTTGGACAGCCACATCCTCCTCATTCCCTCAGCATTCCCTCCTGAGGCAGCTCCCCTGTGTTGGATGGGGACACTCACTTAGGAAGAAGTATTTGTGCTGGTGGTTGTACGGCATATATTTTTTCTTCTGTTTCCCAAGCTGTGAAGAAAAGCAAACACATGAGCATTCGGAGACCAGTGATTCCTCCCTCTGTGACTTGACCTTTCCTTGCTTGGAGGTTTAGGCCTCCTCCAGGGCTGACAGCTTGTTGGTGCTATTGGAAAGCTCCAAGAGGCCCAGCCTTACCTCCAGCACATGGAACATGAAGCCCTAGACTGTAATCTGCAGAGTGTGTCACACCATGGCCTGCAGCTGGATGGCCCATGCTCACATGAGGGATGTGCACAGCACAGAGTCTACAGGACCACAGGCCCTCTTGTGTTCATTCTCTTTGTCATGAGGTTTCCAGGCCCCACTGCCCTCTCCCCTTTCTCCCATCGTACTTTTTTGTTTATTTTTTAGACGGAGTCTCGCTCTTGTTGCCCAGGCTGGAGTGCAATGGCACGATCTTGGCTTACCACAACTTCTGCCTCCCTGGGTTCAAGCGATTCTCCTGCCTCAGCCTCCCAAGTAGCTAGGATTACAGGCATGTGCCTCCACGCCCAGCTAATTTTGTATTTTTAGTAGAGATGGGGTTTCTCCATGTTGTTCAGGCTGGTCTTGAACTCCCAACCTCAGGTGATCCACCCACCTCAGCCTCCCAGAGTGCTGGGATTACAGGTGTGAGGCAGTGCGCCCGGCCGCCATCGTACTTTTTCACACCAGAATCTCCATGGACAACCATATCTGCCCCTATACAGGTTAAGTATTCCCTCTATATCCAGCCCCTAATTCTCCCCATCAAAATCTTTTGGTCTCTTGACTTAAACATGAGCTTTATCAAATCTCCTGAAGGCTAATTCGAGTTTGGCAAATATTTCTGGAAAAGACACCAAGAACAATTTGGCAATCTGAAGGTTCCAGCAGTTTTCCCCAGTAGGTGGTGGTTATTTTTTATAAGCCGAGCTGCTGAAGAGACAGGCTGGGGCCACCATGTCAACCAGCCAGTCTAGAACCCCTGATGTGGGCTCACAAACAAGACAGCAAAGTTCTGCTGTCTCACTCCATGACTATGTCTGCATCGCACTCCAATTAGTTCAGGTAACCAGACAACCACAAGGGCACAAGAGGAGCACTCAACCCCTGAGCAGAGCTCTAGCTCACCCTTCCATGTGTCCACAGTTCATTTATTGAGAGTTTATTCTGTACAAGACACTTCAGCTAGATGAAACATCCTTTCTACATTAACAGATTCAAGTTCTTCAGCACCTACTGTGTGCCGGGCTATGTTCTAGATGCTTAGGATACAGAGGTGAACAATACAGACTTCCCACCCTCATGGAGCTTATAACCTTAGGGGATGAAGCTGGTGATAAATTTGTAAACAGAGACCGGGTGCAGTGGCTCATGCCTGTAATCCCAGCACTTTGGGAGGCTGAGGTAGGCGGACTGCATGAGCCCAGGAGTTTGAGACCAACCTGGGCAACATGGTGAAACCACGTCCCTACTAAAAGCACAAAAATTAGCCAGGCTTGGTGGTACGCACCTGTAGTCCCAGCTACTCAGGAGGCTGAGGCAGGAGAATCTCTTGAACTCGGGAGGCGGAGGTTGTAGTGAGCTGAGACCGCACCATTGCACTTCAGCCTGGGTGACAGAGCGAGACTCTGTCTCAAAAAAAAAAAAAAAGATCTGGGACCCAAAATAGCCTTTCTTCTCCCCGGCCAGCTATGAGGCTGAGGATGGGCTGCCTGTTAGTGAATGCCTGGGCAATAGGCTGCTTGGTTCCATCCCTCTGGGGATGTTGATGCCTGTGCTGACCCCATGACATCCACGTCAGTGCCTCCCAAAATTTTTGGAGGACAAGGAGGGGCAGGGGACACTGCCCTAAATAGAACCCTTCTGACCACCAAGGGTCTAAACATAATGGGACAAGTTATAGGGATCATAAAGGCATTTGCCATTCAAGGAGGAAGCAATGGATGGGGCTCCTTTCCATAACAGTTCCACAATAGGAAGCCCCCAAGCAAGGGCGCCCCTTTTTCAATTTTTTCCTCAGTTAATGTTGCTCGAGATGGGGTGATTCTCACCACCACATCCAGGTCCTCAGCAAGCGTTGCTTACACTGCCTCCAAAACATATCCCAAATCCATTGGCTTCACCTGCTCCTCCGTGGTCTGGTCTGGACTCGCTCCAGCCGCCTCACTGAGGTTATATCTGTGATTATACCTACCCTCTATAATTCATCCTCTCCACCTCCAGCCAGAGCAAGCCTTTTAAAGTGCAAAGCAGATTGCTGTACCCACCAGAAACCCTCCTGTGACTCCCCATTGCTATTGGAATAAAACCCAAACTTCTTACCACACCCTTACCATGGCTTTCTAAGGCCCTACATGATCTGGCCCCTCCCTAGTTTTCTGGTCTTCTCATTCTCTCATTGCTTACTGTCCCTGAACATCCGGGAGCCTCTGTACTTGACTGTTCTCTCTGTTCCAAATGTTCCTTCCCTGAATTTTTGCAGTGTTGGCCCTTTTCATCATTCAGGTCTCAGTTCAGATGTCGGCACCCGAAGGAGGCCATATCTGATCATGACTACCTCTCAGTTTCTGTCATATTTTACTGTTTTTAATCTGTAAGTTACGTTGAACTCTGTTTACAATTTTTTTTTGGTTTTAATCTTTTTAAAAAATTATTATTTTTACACACAGGGTTGCGCTGTTACCCAGGCTGGAGTGCAGTGGCGTGATCATACTCACTGCAGCCTTCACCTCCTGGGCTCAAGCGATGCTCCCACCTCAGCCTCCCAAGTAGCTGGGACCACAGGCACATGCCAACTGCGTCCCTTCATTCTCTGTTTTTGATGTCTGCTGATAGGAATTTCCTGAAAACCCAAGTACCAAGAAGCAATAAAGGTAGTGGTGTGAGACTGTTCCCTTCCACTTAACCTGCCCATGTCTTTTTTTTAAACCCTCTGTAGTGACAGTAGAAATGCACAAGCCCCATGCCACTGCCCAGCAAATAACCACACTGCCCTTGAAGCAGCCATGGGAGTCAGACGGGGGACAGGGCTGCTTCGTCATCTGCATAGTACTGACCATAATGGTATCGGACATGTAACAAACCCAAGTCCATGCTCATGATGGGAAAATAAGAACATTATGGACAGGTGGGGCATGAGCCTCAAGCTATGAGCTCCTCATGCCAGGCCAACCAGTGCTGCCAAAGCCCTTTCAAAGTTCTCATGGCCAGGGGCGAGAGGAACGCCAGGCTACCTTGAACTCATGCCTAGAACTGAAATGTGTTTTAACGACAATTTAATTCCTCGCAAGCTGAAATGTCACAAAGTGGAGGAGGTGGACCTGGAAGAACTCTGCAGCCTACAGCCTTGGGACAAAGGGCTTTAAATGAACTTTTCAAAGAATTCTGCTGGCCTTTTAGAACCTTCCATTGCCTAATGCTCACTAAAAGCTCACCAGATCTCCACCCCCAGGCATTATTCCTTCAGCAGCTACATTATTTCTGCTTACAACTTCAGACGACATCTCAAACCCAACGCTGACCACCCAGGAAATCAGGCTGGGGATCAGCAGGGTGGGAAGAAGTACTCAGTGAATGAATGTTCCAGATATTGGACATGAAAGAAGAGTAAGACAGTCCAGCCCTGGACAGAGAAGACTGTGACAAGAAGGATACCTAAGTGTGGGAGAGAAATACAAAGTGCAAGGGGAATACTTGCCTGGGGCAAGAGTGTCAAAAAAGCACCTCCAGGAGGTGCCATCAGCACCTTCAAGGATAGGCTATCTCATCATTTGGATCCTTCTGGTCATCCGCTGGATCCTTTGCAAAATGAGGTGCCTTTTATGCAGTAACGGTTTGCTGACTGAACTCTCTAGGGAGGATGGTGACTCCCTCCTGGGCAGCCCCCATCTATTGCCTGTTGCCTTCCAGAACTTCCAAAATGGCAAAAGCCCCAGCCAGCCCAGCCCCAGTGTCTTGCCCACACTGACAACATCGTGGGCATCTTCCCCAACTCCCCTATGTTGGCTGCCTCCTATTCCCCAAGACCTTTCCACTGATACCTCCACGCACCTCCACAGAGAGGATCTTCCCCAAGGCAAAGAAGAAGGGATGCATGTTGATGTCTGGGTCTTTGCGGAAGCAGTTGGGCTTGGCATGGTGCTGGAAGTGCATGTGGTTCCACCAACTGGCGGGGGCCCCCTACAGAAAAGCAGGGACACGAGTATGAAAAGCTTCCCCCAAGGCAGCCCTTCATTGCCTGGAGTTTTAGAGAGCTCCTCCCCATCCCACTGACCTTCAGGTGGCCAATCACAAAATGATGTAGCAGATGGTTCCACTTTGAGGTGCTGAAGACCGACAGGTGCCCAAAGTCATGCTGCAGCCAGCCAGCCTGGGCCTAGGTGAGAAGAGTCAACACTGAGAGCAGCCCACCAGCCCCAGTGTCGCCTTCACTGACCTCGATGCCTCCTTCAGCCTCTCCCACTTCCTTCATCTGCCAAGGCCTGTGATGCACCTCAGGAGTCAGGAAACATGGGTCCTAGTTCTGCCTCTGCCACTGACTCACACGTGAGTTGGGGCAAATCACCATCCCTTCTCTGTTCTTCTGTTTCGCCAGCTCCGAAGCTCATGACTTTTTTTTTTTGAGACAGTTTTGTTCTTGTTGCCCAGGCTGGAGTGCAATGGTGCGGTTTCAGATCACTGCAACCTCCGCCTCCTGGGTTCAAGTAATTCTCCTGCCTCAGCCTCCCAAGTAGCTGGGATTACAGGTGCCCGCCACCAAGCCTGGCTGATTTTTTTGTATTTTTAGTAAGAGTCGAGGTTTCACCATGTTAGCCAGGCTGGTCTCGAACTCCTGACCTCAGGTGATCTGCCCACCTTGGCCTCCCAAACTGCTGGGATAACAGGCGTGAGCCACCATACCTGGCCTGTTTTGAGAGTGTCGCTCTGTTGCCCAGGCTGGAGTGCAATGGTGCCAACTCGGCTCACTGCAACCTTCGCTTCCCAGGTTCAAGCAATTCTCCTGCCTCAGCCTCCCATGTAGCTGGGATTACAGGCACCCACCACCACTCCCAGCTAACTGTTGTATTTTAATAGAGACGGGGTTTCACCATGTTGGCCAGGTGGTCTTGAACTCCTCACCTCAAATGATCTGCCCATCTTGGCCTCCCAAGGTACTGGTATTACAGGCGTGAGCCACTGTGCCTGGCCTTTTTGTATTTTTAGTAGAGGTTTCACCACGTTGGCCAGGCTGGTCTTGAACTGAGATCAAGTGATCCGGCCACCTTGGCCTCCCAAAGTGCTAGGATTACAGACATGAGTCACCACACCTGGCCTGAAGCTCATGACTTATGATGGACTGACATCTAGAATACAGAAAGGACTGAAACATGAGCAGAAGGCTTGCCAAATGGGTCCTGACAGTCAAGAATTAGCGCTCAATCATTATTAACATATTGGGCAATGTCAGTGGTGGGGAGGGAGCCAAGCTTTGCTAAGAAACCAGAAACTTGGCTCCTGGCACAGGTGGGCTGTGGCAGAGAACAAACCGCATAGGAAGAAGAGAACCCTTGGAGAAGCAGCTAAAAAGGCAGTGAGAGAAATGAAGATGTCCATGTGGCTAAAGAGCAGACAGGTCAAGACAGCAGAATGCATGTTCCTGCACTCACTCCTGCATACCTTCAGATCTGCCCTGCTTGGAGGGCAGGCACTCTTGGCCTTCCTCAAACACCCAAGGAGCTTTCCCCAGGGATGCTGAGCATTGCTGTGCACTTGACAAGCCAAAGGCTCTCACCTGAACTGCACTGAGCAGCACCGCACAGAGGAGGAAGGGCAAAAAGGACGTCCCAAAGACCCAAAGGGTGAGCCAGGCTGCACCATCCAGCAGCAAGATGTGCAGCAGGTACAGCAGGAAGAAGACATGGTTGGCCTTCATGAGCCCCATCCGCTCCACTGTGGCCCGCAGCTCCCGGAACTCATCTGTCAGCTCTTTCTGCAGAAGAGGAAGAGGAGCTGTTATTCTTCTCATCTGCACCCCAATGCTACTGGAGACAAGGGCCCTCTCAGGCTCAAGGACCTCCCACTGAGGTAGCTGTGGGAAGTCCACAGTCCTAGGCAAAGATACCACGACAATGAGGATGACAGGAGGAGGTGCCATGGGATAGTGCCTAAGAGTTCAGGGGACTAAGTCCTTGCTCTGCCATTTACTAACTGTGTGATCCTTGGCTGTGTTGCTTAACCTCCCTGAGCCTGTTATCTCATCTGTAAATGTGTAAGAGTTATGAGTTTATGCTTGGTGCATAGTAAGTGCTCATATGATAACAATGATGATAACAATGATGGCAGCCATGGTAGTGGCAGCCTTGGGGGAGCCATAGGTTGCAAAGCCATGCTCCCTTGGGCCTGTGACCTCATGACTATGCAAGAGAAGCAGGGACCTCAAGACTCCCCAGAGCTACTACTGACTGTGATTACTATGACTGTGATCCCATCTAGACTCTCCTTCCACCCCCTCTCTGTCCC
Organism: Homo sapiens; assembly: GCF_000001405.40. Taxonomy (NCBI): domain Eukaryota; kingdom Metazoa; phylum Chordata; class Mammalia; order Primates; family Hominidae; genus Homo; species Homo sapiens. The sequence goes on from NC_000011.10 coordinate 61,813,199, forward strand.
CCTCAACAACCAATAGTTGCGACATAGCAAACACAGGGTCTTACATTCTTGGTGGGCTCAAAGCTGGGCTGCTCTGGAGACAGTTCTCCAATCAGGAGAGAGTTCATATACTTCTTCACAAGGCCCTTGTTGATGTGGAAGGCCACAAAGGGATCCTGCAAGTGCCGGGAGAAGATGAAAGGTGAGGGAGCCAGCCCCCTGGACTCCGGCAGTGTTCGCACCAAAGGCCATCCTCCTGCCCGCCAGAAGGCTGTACCCAAGTTGAAGTGAGAGGTGAAGCCAGATGGACTTCCTGGGTCGAGTGCAGACTTGGAGAACTTTTCTGTAGCTAGAGGTTTGTAAAATGCACCAATCCGTGCTCTTTAGCTAGCTAGAGGTAAAATGGACCAATCAGCACCCTGTAAAATGGACCAATCAGTGCTCTATAAAATGGACAAATCAGCAGGACATGGGCAGGGACAAATAAGGGAATAAAAGCTGCTCCCGGCCGGGCGCGGTGGCTCACGCCTGTAATCCCAGCACTTTGGGAGGCCAAGGCGGGTGGATCACGAGGTCAGGAGATCGAGACCATCCTGGCTAACACAGTGAAACCCCGTCTCTACTAAAAATACAAAAAATTAGCCGGGCGAGGTAGCGGGCGCCTGTAGTCCCAGCTACTCGGGAGGCTGAGGCAGGAGAATGGCGTGAACCCCGGGGGAGGGCGGAGCCTGCAGTGAGCCGAGATCGCGCCACTGCACTCCAGCCTGGGCGACAGGGAGACTCCGTCTCAAAAAAAAAAAAAAAAAAAAAGGCTGCTCCCCCTCACACCCCCCAACGTCCAGCAGCGGCAACCTGCTCGGGTACCCTTCCACGCTGTGGAAGCTTTGTTCTTTGCTCTTCACAATAAATCTTGCTGCTGCTCACTCTTTGGGTCCACGCCACCTGTAAGAGCTGTAACACTCACCGCGAAGGTTCATGGCTTCATTCTTGACGTCAGCGAGACCACGAGCCCACCTGAAGGAACCAACTCCTGACACAGAAGCACAGGCCATCTCCCTAGGCCCAGCTGCCTTTTGAGGGTGCTCCCAGGTGTCCACAGTTTAAGATCACCGAGTATCTGCTCTAGTTAGAAGGATGCATCAAGGAATGGGAAGCATTGGCTGAGGGGAACCACTAAGAAACACCTGCCTGGGCTGGCCTTTCCCCTGGGTGTGTCCACAGACAGCTTTTGCCCAAGAATTTCAGTATAGGTGAGAAACAGGAGAGATGGGTGGGGCTGTGTCGGGCGTTGGTTCCTTCCGGCGGGTATGGTCTCACTGACTTCAAGAATGGAGCCGTGGACCTTCCCGCTGTTATAGCTCTTAAAGGAATAACACTCTTTGCAGACCCAAAGAATGAGCAGCAGCAAGGTTTAGTGTGACGAGCAAAAGAACAATGCTTCCACAGCCTGTAAGGGAACTGGAGCGGGTTGCAGCAGCTGGCTGGGGTGGCCAGCTTTTATTGTCTTAGTTGTCCCTGCCCACGTCCTGCTGATTGGCTCATTTTACAAACCTCTAGCTAGCTACAGAGCGCCAATTGGTGCGTTTTTACAGAGCACTGATTGGTGCATTTTACAAACCTCTAGATACAGAAAAGTTCTCTAGGTCCCCATTCGACCCATCAACTCCAGCTGGCTTCACCTCTCAGGGCTATGAGACTTCCGTCCCTTCTTGCGGGTCTTTCAATAAGTCCCTTTCCTCTCTTAGCTAGGGTTCTCCAAAAACCACGAAGAGGAAGACTTCCCTACGTCCGAACTGGGGCACTTCTGCGTTTCTTCCCTTTCCCTCCACCGTTGTTCTGGGTAGGGCTCCACATTTCCCTAAGCACTCTGGCCACCCCCTGCCCCAAGGCAGCTACTTTGGGTTGTGCAAGGTAAGGTCCATGGCGATAAGATTCACGTTGGCAGGTCCGGCAGCCCCGGGCCCTGTAAGTGATGCGGCGTGTGGGGCGGGGGCCGGGGCGGAGCCGGCGGCCGGTGGCACCACACATACGGACCAATCGCCGTCCCCGCCGCGGCATTCCCGGCCCCAAATCACACTGCGGGAAGCTCCAGCGTTGGTGCCTGTTTCGTCTGCGCATGCGCCGGGACACGCCTGCGCCCTTGGCCGCAGTCAGGGCTCCCGAGTGGTCACTCTGGTTGACCCGCGCAAGCTCTGGCCTCGCCCACTAGGCTGGTCGCGTCAGAGGGTGGGGCGGGTCTTCGCCCCGCAGCGTCTAAGCTCTGCTGCGACGTTATGGGAACCTGGTGACCCGCGGCACACTCTGGGACGCCAGGGTAGTGGATAGGGACAGTGGAGGGCATCACGCTGCAGGGCACGGGATCAGAGGGGGATGCAAGGGGAGGGGACGCCATTCTGGCCGCCAAGGGGGAAACGCGGTGAAGGGAACGCCCCGACTTTCGAGTCCCTAGGACTGAGTCCCCAGGACTCCAACCCAGCAGAGAGGCGCCGGGGCCTTAGCTCTGAGGGCTGTGGTCTAGAAAGGGAAGCAGCAGGCCTGGGGCTGGGGCGCGCGCCGACCCCGCAGTGAGACCAAGGGAAGAAGGGACAGGACCCCGCGAAGGGCCTACCGCCCCAGAGCGTAAACAGCGGTCCGCTCCGCGGAATAGCTGAAGACCTCGCTGGCCTGCGGCTCAGTGGCCTCCCCGGCGATTCGAGAACAGCTCTGGGGGTCCTCGCTAAGTGTATGCCATTCCCAATCCCTTATGTACGCCAGCGGCCGCTTGCCCTCCCCGGCCAGCGCTGTCCCTTCCGCGTCCTCCAGTCTTCACACGACGCAGGGGTCCCCAAGGCAGCGGTCTCCCCAAGCTTCCCGTTTCAGCCCCATCCTCGAGAATGGGCTCCTTTCCTGCTCCCTCTCCGCTCCTGCTGGCGAGTGGAGACCGGCACCTAGGTCCAGACGCGGCTGCGCTGCCTCTCCTAGCCATCGAGACAGGATGTGACTCCCTCCCCTGGCCACTGACCCCCTCCCTCCCCAGGCGGCCTGCATCCTTGCTCTCCTCCCTCCTAGCCTACCCAGCTCGGGGTTCTGTCCCCGCCCAGAGACCTGAGGCTCGGGGCTGCAGATGGAATGCACGGCAGGGAGGCGGGACCCTTTGTTTGTGTGTGCGTGTTGTTGGCCTCCATCCCCACTCCCCAGACTCCACTTCTCCAGGCCTCTCTCCCGCCTTTTCATCCCGCATCCGCAGGACACCCAATCACCGGGCAACAGGTATGATCAGGCGCCTCCGGGCTTTCCTCCGAATTAGTCGGTGTTTGGCTCGGAGTGCGTAACTCTGTCTCCCCTGCACTCAGCCTCCGGTCCCGCCCTCTCCTGTGCCCCCGCCTGGCTGCGCTCACCGTGGCATCCTGCCCGGCGTAGTGGCTGATGACCCGGGAGCCCCCTGGATGCCGGCGGGTGAACTCGCTGATGTTGTACACCTTACGGTCGATCACTAGCCACCGCTCCTCGCACCCTGAGCGCTGGGCCACCTCGTCCCAGGTGAAGTAGCGCGGGGTAGGTCCCTGAGCCGCGGTCTCGGCGGCCACCGGGTCGGGGGCCATAGCTGGCCTGGCGACGCCGCGCGCCGGGCCAGCAGGGGCTGTCAGGCGCGTGCTCGGGGTCCGCGGGCTCCAGGAGTGGATTTGCTGGCGCGCGCCCAGAGCCAGCCGCCTGCGCGCCGGGTTTTCAGCACCGCAGGGCAGACCGGCGGGCCTCGCAGCGCGCGTTCCCATTGGCCGAGCCTCGTGGCGCGGGGAGCGAGATCCCGTCCCCCGGTGGGTCTTGGGCAACTCACAGCTGGGCTGCCAACACGCGCCCCCTCGCGGGCTCCCTAAAGGCGTCGCCGCCGGATTCGACTTCCTGACGTCAGGCGGGCATCGCGGCGTTGGCTCCCAGGGGGCGCCGCGGTAGGAACAGCGGTTCTAGTGCAGGCCCTGGGTGCGGGGCCGCGCTGCAGGAGTGAATGGACTGAGGGGCCAGGGCTGCGGGGTGGCCGCAGGAAGGGTGGGCGGGGCCGGGGTTGAGGTTTTTCCGTGCACGAGGCTGCCCGGGCGGTCGCGGACATCATCTTTAGGCTGTGGATGCCTTGGCCGGGGTCTCCAGACGCTGACCCTCCAGGGTTGGAAACTACTGCCTGCTTGCCACGTCGTGCCGCCAATTGTGCTGCCCGAAGTAGCAGCCTGAGAGCCCTTGAAAGTTGCAGTTATCTTGTGAACAGCATATTTACGGTCTCTTGGGCTTGGTGGTGGTTGGGGGAGGGCTGTTAATGCTTTAATTTGTTCAATGAAACATTTAAAATGCCCCACAATTTTTATAACCCTGTTTGCCTCTTTTTGTTTTTATTTTTATTGTATTTTGGAAAAATTCACTGGGATCCTTGAGTGATGATCCTAGCGTCTCCTGACCCTTAGGTGTTTCACCTGAAAAGCCTGGGTCTTCAAGCTGAGGCATTTCTGTTCTAGCCTGGAGGCGCCTAGGAGCCCTGGGAGACTTTTTAAGCAGAGAGATTTGGCATTTAGATCTCTGGGTTTTAGAGGAGTGGGAACGCACCTAAAAGTGGGGTTGCCAGTTACAAAGCTGTTGCAGTCCTGAAGAGACCCAGAGTTTAGGTCCAAAATTTTATTTATTCAACAAACACTTTATAAAGCACTTACTGTGTGCCAGGCACTGTTCTTAGCGTTTTGCAAACCTTAACTCATTTAATTCTCCTAACAACCCTATGAGGTTGGAACAATTAACCTAATTTACAGTGAAGAAACTGAGCCCGGGGGAGGTTATTTTGTCACACAGCTTGTAAGTGGAGGGCTGAGATTTGACCCTGGCCTGTGCTCTGAACTCTCAGGCTCTGCCATATTTCTCATTACACTGGTATTTGGGCACTTCAAAGGGAAAGGAAACATAACTGTCCCAAGCACTGAGCTAGATTCTGAGCACGTAGGAGTCAGGAGAGGGTGATACAGAATAGACTAGGTGAAATATGGCTAGATTTCTGGTAGAAAAGGATTAATTCATTCCATCCAAATTCTTCATTTTATAGATAAGAAAATTGAGGTTCGAAATGGGGAAGGGGCTTACCAAGTTCCCATAGGGAAGTTTAGATGTCCTGACTTCCAGGTAAGATGCCAGGCTATTGGACCCTGCTCAGGAATGATGGTCCACACAGCTGCACCTCTGTACAGCCAATATTCCTTTTTTAAAAACCTTGCCCAACAACTTGGCAGTGTCTAATGCGAGCTACAAAACATTTTCTATTCTTTGATCAAGCAGTTTCACTCTTGGTAAAGTAGGGGAGACTGTGCAAAGATGCAGAAATAGCCAATTTAATAGCAAAAACTGGAAATAAACCCGAGTCCTGACAATAAGAAAATCGCCAAGCTTATTGGGATCTGTTAACACAATGAAGAATTAAAGAATGATTTTAAATGGCTAGAATGTGAACTATATTGATAGATATAGAATCCTTCCCCGTGAAATAAGCAGAACCCAAAGTAGTATGGGTTCGCTGATTACAACTATATAAGAAATTCATGGGTATTAAATAACAGAAGAGAGGTCCTTTACATAAACCATTTTTCCTATGTGACTGTGCAGTGGGATAAAAGCTCTCATACTGCTGGTAGAAGTGTAAGTTGATTAAACTGGAAAAAATAGTTTGACAACTTATATAGAAATTTAAGATTTTTTTTTTTTTTGAGATGGAGTCTCGCTCTGTCGCCCAGGCTGGAGTGCAGTGGCCTGATCTCAGCTTGCTGCAAGCTCCACCTCCCAGGTTCATGGCATTCTCCTGCCTTAGCCTCCCAAGTAGCTGGGACTACAGGTGCCCGCCACCACGCCCAGCTAATTTTGTTTTTGTATTTTTAGTAGAGTTGGGGTTTCACCATGTTAGCCAGGATGGCTTTGATCTCCTGACCTCGTGATCTGCCCGCCTCGGCCTCCCAAAGTGCTGGGATTACAGGCGTGAGCCACCGCACCCGGCCAGAATTTAGGAATGTTTTGAATACTGAAGAGATGAAAAAAAATAGAAAAATAAAAATGTTCCCAATAATTCCATGTTTAGGAATATAGCCTAAGGAAATGTTCTTAGAAAAATATTTATAGGTCAGGCGGGGTGCCTCACGCCTATAATCCTAGCACTTTGGGAGGTCGAGGCAGGCGGATTGCCTGAGCTCAGGAGTTCAAGACCAGCCTGAACAAAAGAAATCGGCTGGGCGTGGCGGCGTGCGCCTGTAGTCCCAGCTACTCGGGAGGCTGAGGCAGGAGAATTGCTTGAATCCGGGAGGCAGAGGTTGCAGTGAGCCGAGATTGTGCCACTGCACTCCAGCCTGGGCAACAAAGCAAGATTCTATATCCACACACAAAAAAAGAAAACTATTTATAAACAAAAAATATTCATTAAAGCAGTATCTATGATAGCGGGAAATGGAAACACTCTAAATGCCCATCAGTGAAATATTTTGCAGACATTGAAAATAATGTCATCTTTCCTTTAATACAGAATCAAGGAAAAATGTTTTATGTAAATCTTTTATTTTATTATACTTTAAGTTTTAAGGTACATATGCACAACATGGAGGTTTGTTACATATGTATACATGTGCCATGTTGGTGTGCTGCACCCATTAACTCGTCATTTAGCATTAGGTATATCTCCTAATGCTATCCCTCCCCCCTCCCCCGAATCAAGGAAAATTAAATAATATGATGTAAGTTTGGCTACAGAGATAACTGTTCTATAAAAAGACTAGGTTGGGCGCGGTGGCTCACACCTGTAATCCCAGCACTTTGGGAGGCAGAGGCAGGTGGACCACCTGAGGCCAGGAGCTCGAGACCCACCTGGCCAACATGGTGAAACTCTGTCTCTACTAAAATACAAAAATTAGTGCCTGTAATCCCAGCTACTTGGGAGGCTGAGTCAGGAGAATCACCTGGGCAACATGGTGAGACTGCACCTCAGAAAAAACCAAAAAACCCATACCACTTGTAAGATAATTCCTTGATCAACCCCACCTACCTAGAACCATTCATTAAGTGTTTTATTTAACATTTGTGGGGTGTCTCCTCTTTGTATTCCCAGCACCTACTTTGGTAAGGTGCTGGGAATACAAAGTTCAGTACTATATGGGTCATGCCTAGTCATGTCTACTGGAGGAGAGAGACAAGTGAGTCACGGATTATAGGTCAGTAGGATAGATGCAAATTAAATTCATCTTACTCAGGATTTAAACAGCTTATATGACATGACTTTGCATTCATGTTTCTTTGCTTTTCATGTGTTCTTAGGTCAGTGTCATGTATTTTGCTACCTCCCTAACGAGCTTATAATCCAGGATAGGGCTGTGGATTCTGTTTATACTACCAATACATATTCAGAGCACCTTGGTTTGGAGTTCTAGGTGGAATCCCACATAAATTTGCTGAATTGGCCGGGCGTGGCAGCTCATGCCTGTAATCCCTGCACTTTGGGAGGGTGAGGAGGGCGGATCACCTGAGGTCAGGAGCTCCAGACCCACTTGGCCAACACGGTGAAACCCTGTCTCTACTAAAATACAAAAATTAGCCGGGTGTGGTGGGGGGTGCCTGTAATCCCAGCTACTTTGTGGGGGTGAGGCAGGAGAATCGCTTGAACCCAGGAGGCAAAGGTTGCAGTGAGCCGAGATTGCACCACTGCACTCCAGCCTGGGTGACAGAGCCAGACTCTGTCTCTAAATAAATAAATAAATAAAAAATTTGCTGAATCAACTGATGATTTCAACCTGAAAAAATACAGGTGAGTAAGCCTATAGGCCACTAGGCAAATGTCGTGTTGCCCTCTCATCTCCTTACCCACCTACACAGGTGGTCACACAGACTGCAATAAACCCATATCCAGGTCAACTAAAGGAAACCTTTGCCTTGCAGGCCCTGTTGATCCTAAGGGAACTTGCCTCATCCTGGATATGAATCACATACTTAATTTTAGGTTGCCACTTGTGAATACTAACTGTTCTGGCCAAATTAATCCTCAAGGAACAGAACGAAATGAGCTTAAGACCCTAATGCCAGGCCAGGCACAGTGACTCGTGCCTATAATCCCAGTGCTTTGGGAGGCTGAGGTGGGAGGATTACTTGAGCTCAGGAGTTGGAGACCAGCCTAGACAACATAGTGAGACCCCTTCCTAACTGTCCCACCATTTTCTCTCTAAAGAAAAGAAAAAAAAAGACCTTAATGCCGATTGTAATGAAGCCATAATTGAATAACCTAACTGCCAGTGGCTGTTGGAATAACCTGAATTGTGAGTTCAAATTTTGATCCATTTTAACAAAAGATCCTAAACATAATAGTTGGCCAATAGCCTGGATCCTTTACAAAGTCAACACATATAGGAGAAGCAATACCGGTTGTGCTCAGCCTCTGCTGCAGCCTCCCCTCAGTAGCAGCCCTTCAGGCCATTAAAGACCAAAACCATTTTTGAAAAATCTGGATTTCTGTGAAATTGGATAACTTATGGGGGTGCAGTGACTACAACACAGTAGGCACTAATAAAGTTGACAGAATCAGTCTTTGTTTTAAGAAAAGTCATCTGTAATAATTCTGCAGATTAATGTTAAGTAATATTAAAAATAATTTATGACATATAGTGCTTAAACTAAAGGGAGAATCCCAATCATACCTCTATTAGAGGCAGAGCGAGAGCTAGAAACAGGACTCTCATTTTGCTGCATTCTAAGAGTGTGGGAGATTGGGATGGGGCAGAGGCAGGCTCATGGAGGAATTCACGGGATTTCCTTAATGCAGTCTTTTTTTTTTTTTTGAGACAGAGTCTCGCTCTGTCACCCAGGCTGGAGTGCAGTGGTGCTGTCTTGGCTCACTGCAACCTCCGCCTCCAGGGCTCACGCCATTCTCCTGCCTCAGCCTCCTGAGTAGCTGGGACTACAGGCGTCTGCCACCACGCCTGGCTAATTTTTTGTATTTTCAGTAGAGACAAAGTTTCACCATGTTAGCCAGGATGGTCTCCATCTCCTGACTTGGTGATCCACCCGCCTCAGACTCCCAAAGTGCTGGGATTACAGGCGTGAGCCACCGCGCCCGGCCCAGTCTTCTTATCATTGTATAGAATATAGATGCCTTAGGGACAGATATATTAAACCCACTGTTTTATAGACAAGGTGACAGATCCAAAGAGCTGAAGCCACACATGAAATTTAGTATATTTGGGGCTAGAATTTACCCCAGAACTTATTTATAACTTTTAGTTCCTCTCTACATGAGTTCCTTAGCAGTGAGTTCAATAAATGTTTTGGTATAAGGCCACCCTGGTTCAAAGAGGAGAAGGCTGTTGTCCTTGCTTCTCTGCGGTGCCTTCTTCCTCCCAGGCCCTCAGACCTGCCTCTATTAAGTGGGAGAAGGGAGGCCTGGGTAGGTAGGTCCCAGATCTTCAGATTGCCCGGGGAATGGGTCTGGAGTCCTCTAGGCGTTGTTGTAAGCATTTTGCTGGGCCTTTAATGTAACTTTCCAGTACAAATGATCTCTCTTTAAAATAAAACAAAAAAGCTAAGCTTAAAATTTTATAATGAGAATATTTACTTCACTATAGTAAGTCATCATATATCTATAAACACACATATATATACTCCCAATATACTTAACTTTTTCCCTATTGTTGGACATTTGTGTAGAAGTTTCGCTTGTATAAATGTTGCGATGGATATTTTTGTATATAGATATTGGTTTCTATTTCTGAACATTTTCTTAGGATAAATTCTACATGTGTAATTAGTGGATCAGGTAATAACATTTTTAGTCTCTTGTCATTTGTTGCCAAATTACCAATTTACTGCTGAATTATTTCACAGGTATTCCTCGAGCACTTAGTATGCATTCCTTAGTTTTACTGCACTTCTTATCACCAGAACAGGAAAGGAATGGTGTCCTACAGCTCCTTGACCAAGTACCTCTCCACCAATACTATGAGCACTAAAGATGCAGCAACGAAGCACTAGACTCTGGGATGTGAAGATCTCAAATTCTATTCTCTGTGCACTTCAGAGTTGGAGAAGGATCCATCAAGTTTCAGTAGAATGTACCAAGGAAGGGAGGCAATGTGGTAGAATGGAAAGAATAAGGATTGTAGTTGAGACACCTGCAACCTGGACCTGCTAGTCCACCTACTGCTGTGTAATCTTGGACATTATGTCCACCTCTATGGGTTTCGGATCCCTTATCTGTAAAGTGAAGAGATTGTCCAGATGCTTTCCAGCACTAGCAATCTGTGCTTTAAAGTTTTACCTAACATACCATACCTTTTATCAATGTCCACCTAGAGATAATAACCCAGCTTATTTTATTTGAGTTTTGAGACAGGGTCTTGCTCTGTCTTGCACTCCAGCTGGAGTGCAGTGGCACGATCATGGATCACTGAAGTCTCCACCTCTGCGGTTCAAGCATTCCTCCCACCTCAGCCTCCCGAGTAGCTGGGACTATAGGCATGCACCACCACATCCAACTAATTTTTTATATTTTTGTACAGACAGGGTCTCACTGTGTTGCCCAGGCTGGTCTCAAACTCCTGGGCTCAAGTGATCCTCCCACCTTGGCCTCCCAAAGTGTTGGGATTACAGGTGTGAGCCACCACGCCTGGCCTAACCCAGTTTCTTAGATAGGGTCCCCAGCCTGTCATTTAAGGCATCTAAATTTGATGCACTTACTAAGTTGATGCCATTTTTGTTGTTGAAAATTATTCATTTTTTAAAAATAGTTATGACTTTCACCACATATTAATAAATCATTATCTAGTGAGCTTGGTTAAAGTTTGACCTCACCAATATTGCTAGTTAAGAAAATACATGTATGGCACTTTCACATACCTTGTGTCCTTTGAGCCTCGTTATTAAAATAGATGAGATAGGTTAGAAATCACTATCTCCGCTGGGTGCGGTGGCTTATGCCTGTAATCCCAGCACTTTGGGAGGCCGAGGTGGGCAGATCACCTGAGGTCGGGAGTTCGAGACCAACCTCACCAACATGGAGAAACCCTGTCTCTACTAAAAATACAAAATTAGCTGGGTGTGGTGGCACATGCCATGTAATCCCAGCTACTCGGGAGGCTGAGGCAGGAGAATCGCTTGAACCCGGGAGGCAGAGGTTGCAGTGAGCCAAGATTGCACCACTGCACTCCAGCCTGGGGGATAGAGTGAGACTCCATCTTGGGGGAAAAAAAAAGAGAGAGAGAGAGAGAGAGAGAGAGAGAGAGAGAGAGAGGGAGGGAGGGAGGGAGGGAGGGAGGGAGAGAGAGAGAGAGAGAGAGAGAGAGAGAGAAAGAAAGAAAGGAAAGAAAGAAAGAAAGAAAGAAAGAAAAATCACTGTCTCCTTTTTATCATGAGGAAACTGAAGGTCAGAGACAGAGGTCTAACATCACATGGTAGGTATGGGAAAGGAATACTGTAGCGGTCTGTAATTGCTTTTGGTTTGTGACTTCCCACAAAAAGGAACAGACCCTGTTCCCCAAAGCCCAGGTCTGCTGCTTGGCTTATGACCTACACCTAATAGAGTAACTCAGCCGTCTGATAACAGTGGCCCAATGGTTAGCATCTGATGCAGAGCCCATTAAACTGGAATTAATCCTTGGGAGCAGGGAATGGGGGAGAATTATTTCTGCTAGCGTAGCTTAGCAAATACAGCCATATTTTTTTGTCACATGGAGGAGACCCTTCTGCAGTAAGAGAGAATCAGGTGTTGGCCGGGTGCAGTGGCTCACGCCTGTAATCCCAGCACTTTGGGAGGCTGAGGTGGGCAGATCACGAGGTCAGAAGATCGAGACCATCATGGCCAACATGGTGAAACCCCATCTCTACTAAAAATACAAAAATTATCTGGGCATGGTGCCACCCACCACGGCCTCCTAAAGTGCTGGGATTATAGGCATAAGCCACTGCTCCCAGCCTAGGTGTTTCAAACATAACGTTAAAATAGAATTTTTAATTTTTCACCCCTGTACTAACTCTGTTCCCTCATCTTGGTAAATGGTCCCATTATCTATTCATTTGCTCAACTCAAATGCTAGAATCAGACTTATTTCTCTTATTCCTTCATCTCTACCATCACCCCTGCCCCTGTACCTCCAACTAATGCGGTCTTGATTCTACCTCCAAAGGATATTCTAGGCTGGGCAGGGTGGCTCACGCCTGTAATCCCAGCACTCTGGGAGGCTGAGGTGGGCAGATCACCTGAGGTCAGGAGTTTGAGACCAGCCTGGCCAACATGGTGAAACCCTGTCTCTACTAAAAATATAAAAATTAGCCGGGCATGGTGGCGGGTGCTTGTAATCCCAGCTACTCAGGAGGCTGAGGCAGTAGAACCATTTGAACCCATGAGGTGGAGGTTGCAGTGAGCTGAGATCGCACCACTGCACTCCAGCCTGGGCGACAGAGTGAGACCCTGTCTCAAAAAAAAAAAAAAAAGAAAGAAAAAGCCCTTTGGGAGGCCGAGGCAGGTGGATCACGAGGTCAGGAGATCGAGACCATCCTGGCTAACACGGTGAAACCCCGTCTCTACTAAAAATACAAAAAAATTAGCCGGGTGTGGTGGCAGGCGCCTGTAGTCCCAGCTACTCGGGAGGCTGAGGCAGGAGAATGGCGTGAACCTGGGAGGTGGAGCTTGCAGTGAGTAGAGATCGCACCACTGCACTCTAGCCTGGGCAACAGAGTGAGACTGCATCTCAAAAAAAAATTAGAGGGCAGGGAGGCACATGGCAGTGTCCAGTGTGGGGTCAGCCCCCTAAAGTTCTCTCTTAATTCAGGCCTCCCCTCCCCTCTCCTCGAGCACTGCCCTCATCTTTGAACTCATCACTGTTCCCCAGTTTCTCCCGTACATCCCAGTCCAGCCCCAGCCTCTGGAGTTATCTTTCTACACCATGGATCTGATCACAGTACACCTGCTTTACGGATGTCCAAGCCTCCTCCATGGTAAAGTCCTCCCTTCCTACCCCTTACTGAGGCTGCTGGGGCTTTTCTCAATTTGAGCCCCATCTACCGCCGGCCTCATTGGAGCCATTCTTTGAACTTCATTCATTCATTTGTGTCTTCAACACATGTTTTTATGTTTTTTCAGGACCTACCCTGGCTGGTACTGTGCTGGGAGCCGCTGGGGACCCCAGGCCCTGGCCGGTCCACGCTTCTCAGCCACCCTACACAGGCCACCCATACGTGCTCCCTTTTAGGGCCTGAACCTTCAAAGCCTCTGTGAGATACTCCCTGGTTCTGCCTTTCAGCTATCACTCCCTGCTCCGAGCTCCACACCCTTTACAAATGTTCATTAAAGTTATCTATATGGTATGTTAATCCATTTCTGAGAAAATAATTTTCTTGGTTCCATTTCCGTCAACGTTTGACAGTCCTCAAGGCCACCATACTCTCTGGAGGTCTTGCTTCATCCTCTTATTTTGTACAGAAGGCTTTTGTTTGGGATGTCTGCTCACACTCAAAGACAGAGAGGCCTTACTGTCTTTATGTCTGCAGTCTGTGGAGTGAATGAAGGATGCTCAGGGCTGACACCAGCATGAAATGTGATGGGAGAGGTTGGGGACTGTGTGAATGTGAGGAAAGGGAGCCCATCTGCCCCCCCAAGTACAACCCCACCAGTTGGGCAGAGTGATCCCCCCACCACCCCTGCATTGCTGTGAAATTTAGATTGGGCAGGGCCCGTTTGACCATCTCTCTCAATCTCAGGCTCTCCATTTTCAAGTGAGATGTAATAATATGCGTCCTGTTTACCTCTCAGCCTGTGATGAGAATCTAATGATTAGGGTGTGCTAGCACACAGGCACCTGTAAATCCCATTGAAATCTGAGGGCCCTATAACTCCTCTAGTGATTCCCAAGCCTCGTGCACCCCACCCTCTCTGTTCATCCTTACTTCCCACGTGTCCCGTTAGCCCTCCGGATGCAGTCAGGCCCATTTCCCCCAGGACGCCCGGCACTAAGCCGCCCCATCCAGCTGGGGTCTGAGGGGCCTGTCTCTTGCCCCACGCCTAAAAGACCTAACCCTCCTCCTATCCCTTCGATACGGCAGTCTTTATTTGCTGGAGTCTGCACAACATCACTGCCCAATGATGTGTCTGCTTCCACGATTCCCAAAGAGACTGAGCTTACTGAGACCAGGGCAAGGACCGCGCCAGTTCCTCATCGCCCCCTTCCTCTGCCTTCCCCTCCCTTCCCCCTCACCGCAGCCATGGCGCCCAGACCAAGAAAGCAGAGCAGAGGTTCCGCAATTCTTTTCTAAGATTGTCTGACTAGAGGGTTCAAAGCCCTCTAATCCAAGGCCGGCTTGTGTCTCTAGGGAGGTTGCAGAAAGGCGCCAGAATGTGGATGGCGCGGACAATGTGGGATACTGGAGTCTCGACTGCCGCGCGCCAAGGAAGGGCGTCACCTAGCCAAGCCGGCCCTGGAGTTGAGTGCCCCGCAGCCCGCCGGTCCACCCGCCCGGCCGCTTGCTGGCACCCTGGTGGCCGCGCCGGCTTTGTGTCGGCATCAGGTGCAAACCCCCAGAGCGCCGGGCGTGCGCGCACGCGCCCCGGAGCGCGCGGAGCCCATTCGTTGCCCCCACCGGGATCTCCTCTAGGATCTCCTCCGGCGCCCGGGGCCGGAGAGTGGGGGAGGGAGGAGGTCGGACACGTAGCCTGCCTCGCAGCAGGGCTCGACTCCACGCGGGAGGGCGGGGGAGCCGGGGACCCGCCGCTCCAGCCCGCTGGCCTTCGAAAGATCCTCCTGGGCCAATGGCAGGCGGGGCGACGCGACCGGATTGGTGCAGGCGCTCTGCTGATCGCTGTGGAAACTCGGGCGGCGGGGAACGCGGGAGGATGTGGAACCCGAGGCGGGGGGAGCCGGAGGGGCGGGCAGAGGAGGTGTCGAGGCCCTGAGCTCCCGGGGAGTTTTTACTGGAGGCAAAAGTCCATAGCGGGAGGGCTGAGGGAGGGGCGGAGGAAGGGGACCGCTTGGGGGCACTGGGAAGCCAGGGATCCTCCGCCAGGAAGGCAGGGACACTCCCGAGCGCAGGCGAGAAGGCTGGGGGAGGGGGCGCGGTGGGAGGAGTAGGAGAAGACAAAAGCCGAAAGCGAAGAGGGCCCGGGCTGCACACACCGGCTGGGAGGCAGCCGTCTGTGCAGCGAGCAGCCGGCGCGGGGAGGCCGCAGTGCACGGGGCGTCACAGTCGGCAGGCAGCATGGGGAAGGGAGGGAACCAGGGCGAGGGGGCCGCCGAGCGCGAGGTGTCGGTGCCCACCTTCAGCTGGGAGGAGATTCAGAAGCATAACCTGCGCACCGACAGGTGGCTGGTCATTGACCGCAAGGTTTACAACATCACCAAATGGTCCATCCAGCACCCGGGGGGCCAGCGGGTCATCGGGCACTACGCTGGAGAAGATGCAACGGTAAGGGTCTGGGGGCGCCCCAGCCACCCTTCTCTGCTGCAGGCGGAGTCAGGATCCCTGGCTCCCCGTGGGCCAAACAGACCTCCGGCGCTGAATGGAGCTTGGGACGTCCTGTAGGGAAGGAAAGTGCATCTATTGCACTCGTACCCCCTCCCCAATCCTCCTCCTCCTCTGGGCCGACTGGGGTGGAGACCGGATCTGGGACCCGGGGAGGCGGCGCTGCGGTGAAAGTCCCAGCGGTGGAGAACAGGGCAAGCATCTACCGCGCGCGCCGGGACCCACGCGTCCTCCCCTTCCTCGGGGTTTGTCTGGAGGCAGGGACTCCCCAAGAGGGGCGCTCGGGCCAGACGGCTTTGGCGCCCCCAGCGGGGAAGATGGCCGCCCCTGCGCGCCGCTGAAAGGAGCGGGAGCGCAGGCAGCCAGGTGTGGGACTCCGCGCTTGTCCCGCACTCTCCATCCAGACTGGGTGGCGAGAAGGAAAGCTCGTCCCCGGCCGGAGATCGCTCCTGCTGGGACTCTTGTCTAAGAAGTTCCTCAATGGCCACCTGGGAAAAACCGCCCAGCAGCTCGGGTTCCCACGCTCCAGGGATTATCTAGACTCACCCCAAGCTCGAGCCGGCCTTCTTGGGGACCGGCGTCCGGGATTGGTGGAAGGAGAACGGCCTGGGGTTTGCAAAGCCCAGGTCGAGTGAGGCCTTGAGCCGGTGGATTTAGCAGCACTAGACTGGCTTGGCAACAGGTCCGTCTGCACTCGAGGTTACTCTCGGGCGTTCAACTCAATGGCTCTCTCTTTTTAAATCCTGCCAAGAACACCCTTCCCTCATCTTGCACTCCTAAAGGTTGTGGGCCTCTCTGGAGCCATTGCTGCCCACCTTACCCCCACCAAATGCGTGGCTCAGTGATTACCCCGCACCAGCTACCCGCACCGGGGACCCCAGTCTGAAATCCTGGCATTTATTTAAGGATGCAGCTGGTATCCCATGGATTCGAATGGGCCAGAAGGAAAAGAACAGAGGCAAGGAGGGAAGAAAGGGCGGCTTTTGGTGGTGGTAGTGAATTGGATGCAGAGAAAAAAGGTCTGATGGGATACAGAAATTGGGGAAAGTGAATAGGAGAGAGGCAGAAAGGAGGGATGAACTTGACGTAGATCATTCCACCTGGAGGTCTAGGATGCCCAACTGTTGGTGGGCTTTTGCTCTCTAAGCTGTGTAGGCCCGACCCTTAACTTCCCCACCTCTTGCATCTCATGGAGACAGGCCTAGGGGAAGGCCAGACCAGGCCACCATAACCCAAGCTGGACAATGGACAGGTGGTGTGGGCCAGCAGGGCCAGGGCTTATCTAAGATTGGGAAGGTCAGCGATACTGAAATTCCCTACAGCTTTCAGTCCCATCCTGTTTTACTTGCTTGTGGACATTGCTTAAGCCCAGTGGGTTTGTGATGCTATTTAGAACTTAGGTGGGTATGTTTCACATACCTTCAGTGCTATCTCACCTGGACCTTTACGCGGCCCAGTGAGGAGGTTGGGTTAATGTAACTCCTAAGTAAAGGACCTTCTGGATCCTGGCTGGGATCTTTCCACTATATGTTGCTGGACTTGGGCTGGTCTGTTTCTGATTTCATAGGTAAATTGTAGAAGGTTCCTGTCCTGTCCAGGCCCTCACCAAAAAGTTTCCAGAAGGAAAAGTCAAATACGATGAATTTGGTCTGATTATTCCACATTGTTAAACATATTTTCTTATGTGAACGCTTAGTCTGGCAATTGCCTTGACCTTTCTGGTTTAATTACCATATCAGATTGATTTATTTCTTCCTTGTTCTGGATGTTCTCAGTGCTTACCTGACCTTAACACTGAGTTCCCTCCAAAAATCAGTGCTCACATCTCTCCTAACAGAGGACTAGAATGACCTACTCTTCCCTGACCTTTTCTCTGTCTCATAAAAATGTAATAGTCTCGTCATTTCTGGTCCTGCTCCAGCGCTTTCTGTATAACTTTCATGGACTATAAATCTGGTATCTTGGATGTTGGTTGCTTTGTTACTTTCATAAGCTAGGGTGGGAGCCAACCGGGGCTGCAAACAGATCTAGAATTGAAGAAAGATGTCATTACTGGGCTCATCCACTAAGTGTTGTCACTTGACTGAGCCCCATCTCCTCATCTATAAGGTACACCTGTACCTGTTTCAATGAGACTGATTTGTGGCAAAGCACCCAGCAACTGTAACCACTAGATGAATGCAATGGGGTGTTATCAGGCAAACGGGAATAAGAACAAGTATTATGAAACAGCTAGAATGGAAAGTATGCAAAGAGGAATTTGAAGAAAAAATTTAAATCTATGCTAGCTTTATTTGGTGTAGCAACACGTAAAAGCAATCCCTGTCCCCAGAGCTTCCTGTCTTCTAAAATAAGACTTTTGGGGCATGAAATACACGAACTGGGGATACAGATTTGAATGATGGTGATGATGGAGTGAGCAGCTGGGTTCTCTTTGTTTTGTTTTGTTTTTTTAAACTGTCCAGGACCAGGTTGGAAAAAGGCCTTGAGCAGCGTGGGGTGGGTGGGGCATGTGGAAAGGGGACCTAAAGAGAGAAGCAGGAACAGGCTACTGAAATCCAGAGACCCTTGCCTAGGCTGTTGAGCAAGTGGCTTTGCCCCTTGGGGTGATGGTTTGTCCCCCAGAGCATGGGGAGTGACAATTTATGGACCAGGCACAGTCTGGGGAGGGACTGATCAGAAGACAGTTTGGATTCCCTGCAACATTCCCAGGCAATGTTCTGAGCCCATCACAGTGCAGTCATTCCTAACACAAGGCTGGAAACAGGTCGGAAGTCAAGGTAGCCATTCTTGGGACAATCCTCGAAGTCAGGGAAGCCATTCTCGGGACAATCAGGGGCCTCAATAGGGCATTTTCTTTTTTTTGAAGAGCAAAAGATCCAGGTAGTCAAGATCCATCTCCCTAGAAGGATGGGGCAACTGTTACGTGGTCCTTCCACAGAAGCTAAACCCTGACCTTGCCTATAATAATGCAAGTTGCTTGATTTTTGCAACTTACAAAACACATTCATATGTATCACTTCATTTCATACTCGGATCAGCCCCGTAGGCATCTCTCACTGCTCTGAGGTATCAAACCTGGCTTAAGTGGCAGTGCTCAGACTTAAACTCAGAATCTGACCTCAAGTCCTCCCCTCCCAGCTTCCTTCCCTTCCTGTTGCTACCTCTGATCTCTTCCCTTTGGTACTGCGGTGCTTCTCTCGCCTTTTCCTTGCTGTGGGCAAAAGGAACCCTCACCCGCGCCCTAAGAGCGTGTCTGCTCTTTTCACAGCAGTCCCACCACTGCAGAACTGTTCATCTTCAGCGACAATTCATCAAACATTAATTGAGTGTCTCCATGGCTCTGAGCTGGGCCCAGACACAGAGATGAATTATTCACAGACAGAGACCTGAAGCTGTGGGATGTGCTCCCCCTGCTCTCTCTCAAGCTGGGGCTTGGATCTGGACCCTCTGCCTCTAGACATCAGCCCCCTACCCCTAGCCCTTGTCTCAGCAACTGTTCCTGCCCGGTCTGCATTGGTGACCTCTTAGAATCAAGGGAAGGTGAGAAGAGACCAGAGGTTTGTTCCACCTTTCAACCTGCTCCTATGTTATTCTTGTGAAAACGCAACAGATCGAAAGTGGAACTCTGGCCTCCTTTGCACGGGGCAGGAGGGTTGTAGTATTTAGAGGCAGGAGACCTGGGTTCCAGCCCCAGCTTTATGAATTCCCAGGCCTGGAGGGCAGCTCCATCTCCCCAGCTGAGATCTGGGTGGGAGCTGTCCAATTTCTGTGGCTGTAGCCTCAGCATCCCCAGGAAGCAGTTCTGAGATGAAAGTGGAGAATGGCATCAATTTCTTCATGCCCAGGTTGCCTTTGTAGGGGCCTGTCTCCTGTGCAGCCCTGCCTTTCTGCCCTCAGGGTAGTGCATGGACCCTGTGTTATGGGGGAGGCTCTCACTGCGGGGCTCTTTGGCCACAGAGCACTGCCCCACCAGCCTCCATTGCTTCTTTCCTTGGAGGGGACATGGCATAGGGGCTTCCTGCCCTGCCTGCCTCTCTCTGCTGCAGAAAGGAAGTCAGCATCCCTGTCTTGCTCTTCATTTCCACTGGAGAATGCGAGGATCCCTCCTGTGCATCTCCACACTCTTAGATCACTTGTTCCATAAAGTTCTGGTCCGCAGGGCTGCCACCTACTGCACTGTGTGCCCTGTGCTTGCCCGTGCTGCACTTCCCAAATCCTAGGCAAAGTGCCCAGTTGTGCAGCATTCGATCAGAGATTAGCCTTGCTCCCCAGAGGACATGGGCACGGCCATAAACAAATCCTGGCACCAGGTGCTCAGTGGATGGCGAGCAACTGTGAGTTGTACCCAGAGTGGGGCAGGGGCAGGGAAAATGTCCCTGTGGAGAAGTTGACTGGCATCAGACCTGGGTGATGGCAGAAGCAGGAACTGGCAAAGAGCGAAGTGTGACAAGCGCTTCAGAATCAGGGTGTTCTGACCTCCCCACCTCACACACCTGCCCTGCCGAGGCGGGTGCATCTCTGCTTTCTCCACCTGTTTACCAATCCTTTCTCTTCCCCATGTCCCGGGTCCTCTTCCTGGAAAGTCTCTGGCTTCTCTCCCGTTACACTAGGATAGAGCCTGGTTCCAATTCTTGGTCCAAAGACAAAGTTTGGGTTGGCCCTCCCTTGCCTTGAATCCTGGTCTGCCTTATACCTGCCAGATATTTCTGTAACCCGGCAGGTGCTGGAAACCTTCTGCCAGCGTTTGAGACACATTTATGGCAATGTGAAGGGAGAGACACAAAATATAATCAACTCTCAGGGAGGAGGACACTCATGTTGAGGGAAGCCTTTGTATGAACAGCGGGCAATGCTCAAGGTAGCCACATGTGACTCAAACTCTACTCAGCTCATTCCCGAGTGTGATAGTGGGCAGGTGGCTCTGCCAACCTACGCCTGATTTCTTATCTCTAAAAAAGGACCTGCCTCACGAAGTTTGGTAAAGATGCCTGGCTGATGTATGCAAGCCACTCCCATGGCCCCGTGGCTCGCCTGCGTCACCTCAGCAGGTGGCAGCTGTAGCAACCACCAGCGTGGGGATGCCGGAGAAGGCTTTTGGTGTTCCAGAGGCAGAAGCCAAGTTGTGTGAAACGCGGAAGAGGACAAGTGTCTGGTCATGACTGCACAGTGGGAAAGTATGAGATCAGAGTGTGTGCAGCTGTGGGGTCCTGGGTCCATTTATTCCCTCGTGAGCCATCTTATTAGGCCCCGTTACAGGCACTGTGTTTATTGCAGCGAACAAGACAGGTGCAGGCCTTCCCAACTGGGGTTTATGCTCCAGCGGGGGACGCAGGCCATAAACAAGTGGGTACGTCACGCAGTCTGATGACGAACCTTGATGACTGCTATGAAGATCTAACAGGGCAATGACCCAGGGAAGGCCCAGGGCTGGGAGAGCTCTTTTGGATGTGATGTTGGGAAAAGCCTCTTGGAGGTGATGTTGAGGCTGAGTCCCGAATGGAGGCAGCCCTGGTGTGGAAAGGAGCGTGGTATGTTCAAGGGCGGTCCGCACCAGGCCTGCTCGGAAAGCTGCCACACTGACCATGGGCAAGGAGCTGATCCAACAGACTGCTCGGTTTTCTAAAACGGCAGGAAGCGTGTGGCACGTGAGAAAAGAGTCCTTAGAGGCAGATGGACCTGGATTTGATCCTGGCTCTGCCACCTGGAGCCCAGGACTTTGCTTCCTGAGCTCCTGCATCTTCACCTCAGAAGTTGGGGCTTGAGGCCTAAGGGAGTAACATGAGCAACACTCCTGGCTCCCTGCCTGGCGCATGCCCATTACCCCTGGGCTCAGGGAGGTGAGGCTGCCCGAGAGCCCTCTGGAAATGGCTGAGCAGCAACCAAGGTCAAGGCAGGGCTCGTCATCTGTCTGCTCCCTTGGAGTTGGAACCTCGACTGCAGGGTTCGGGTGTTGGGGAGGCAGCAGGAGTGGAGATGAGTCTATTTGCAAGCCATTGAGTCTTGCCTTTCAATGAGACAAGAGGAATCCATTAGTTATCAGCCACTGCAGCTGCTTCTCAGGAAACTGCCTTACCAGGGACTTCCTGTTCATTTCTCAAAGGCCGTGGTGTGATGTGAGGAGGACCAATGAAGGGGCTTTTTCAGGCCCAGCCCTGGGCCCTGACTTTGGCAGCTCCTCCGGGCCTCTCCCAGGGCCTTGCTCATTTTGCATAGGCGGCTGAGGCTCTGGTGGGGACTGATCACCCCACCCAGAGCCAGCAAAGCTGGTCACCACTGCAACCCTGGGCTCCTCCCTGCCCGCACCCTGGGCCTCCTCCCTGCCTGCCCCCCCACCCCAGCCCTCCTCCCTGCCTGCCCCCAGGGCCTCCTCCCTGCCTCCCCAGGGACTTCTCCCTGCCTCCCCAGGGACTTCTCCCTGCCTCCCCAGGGCCCTGGAATAGCACGTCTCTTTTCCCTGAAAATACTCTTGACCTGATCCTCTGCTACCATCCCTTTTCGGCTCGGCTAGTGGGTCACAGGCATTTTTTAAGAAACCGTGGGCCCAGTTTTCTCCTGCACGAAGTGTTGCTTTGTCAGTCTGTTCTAGACACAAATAGAACAAAGACCAAGCAAAGGACTTGATGCCAGCAATGCAGTAAGGAGATGATGGGAGACTGGCAGTTACCCTTGGGAGATCCTTACGTGTGGGGCTGAAAAGATTTCCAGGAGTGGTTAGCACTTTCTCCACCTTCCCCCGACCCTTTTTTTTTTTTTTTGAGATGGAGTCTCGCTCTGTCGCCAGGCTGGAATGCAGTGGCACGATCTCAGCTCACTGCAACCTTCCACCTCCCTGGCTAAAGCAATTCCCTGCCTCAACCTCCCAAGTAGCTGGGATTACGGGCGTGTGCCACCACACCTGGCTAATTTTTTTTTTTTTTTTTGTATTTTTAGTAGAGACGGGGTTTCACCATGTTGGCCAGTCTGATCTCAAACTTCTGGCCTCAGGCAATCCGCCGCCTCGGCCTCCCAAAGTGCTGGGATTACCGCACCCGGCCCCCTCTTCTTTTTAATTTTGAAATTTTCCCAACATCCTTAAATGTTGAAGGAACAAGCAAACACCTGTGTATCCTCAACCAAGATTCACTAGTCTTAACATTTTGCCACATTTGCGTTTTTCCTCTTTATATGTGTGCAGTTGCCTTTTGAAAATAAGCTGCGTCATTGTGTGATCACATCCCTAAGGTCTTCAACATTTCCGGAGAAAAAAGGAAGAGATGCTCTAACATCATCACAGTACCTTTGTCACATTTAAGAAAATTAATAGTAATTCCTTGATATGATCAAATATCTGGTCCATATTCATTTTTTCTCATTCAACTCCCGAAAAACCTGGTATAACTTCTTTTTTCCTTCAAGTGAGAGCCTGTCACATTAAAGAATTGCAGGATGTTGTTTTGTTTGTTTGTTTGTTTGTTTTTTGAGTCAAAGTCTCACTCTGTCGCCCAGGCTGGAGTGCAGTGGTGCAATCTTGGCTCACTGCAACCTCCACCTCCTGGTTTCAAAGGATTCTCATGCCTCAGCCTCCTGAGCAGCTGGGATTACAGGCGTGCGCCGCTACACCTGGCTAATTTTTGTATTTTCAGTAGAGGTGGGATTTCACCATGTTGCCCAGGCCGATCTCAAACTCCTAACTTCAGGTGATCGCCCTGCCTCGGCTTCCCAAAGTGCTGGGATTACAGGCATGAGCCACTGTGCCCGGCCTGTTTGTTTTTTGAGACAGGGTCTCACTCTCTTGCCCAGGCTGGAGTGCAGTGGCACCATCATTGCTTATTGTATCTTCCTGCCTCAGCCTCCCGAGTAACTGGAGTTATTGGTGCAGGCCACCATGCCTGGCTAATTTTGTTTATTCTTAGTAGAGACAGGGGTCTTGCTATGTTACTCAGGCTGGTCTTGAACTCCTGGCCTCAAGTGATCCTCCTGCCTCTGCCTCCCAAAGTGCTGGGATTACAGGCATGAGCCCCTGCGACCAGTCAAGAGTTGCAGTTTTTATATCATTTTAGTCTCTTTTAATCTAGACCATGCTTCCGTACTTTTGTTTTTTCCACAAACTTGTATGTTTTTCCCCAGCTATATTGATTTTTCTGATTGTTTCTCATGGTGGAGTTTGACTGGTTTGCCAATCCTACCAATGTCTGGAAGCTTGATTTGATGCAGATTACACAGTGTTCACCACTGGGACATTCTATTGCATCCCCTCAGGGGAGCCTGGTGCTGGCTCATCTCTAATAGAAATACTAGATTTTTTATGAGATAATTCATGTAATATGCATAATATGTATAGAAAAAAGCTGGAAGGAAAAATGCTAAAATATTAGCAATAATGACCACTTTCTGGGTGATATTTATTTTCCTCTTTATTCTGCTGTGCCTTTTCTAACTTGGCCAAAACTCAGCACGTTTTTACTTTATAATTGGGAAAAAAAGATTAAAATGTGTATCATTATAGCAGTGTTAGAGTTTGGAAAGTAATGAAAATAAAGCAAGGCATAATCCAGCTACCTTAACATGTGCAATAATAGCCTAGATCCTCCTAGGCTTTTTTTCAGGAACGCTTTTTACATAATTCTGTGTTTATTTTTTTATTTACTTCATCACAGCACATTTCCAGTGCCAAGGTAGTATTCGGTCTTGTCCTTTTCATTGACCACCCTGGACATGTAGGTGAGGAACTAGTAAGAGATGGTGGGTGGTGTGGTTTGTGCACCATGCAAGGCACTCAGCTCACGAGCAGTCGAGGCTCAAGTCCTCCCTGAGCCCCGTGTCTGCCTGGTGCGCCTTCCTGGAGGGTCACCATTTCCCGACCTGCCCAAAGGCAGCCTATGCATCTATTCACAAACCCCTGGGGAGTGTAGCATGCCTGCACCAGCACAGAAGCCCAGGTGGCTGTTGCCATTGGCGTTGGGCACTGAGGGCTCTGTCCTGGAAAAATGCTGGAGACGGCATTTGGGGCCAGATCACAGGAGACCCCGTTTGGTGTCTGGGTGCACACATGGAGCTGTTGCTGGTGAGCACTGTCCTCCTTGGGGCCCAAGAGCAGACAGAGTTCAGGTCTTAGCCTCATCACTGCCCTCTGCTCTCCAGGATGCCTTCCGCGCCTTCCACCCTGACCTGGAATTCGTGGGCAAGTTCTTGAAACCCCTGCTGATTGGTGAACTGGCCCCGGAGGAGCCCAGCCAGGACCACGGCAAGAACGTAAGTCTGGCTTGCAACCTGGGTGGGGGTGGAGACGAGGCTGGGGGTGGCTGGGAGTCTGAGAGAGGCTCCCCTTGCCCCATGACCAGTAACTGGGGCTGAGGCAGGGGTGCTTTTGTCCTGGAGGAGCCACTGTGGTTCACCTGTGTTCAGGGAGGGCCTCAGAGCCTCCCTGGGAGCCGGGGTTTGACAACAACTAGTGGCGTCTCCTCTCTCCTGGCCAGTTTCATTTTCCTTCTCCTCCATCCCTTTCCAGGAAGGTGCCAGATGACAATCTAGGGGAAAGACAGGACAGAAACACCGAAAAATGTCATTTGATGACAAGAGTGGCTTTGGGGTGTGTGGTCCGGGGCACCTCTTTGAGAAAGAATGACCATTCCCTGGTCATCTGTTCATTGTCTGCAGGTCAGACGCCCCCCTGGGTGCTGGGCTTCCAGGACAGCCATGTGTGAAAATAGCAACCCCTGAGGTCTCATGGGCTGTTGTTTTGTTCAACAATGAAGTCTCCATGTAAATGGCGGAGCCGTTTATAGAAGAAAGTTGGGACAGGAGGCAGGGGCAGGGCAGGACGGGGAGGAGAGTTGTTACAAGGAGAGGAGTGGTACCCACAGGCTGTGACCAGGGTGGTCATGGAAGTCCCACCCTGGCCTCAGCAAGCTCTTCCTCCTCTTGTTGCCAGCCTGGGCCAGACCCCTCTGTTTAGCAGAGCCAGGGCAGGACCAGGGTCTCTCCCGGCCTGGACTCTTGGCCAGTCCCCCACCACCCCCATTGCCTCTGGCTTTCCTGATGAGCTGCGGGCCACCCTGCAGGTCCTTCAAAGGCCAATGCCCCTCCTCTCACCTTGCCCTCCATGGCACATGAGATCACCTGCCCTGTACCCATGCCAGCCCATGCTTGTCCCCTCCTGCCTCCTTCGCAAGTGGGTCCATCTCCCACTCTCACCTCCAGCACCTCCTGGCCTGCGGCTTCCCCAGCTCTGCTCGTCCTGCCCTGTAGCTCCCTTGTCCATGGCCTTGCTCCTTGGCTCTCTCCACTGCTCTCCCTTTCTGCTGCAGATCCTGCACCATTTAGCATCCAAGCTCCCACCAGGCACCACCAGAACCACCCTTCATAGCACCTTGGTCATGCCCTGTGGGTACCGCTCCTCTCCTTGTATCCACTCTCCTCCCCGTCCGGCCCTGCCCCTGCCTCTTGTCCCAAGTTCCTTCTTCCTCGCAATGCCATTGTGTTCCCAGGGCCCTCCTTGACTCCGCTTTGCCTCCCTGGCTCCATGTGCCCGGGACTCACAGCCCCCTCCTGCCTGCCTCAGCTCGCCCTCCTGCGCTAGTTTGTGTCGCCCCCAACTCAACCCCTCAAGACCCAACAGTGTG
This sequence comes from Homo sapiens, assembly GCF_000001405.40. Taxonomy (NCBI): domain Eukaryota; kingdom Metazoa; phylum Chordata; class Mammalia; order Primates; family Hominidae; genus Homo; species Homo sapiens. Next base: position 61,839,259 of record NC_000011.10, read on the forward strand.
CGCAGAGCAAGTGGTGCTCTGTTTGGTGGTGGAAAATGCAAGTTTTATTTTTCTTTTCTTTTCTTTCTTTCTTTTTTTTTTTGAGATGGAGTTTTGCTCTTGTTACCCAGGCTGGAGTGCAGTGACACCATCTCGGCTCACTGCAACCTCCGCCTCCAGGTTCAAGCAGTTCTCCTGCCTCAGCCTCCCATGTAGCTGGGATTACAGGTGCCCATCATCATGCCTGGCTAATTTTTGTATTTTTAGTAGAGATGGAGTTTCACTATGTTGGCCAGGCTGGTCTCGAACTCCTGACCTCAGGTGATCTGCCTGCCTCGGCCACCCAAAGTGCTGGGATTAAAGTTTTCTTTTTTAAAAAAGTGTGGTCAACCATTTTGGTCATTTGACGTGTACAGTTCAGTGGCATCAAATAAGCACATTTACATTGTTATGTAACCATCACCACCATCCAGTTCTCATCTTCCCCAAATTGAAATTCCACATCCATTAAGCACTCACTCCTCATTCTCCCACCTCTCAGCCCCTGGCAGGCACCATTCTACTTTCTGTCTCTGAATTTGGCCTCTCCAAGGACCTCCTGTATATGGAATCATACAATATTTGTCCTTTGGTGACTGGCCTGTTTCCCTTAGCATGATGTCTTCAAAGTTCACTCACATTGTAGCATGTGTCAGAATTTCCTCCCTTTTCAAGGCTGAGTAATATTCCATTGCATGGATAGACCACGTGTTGCTGATCCATTCATCCATCACGAGATCTTTGTGTTGTTTCTACCTTTTTCCTGATGTGAATAGAGCTATGAACACAGGGTGTATAAAATGCAAGCTTTTGAGTCAAAGCCTTTCTCTGTCACTCTTACCTAGCTGTGACAAATATACAGGCCCCAGGGCTGTGTGGGGCATGTGGTAACAGCAGCTATTGTAGGGACTCCTGGAGGGTCGAGGCTTGTGGCTTGGCCCCCTCTTGCCACAGCTTCTCTGGGTTGTGCATTGGCTGTTGAAATGGCAGCTCGAGACATATGTTCCCTCCAGAGTGGCTGGTGGCTGACTCCTTTCCCTGTGCTCTTGGTCAACAGTCAAAGATCACTGAGGACTTCCGGGCCCTGAGGAAGACGGCTGAGGACATGAACCTGTTCAAGACCAACCACGTGTTCTTCCTCCTCCTCCTGGCCCACATCATCGCCCTGGAGAGCATTGCATGGTTCACTGTCTTTTACTTTGGCAATGGCTGGATTCCTACCCTCATCACGGCCTTTGTCCTTGCTACCTCTCAGGTGAGGCGTGACACCCTCACTTCCCCTAGCTGACAGAGGCCTGGTGCCTGTTTGCTGAGGCTGTGACAGCACGTGTGACCCTCTCTCCCCAGGCCCAAGCTGGATGGCTGCAACATGATTATGGCCACCTGTCTGTCTACAGAAAACCCAAGTGGAACCACCTTGTCCACAAATTCGTCATTGGCCACTTAAAGGTAAGTGTCAGCAGCCCTGGGCATCTGTCCTGTTGGACAGCAGTTGAGACAGAGGGACCAGGATTCCTCTCTGCTCAGTGCTCTGAGGCTACAGGGTGACAAGGCAGGTGTGCCTATGCTGAGGGCCATGGTGACTCTCCATTCTGCTGACTTCCTGAGCCCTGTCTCTGGATCAGGTCCGAACCACAAAGCCATGGTGTACTACTCATTATGAAGACAGGCACACACCTTTCTTGTCTTTTGGCTCAGCGGATTGTATTTTTTGATGTTCCTTAGCTAAGGACTCATCTAACAAATCTGTTTTTGTTTGGGGACAGTAAAGTAGCAGTATTTTTTTTTTTTTTTGAGACAGAGTCCTGCTCTTGTCACCCAAGCTGGAAGCAATGGTGTGATCTTGGGTCACTGCAACCTCCACCTCCGGGTTCAAGCAATTCTCCTGCCTCAGCCTCCCGAGTAGCTGGGATTACAGGCACTCGCCACCATGCCTGACTAATTTTTGTATTTTTAGTAGAGATGGGGTTTTGCTATGTTGGTCAGGCCGGTATCAAACTTCTGACCTTGTGATCTACCTGCCTTGGCCTCCCAAAGTGCTGGGATTACAGGTGTGAGCCACCGCATCCGGCCTGTAGCATCTTTTTTGATGAGTTGGTATGCTTCCTTTCACTGGGGATGTGAGCTCTTTAATACGTTGTGCTGGGTGTGGTGGCATGCACCTGTAATCCCAGCCACCTGGGAGGCTGAGGCAGGAGAATTGCTTGAGCCCAGGAGTTCGAGACCAGCCTGGGCAACATAGTGAGACCCCCCCCCATCTCTCAAAAAAAAAAAAGAAAAAGAAACACATTGTGCTCCTCTCTTCCCCTCAGAAGCCAAGAGGTACAAAGCAGCATTTGAAACAGCAACTATCTTTAGTCTGTGTTTTTGGTGCCCCCATTCTCTCCTTCCTCATCTGGCATTTATGCTTTTATCTTTATTTTAGCCTTCCGTTATATATGAGTCTTTTATCTCAAGCCACTTCAAATACTCTTTGGAAATAAGCGGGGTACAAAAAGTAAAAGTCATCCTATAAGGCCTCAGATAGGGGACACCAAACTACGGAATGATCAGCTGGCCCAAAGGACAAAAGTCATTAGAAGTGCAGGAGTTAAGGAAGTTCCACTCTCACCTCCCCCTAGATAAGGAAGCAGACCACAGAGTCTCAGCATGTTTGTAGAAAGACAAGCTGGAATTGCCAACTGCCTTGTTCTGATCTGACAGGCGTTATCTCCTCAGTTTTGAAAATGAGTCTTTGCCAACTTGCTCTCTGAAATAGACTATCCCCATCCCAGCCTGACCCAACAGTACCTGCTTCCTGAGAAAAGCTGGGTCCTAAAGAATCCATCCCTCCACACCCTGGCAAGGGACGAGCTACATGTGGGGTGTAGCTTATCCCCTCTTCCACCCAGACCGCAACGGGGCCCTTGGCTTGCCGGCTGCAGATCTCACTGGTGGCCAACCACCCCTGAGCTGGTCACCAGTTTCGCAGCGAGCAGCTTGCCTGGCCCTGAGCCTGAAGCGGCCTGAGAACCTGGTCTCTGTCCAGAATCTCAGGGGCAAAGGGAGAGGGTGCACATAGTGGAGTGCTTTGTTTCATTTTATACTCTTCTCTGTTGGATCAAACCCTCCTCAGTATGGCAAAGTAACATTTAACTCCTGACCCATGTTAGCCCCCACACACTTAACAAAGATGGGCTGTGTCCTGCTTCCAGATTCTGGGCAGGGGCCGGGCAGGGGGGATTGTTCCTGTCCAATTGCCCTCAGTCTTTGAGGGGCCCCAGAGCACGGCTGTTGCGTCAGGCGGGAGACGGGGCCAGGACAGAGGACTGGTCTCCATGTAGAACGTGGATGACAGCAAACAGGGTCCTTGGGCTTGGGGATGTGGGCTCCACTCATGGCCCACCAGCCCCCACTGGCTGTGTCCTTGGTGCTGTGTCACAGAGACAGGCCAAGGACATGGACATGTGGCTCACTCAGGGGTGCCCCAGAGCACGGAGGTCAAGCTTGCCTGAAATTGGCTCTAGCACTCGGCAGGTGCACAGCCATGGGGACAAATCTTGTAGGTCTGTGTCTCTTCCCATCACTGGGAAAAAGGGGACTGGCTACAGGGAGGTCCTCAAGGGCCTCGCCAACTCAGATGTCTTAGCACAGGCTGGAAAGACCTGTGAGTAGGTTACCAGGTGCTGTGAGAGGCTGGGACCCCCTTCTTCCTGTTGGCTGCACTGCTAATGGGATTTAATGGGAGTTCTTCACATCCTGACCTGTTTGCCTTCAGCCCGTGTCATGCCCAGTGGACATTTCTTCCAAAGTGTGATCTTTTACAAAGACGATTCTGAGGTTAAAACTCTTTCGTAGTTCAGCACTGTACTTAGGATGAAATGCAAACTTCAGCCAGGCACAGTGGCTCACGCCTATAACCTCAGCGCTTTGGGAGGTCAAGGCAGGAGGATTGCTTGAAGCCAAGAGTTTGAGACCAGCCTGGGCCACATAGCAAGACCCTGTCTCTACTAAAAATAAAAGAATTAGCCGGGGATGGTGGTGCATGCTTGTAGTCCCAGCTACTGGGGAGGCTGAGGCCGGAGGATGGCTTGAGCCTGGGATTTGAAGGCTGCGGTGAGCTGTGATGGTGCCACTACATTCCAGCATGGGTGACAGAGTGAGACACTGTCTCTAAATAAATAAATGCAAGCTGAAAGGCCCAGTGCCATCTGGGCGCTGCATCTGGAAATGGACATCACCAGACTTTCTGCAGCCTCATCTCAGGCCACCAGGGCTGGGATTAGGGTGAAACAAGTAAGGCACTCGCTTAGGGTATAAAATCTAAGGGGACACCAGACAAATTCTAAGGGGACACCAGACAAATTCAGTTATCAAGATAAATGATGTTTTAATGCAATGTGGTTTTGTTTTGTTTTTTGAGATGGAGTTTCACTCTTGTCGCCCAGGCTGGAGTGCAATGGCGTGATCTCAACTCACTGAAACCTCCGTCTCCCGGGTTCAAGCGATTCTCCTGCCTCAGCCTCCCGAGTAGCTGGGATTACAGGTGTGCGCCACTATGCCCAGCTAATTTTTTTGTATTTTTAGTAGAGATGGGGTTTCTCCATGTTGTCCAGGCTGGTCTTGAACTCCTGACCTAAGGTGATCCACCTGCCTTGGCCTCCCAAAGTGCTGAGATTACAGGCATGAGCCACCACGCCCGGCCTGCAATATGTTTTTAAAAAAATCAAAATTAATGCAAAAAAATCCACAATGAACAAAATATCAAAATTTTAAATAAAGATCAGGATGAACTGAGGGAAATGGAAAAACATGCAACCCTCTAAACATGTTCGTGTGTCATTTTTTAATGGTTGATTTTTTTTCCAGAGGATTAAAGTAGTTAAAAAAATATTTAACAATGAAGAAGTTGATGTATTAAAAGTCATAACATTCTAAGTGTAAATGCTTTATTTATACCAAAACAGAACTTATTATACTTTTGCTTCAGTTGAATGTAATTAGAAATTAGTTAAGACCGGGCGAGGTGGCTTGGCCGGGTGTGGTGGCTCATGCCTGTAATCCCAGCACTTTGGGAGGGTGACGCAGGTAGATCACTTAAGGTCAGGAGTTCAAGACCAGCCTGGCCAACATGGTGAAACCCTGTCTCTACTAAAAAAACAAAAATTAGCCAGGCGAGGGTGCTCGGGAGGCTAAGACAGGAGAATCACTTGAACCAGGGAGGTGGAGGTTGCAGTGAGCCGAGATCGTGCCACAGCCCTCCAGCCTGGGTGACAGAGTGAGGCTCCATCTCAAAAATAAAAAATAAACATAAAAATTATTTAAGCTAATCGCTTGGTTGACAGAAACCATCAAACTCAGCAATTCTTTCCATTGAAAATGAAATGAGGCCAGGCGCGGTGGCTCACGCCTGTAATCCCAGCACTTTGGGAGGTTGAGGAGGGCAGATCACAAGGTCAGAAGATCGAGACCATCCTGGCTAACACGGTGAAACCCCATCTCCACTAAAAATACAAAAAATTAGCCGGGCGTGGTGGCACACGCCTGCAGTCCCAGCTGCTCGGGAGGCTGAGACAGGAGAATCACTTGAACCCGGGAGGTAGAGGTTGCAGTGAGCCGAGACTGCATCACTGCCCTCCAGCCTGGGCGACAGAGGAAGACTCCGTCTCAAAAAAAAAAAAGAAAAAAGAAAAAAGAAAGAAAATGAAATGAGGCAAAAAGTAGGCTTTGAAAATGTTATCGATGAGTTTGTTTCCATTAAAGCCAGAAGTGCACTTTTTTTTTTTTTTTTTTTTTTTTTTTTTTTGCCTCAGGCTCTGATATGGCGCCACCCAGCACTGCTGGTCACAGTTATACCGAGGAGCTTTCCTCTGGCTTCTGGAGCACTCTACACTCCCCCTTCCTCTCCCAGGGCCTCCCGTAGGCTCTTGCCTCTGTCAGGAAAGCACCCCTCACTCTGCCTGGCCAACTTCTCCAGCTGCGTGGACACTTAGCTTTCCTGGCCCCAGCTCAGTTTGGGTTTGGTGTGATGAGGCCAGACCCTCCCTCGCAGCTCCGTGAGGACAAGGGCTTTGTCTCTTGGTTCACCTCCCAGGCAGAGCACGGCAGCTGGCTTAGGGTAGGCAACATCTGCACCACATTCTGGGAACACGGAGCTGGCCATTGTTCCTGGGCAAGGCGGGCTTCCCGGTGCCCGGAAGGAGGGGCTCTTGAAGGACAAGCAGGGCTTCACCTGGCAAAGAAGAATGGAAGAGAGGCCCGGTGCGGTGGGTTATGCCTGTAATCCCAGCACTTTGGGAGGCGGAGGTGGGCGGATCACCTGGGTTCAGGAGTTTGAGACCAGCCTGGCCAACATGGTGAAACCCCATCTCTACTGAAAATATAAAAATTAGCCGGGCATGGTGGCGGGCGCCTATAATCTCAGCTACTCGGAAGGCTGAGGTAGGAGAACCTGGGAGGCGGAGGTTGCAGTGAGCTGAGATTGCACCACTGCACTCCAGCCTGGGCGACAAGAGCAAAACTCTGTCTCAAAAAAAAAAAAAAAAAAAATGGAAGAGAATCACAGCAGAGGAAGTAGCATGAACAAAAAATGCTTTCATTACATCTCATCCCGAGTCCAGGGAGAACCGGGACTGCCCACCTCACTGCCTCCTTGTTGTCAGCCCGTCTTGCTTTCCTCCATCTGTTTGTTCAATAAACATCTCTGGGTTGGTATCCTCCAAACATCACGCTTACTTGTTTCATGCCTTGCTCCTCAGTTTCTTTGTGCCAGAGATTTTTCCATTTGATTCTTCCCAGGAATTTTGTTCCTTTTGACAACAAACGCAAATGTGTCATTTGATTCCTCGAGCCTCTAAGCTTTCTTTCTTTCTTTTCTTTTTTTTTTTTTTTTTTGAGACAGACTCTTGCTCTGTTGCTCAGGCTAAAGTGAAGTTGGTATGATCTTGGCCTCCTGGGTTCACAGGATTCTCCTGCCTCAGACTCCTGAGTAGTTGGGATTACAGGTGCCCGCCACCACGCCCAGATAATTTTTGTAGTTTTAGTAGAGACGGGGTTTCTCCGTGTTGGCCAGGCTGGCCTTGAACGCCTGACCTCAAGTGATCCACACGCTTCAGCCTCCCAAAGTGAAGCCTCTGAGCTTTCACTCTCTGACTTTTTTTTTTTTTTTCTCTCTCTCTCTCTCTCTCATGGGTTTTGAGGCCTGCCAGTTTCCAGGGCCCTGAGGTTACTGCAAAGGCCACAGCTGTCCGTTGCTGTTCCCACCCATGGCTATTAGTGTCCATAGACTGTGTGTGCCAAAAGCATCTCCCAAGTAAAATGTTTGTTTAGCAAATAGGCATTTTTTGCAAACCCTTAGCCAAAGCATTGATCCGGCAACAGTTCACCAGGATAGTCGTGATGCCAAAGGGTCAGGAAAGTGTGTTTTCTTTCATCTGTCGCTGGGCAACTGTCGAGGGCCATAACTCTGAGCTGAGGAGACGGACACCTGTGGCCTCAAAAGAAATATCCATGTTATGTGTCTTGTCTCATGGGATCCTATTTGAGTGTTAGAAACAGGAAAGTTCTTCTTGTTCATGTTAGCAGTTGTTTGTTGAGCCCTCCCTCCAGCCTTCCTGGTGTGACACGAATCTCAGGACCCACCCTCAGCATAGCAGCACAACTGCGCTCTCCAAATCGTTTATTGAGATACAGTTCTCACTTTTTTTTTTTTTTAAACAGAGTCTTGCTCTGTCTCCCAGGCTGGAGTGCAGTGGTGTGATCTCTGCCTCCCGGGTTCAAGTGATTTTCCTGCCTCAGCCTCCCGAGTAGCTGGGATTACAGGCGCCCACAACCACGCCCGGCTAATTTTTGTATTTTTAGTAGAGGCGGGGTTTCACCATGTTGCCCAGGCTGGTCTCAAACTCCTGACCTCAAGTGATCCACCCGCTTCTGTCTCCCAAAGTGCTGGAATTACAGGTGTGAGCCACCACGCCCAGCCAGTTTTCCCATTTAAAGTAGACAAATCAATGACTTTTGGTATATTCACAGATTTATGCAACCATCATCATAGTCGATTTTAGAGCATCTTCATGATGCTCAAAAGAAACCCCACGTTTCTTAGCCATCACATCCCAACCCCCTCACTCCCTCCCCTACCCCAATCCTAGCCCTACACAACTGCTCAGCTTTCTGTCTCTATAGATTTCCCTATTCTGGGCGTTTCATGTCGGTGGAATCATGTGATATGTGGTCTTTTGTGGCTCCTTCCTTCCCTTAGCATGTTCTCCAGGCTCATCCGTGTTGTAGCAAGGGTCAGTGATTCGTTCTGTTTTACGGCACAGCCAAATGATATTCCACTGTGTGGATAATCTGCATTTCATTCACCCACTCATCTGTTGATGAACATTTGTGTTGCTTTTGCTCTTCTGGTTCTTTTGAAGAATGCTGCTGTGAACACTGCTCTATGAGTTGGTGTGTGGACATGTTTTCATTTCTCTTGGATATACGCTCAGGAGGGAGATTTCTGGGCCACATAGTAGGGACCACTTCTCACTGTCCCTGAAACCTCGGCTTTACCTTGCACAGCTCTGGTTCCACACCTGGTGACGGAGAGGCAGAGACTGGCTGCCACACCTGCTGGAGCGCTCACCGTGTGGTCCCTCAGCAGCACGCCTCATCTGCCACCATCGTCTTATGATCAGGGAAACTGAAGCCTAGAGAGATAAAGTGACTTCACTCCATCTGGGGCTGGCGCATGCTCTGAGCTCAGTCATGGCAGGGCTGGATTCTGGCCTTGTGGGGGCCTGAAGTGCTATCCCCGAGGGTTGAAGGTTCCGGGAACTGCTCCTAAGAAGGGCCTGTTACAAGCGAGCTCGGTTCCCTGGTGGCTTGCATGGCTCATCCCCACCCCTCTCTCCCCACAGGGTGCCTCTGCCAACTGGTGGAATCATCGCCACTTCCAGCACCACGCCAAGCCTAACATCTTCCACAAGGATCCCGATGTGAACATGCTGCACGTGTTTGTTCTGGGCGAATGGCAGCCCATCGAGGTACGACTAAGAGGATGGTGTTGACCTAGGAAGTGTTTGTCCTGGGCGAATGGCAGACCATCGAGGTACAACTAAGGAGATGGTGTTGACCTAGGAAGTGTTTGGCCTGGGCGAATGGCAGCCATCGAGGTACGACTAAGGGGTTGGTGTTGACCTAGGAAGTGTTTGGCCTGAGCAGGGAGCAGGGAAGGAAGCCTAGAGAGCTGACATTCAGCCAGGCAGGTCCACATCTCCTGCTACACAGATACCTCTCCTAGGTACCCTGAATTGTTCTGGCTGGAATGTATGTGGAATGGCCTCACCTGTAAATACAGACACAGCTCCTCATTAGAATGGTAGATGTCTCCCTCCTACCCTTAGGCCAGGAAGGGCATTTTCTGGCTTGTTTTTTCCCAGGGTAGAGGGAAATCTTGTTCCAGTTCAGCAGGAAGGCAAGATTTCAGGGGCTCAAGCTTGGTCGCCAACCGACTAGCTCATGTTGAGAAAACCTTATTTGGAGAATCATCATCCTGTACACTGGGAGGAGCCTCAACGTGGCTTGGTCCAATCTGCTTCACCAGTGGATAAGAAATTGAAGGTCAGCGAGAGGATGGAACACGTTCAGGGTCACATAATTTATTTAGTTTTTTTTCTGAGACGGAGTCTTGCTCTGTTGCCCAGAGCTGGAGTGCAGTGGCACAATCTTGGCTCACTGCAACCTCCGCCTCCTGGGTTCAAGCAATTCTCCTGCCTCCGCCTCCCACGTAGCTGGGATTACAGGCATGTGCCACCATGCCAACTAATTTTTGTATTTTTAGTAGAGACAGGGTTTCACCATGGCCAGGCTGGTCTCAAACTCCTGACCTCATGATCTGCCTGCCTCGGCTTCCCAAAGTGCTGGTATTACAGGCATGAGCCAACGTGCCCAGCCGAGAGAGTCACGTAATTTAGTGGCCAGTCTAGGGTGAGGCCCCAGACCTTTGGACTGCTAGGCCATTGCCTTCCATTTACTATACCATTTTATTTTCATATTAGTTCATTTTATTACTACAAATATAGAACACACTTGGTATAAACTTCTAAACAGTACAGAAATATCCAGAATTAAAACACGAGTCTCAGCCTGGGCAATATAGCAAGACCCTGTCTCTAAAAAAATACATATTTTTTTAGTTAGCCAGGCATGGTAGCACGTGCCTAGTCTCAGTTATTGGGGAGGCTGAGGTGGGTGGATCCCTTGAGCTGAGCCCAGGAGGTTGAGGCTACAGTGAGCTATGATCACACCACTGCACTCCAGCCTGGGTAACAGAGCAAAGCTATGTCTCAAAAAAGAAAAAAAAAGTGAGTCTCTCAAACCTCCCCTTTGCCCCAAATTTTATGCCCTTGAGGGTAACCACTGTTAACAAGATGCTATACAGTCTTCTAGATATTTTTATATGTGTATAAACATGCATATATCTGTTTCTTTACAAACAAAAATTTTAGGCCAGCTGTGGTGGCTCACACCTGTAATCCCAGCGCTTTGGGAGGCTGAAGTGGGAGAAGTGCTTGAGCCCAGGAGTTCAAGACCAGCCTGGGCTACATAGTGAGACCCCATCTCTGCGAAAAATACAAAAGATTAGCCAGGTGTAGTGGTGTGCGTCTGTGGTCCCAGGTGCAGGGGAGGCTGAGGTGGGGGAATCACTTGAGCCTGGGAGCCTCAAGGCTGCAATGAGCTATGATTGCACCACTGCACTCCAGCGGGGACAGAAGAGGGAGACTCTGTCTCAAAAATAAAAAAATAAAAAACAAAAAAATTCTACCTTGTATCCTGCAACTTGCCACCTCTGCGAATGTGGATGCCCTTCCCCCCCAGTTCATGTAGACAGGTCTCGTCTCCCTCTAGCCATATGGTATTCTGTTGTACTTCTGAACCATAACAGGACCTACATTATTTTATATGGTAGACAAATTGAGTGTCAGTAGTTCATAATTTCTTTCTTTTCTTTTCTTTTCTTTTTTTTTTGAGACAGAGTCTTACTCTCTTGCCCAGTCTAGAGTGCAGTGGCACGATCTTGGCTCACTGCAACCTCCACCTCCCAGGTTCAAGTGATTCTCCTGCCTCAGCCTCCCGAGTAGATGGGATTACAGGTGCACACCACCACGCCTGGCTAATTTTCTCATTTTTAGTAGAGACGGGGTTTCACCATGTTGGCCAGGCTGGTCTTGAACTCCTGACTTCGTGATCCGCCCACCTCGCCCTCCCAAAGTGCTGGGATTACGGGTGTAAGCCACCGCGCCTGGCCCATAATTTCTTTTGAATAAAAGCCCCACCAATGCGTTCCACAAAAAAATGTTCTTATTTAATACATTCTTTTTTTTTATGTAGAGCCTCTATGTCGGGACCTAATTTAGAAGAAAAAAATAAATATATGCGCTGCTTTTTGGAAATACATTAATGATTAAAATGAAAGTTTAGAAGATCCTTGTTGCTTTTATGCAGATCTTAGGAGCCACAAAGCCATGCATAGAGTAGGGTTCAATCAGCATCTGCCAAGTGAGGCCAATTTTCCCTCACTAAGGAGTGGCACCGTGAGTGAAGTAGTATTCCCGACAGCCTTGGCGCCTAAGGCTTGGAACAAGGCGAGGAGACAGCCTGGCTCCCCAGTTCTGGTTTGTACACCCTCTTCTTATTTCATTTCCACCCGTGAGACTATCTGAGCAGGAACGTGGATTTTTCTGTAACATGGCCAATTCGCAGGAAATCAGCCACAGTTCTGTACTTTGGAAGCCTCTCTAAGCTGCCAGGGATTCCATTTTCTGCCAAAGTACAGGCTATTGTTATTCTTCTAGGAAACAGTTTGCCAGCTTTAATTAGAGGTGTCTAGAAAACAGAACTGATGAACTTGAGGCCCTCTGATAAGTGGGGACAAAGGCTTCATTTTCTCGGCGAGGCTTTGTAATGTAGAGCCGTTGGCTGTCCTGACAGATGTTCTCTGTGTCTCCAACAAAGAAAGTCTAGTCCCACCAGCTGCACTGGCAAGAAGGCGTCTTTCTTGTGCGTGGTGGCCAGAGAAGCCTCTCCTTTCCCGACATCTTCTCACCCCCGACACTTCTGGAACGCTGGCTTTGGGGCAGGAGATAGGGGTGGGAGGCTGTGAGGATCTGGTTGTTCAGTTACCAGCGGCGTTTGGAAGTCCCCAGCCAGTGCCGCGGTGTTCTGTGGAAATCCCCGCTCTCACACTCATGGGGAAAGGATTGGTGCTTCCTGGGTTCCTGGTGTTTTGACCTGTGCTCTGGCTCTCGCAGGACCCGGCCGCCCTGGAAGGAACCCTGGTCTCTTGACTGAAGTGACAGTGGGTCTGATGGGACTTGTCACATGCCAGTCCCACACACCACAGCAGGGCCAGGTGGGGCGGCCAGGTCCCAGGGCCTCAAGCCACCATCCCAGTCTCCAGAGCAAGGATGCCGGCCAGGGCTTCTATCTCTGGGGACAGATAAGCAAAGCAGCCCTGCCAAGCGGCTCCCAGCACGTGGAACTGTGAATAGCGCGGGCTCCGCAGTAAAGCCCTTTTCCTCGTTTTCTGCATTTTGGTCTTATTGATGCTGTCCAGGAGGATTCTTTTTGTCATATGTAGCAAAGTATATTCACTTTACCCAGAGATTCATTTCTTGTGTGCTTAGAAAGTTCTTCATACATATTATTTTCAGTTCTTTAAGGTTTTGTGTTTCAATCTTTAACTTCTGCCAAATGGGATATGGGTAGGATGATGTTCGGCCTTCACTTTTCTCCAGAGTCGGCCAGTTTTCCCGGCACCCCCATGAGGTGGCATTGCTTCTTCATATGAGGCAGTGAGTGCTCCTGAGCCCGGGCTTGGCCTGGGCTGGGCTGTCTGTCCTCTCCCAGGCCACCGTCTGGATGACTTGGGGGCCACACTCACACTCATTCATCCTTGGCACTTAACTCATTGGAAGCTCGTAGTGGGGTGCCTTTCCCCTTCTCTTTCTCTCTCTTTTTGTTTTTGTTTTTGTTTTTGAGACAAGGTCATGCTCTGTCACCTTGGCTAGAGCGTAGTGGCGCAATCTCGGTTCACTGCAGCCTCAACCTCCTGGGCTCAAGCCATCGTTCTGCCTCAGCCTCCCGAGTAGCTGGGACTACAGGCACCCGCCACCATGCCCGGCTAATTCTTGTATTTTTAGTAGAGATGGGGTTTCACCATGTTGGCCAGGCTGGTCTCGAACTCCTGACCTCAAGTGATCCGCCTACCTCAGCTTCCCAAAGTGCTGGGATTACAGGCATGAGCCACTGTGCCCGGCCAAGGTCTGTACTTCTTTATATGTCTCATGGATGTTTCTTTTAAAACGCAATCCTTATATGTTTTATATTTTGTCATTATGATTGGAGGTTCTCCAGTACTCGGGAAAGCAGTGGATATTGGGGTAGTTATCTTAATTTTCTTTTTTTTCTAAATTTTTGTTTGCATGGCCTTCCAATGAATGGGATAGTTATCTTTTGTCCCGCTAGTGTCCACTTACGTCTCTTCGTAATTCTAGTTGTGTTTCGGTTGATTCTTTTGAGTTTCCTGGGTAGATGATCATATCCTAGAAAATAATGAAAACGTAGTCTCTCGGCCCAGCGTGGTGGCTCACATCTGTAATCCCAGCACTTTGGGAGGCCGAGGCTGGCGGATCACGAGGTCAGGAGATCGAGACCATCTTGGCTAACACAATGAAACCACCGTCTCTACTAAAAATACAAAAAATTAGCTGGGCATGGTGGCACACGCCTGTAGTCTCGGCTACTCTGGAGGCTGAGGCAAGAGAATCGCTTGAACCTGGGAGGCGGAGGTTGCAGTGAGCTGAGATAGCACCACTGCACTCCAGCCTGGGCGACAGAGTGAGACTCCGTCTCAAAACAACAACAACAACAACAACAACAAAACAAAACAAAACAAACAGAAAAAAAGTGTAGTCACTCTTTCTTTCTTCTCTTTCTTTCTTTCTCTCTCTCTTTCTTTCTCTCCCTCCCTCCCTTCCCTCCCTCCCTCCCTTCCTTCCTTCCTTCCTTCCTTCCTTCCTTCCTTCCTTCCTTTCCTTCTTTCTTTCTAATCTGGATGTTGAAGTAGTCTCTTTCTTTCTAATAGCTCCACTCTGTTTTCTGCTTTGGGTTTTATTGCATTGACGGGAAATTTCAGAGCTGAGTTTAATAGCGGTGATATTGGCAGCAGCCTTGTTTTGTTCTTCTTTTGCCATATCCCCGTTTTCTGAGGGGGCTGGTGAGACCATTATCCCGGTAGCAGTGTAAAGGGGCCTCAGAAGCCGTGCGGTGCCTGAGATCCTCCTCCTCCTCCCATCCGGGAAACCACCTCTGCTGCTCTGACTGTCTGAAGCTAACCTCCTGGGCTTCCTGCTTGAGGCAGACCTTCATGAACAGGCTTAAGCCACCCATCCCGCCTTGGGACACACATGCCGCCCTCTCGGGGACCTTGGACTGGGACCTTGCCATTCTGCTCCTGCTGGGGAGGTCGTGCCGCCTGTTTCTCTCTGTGTGTGAGTTTGCAGGTTCCCAGAGGCAGAGACTGGGCTTTGCGACAGCTCCCCTCCCCCAACCCTCGATGGACAAGGAGGGCCCTTGTCATTCCTCAGACATTTTGTTCCAAAGCTGAAAGGTCCCCTCCACATGGCCCGGCATCCCCCAGGCCCTCATCCAAGCCTGGCCTTGAGGTGCATGGAGAGGCCGAGGACAGGAGAGTCAGCCCCGCCGCCAGGGCTGGCTGCACTCCCTCCCTTGCCCCTGGCCTGCGTCTCTGCCTGTCAACCGCAGCCTGGGAAGGCACTGTTGCTGATCAGGGGGAGGTCCATGTGTGCCACCCACACCCTTGGCCGCAGCCCAGCCAGGTGAAAGTCATGTGTCTTCCTTGCCTCTTGGGCTTTCTCTGTGTGTGTGACGGGGACTCCTCTGGAGGAGGAGATGTGTGGGGTCCTCCACTCCCCACACTTGGGGCTCTGAGCCCCCAGTTGGGAAGAAGCCTGACTCTTGTTGAGTGAGTCTGTGGACCGGGCACTGTGATGGGCAGTGTGCGTGCACAACGTCACTTAATCCTTGCTTAACCCGTGAGGCGGGAGCTGTCATCGACCCATTTCATGGATGGAACAGCTAAGGCCAAGAGACATGAAGTGACTTGTTCAAGGTAACAGCAAGGAAAAGGCAACACCACTGTCCGAACCCAAACCATCTGGCTGCAAACCACAGCTTCGGAGTCCTGGGGGCCCTTGTGAAATATGTTTGTTGGGTAGCCCCAGCTTTCTGATCAATTAAACAGCCAGGCACTCACCCCCCTAGCTTGCTACATTCTAAAATACCTCTCCCTCCCTTCCCTGGTCCCATGACTTAAACGGCAAAGCTCTGGCAAAGAACTGAGCGTGGGAAAGATGAGAGCAGAGAGTTAGCCACAGGGCAGGGCTTCGTATCCCAAACCCACAGTTGTACTTTCTGGTTTGGGAGGGGAGTATTGGCCATCCCCCAGCAGAGCCGCTGCAGCTGAGGCCATCGAGATGGGCACAGATGTGTAGTGGTATGTCACCATACGCATGTACATACACGTGCGTGACTGTGATGAGCATTTTGCTCACCGTCCCACAGAGGCCCACTCTGAGGCCTGCTGCTGCCTGGCAAGCAGGACCCCCTGGCTCCCGAGGGTCATTCTGGGGCATTGAAGGGACGCACACTAAAGCCAGCAGTGCTTACCAGCAGAGGCAGCCCCTGTAACCTGTGTTGTCCACCCACAGGCCACCATCACCCATGAGAACAGGGTGCCTACTGTGCACATGCAGCTCCAAACAGACTCCCCAGGTGCCTCCCAGGCCCCCACAACAGCGTGGCCAGCCCTCAGTCCCTCCATAGGATGCCCTGGCCCCTGCTGACCTGCCTGGGTTGCCCTCTGTGCTCACTTCCGAGTACAGCCGGCCCAGCCCGAGAGGGATGGGATGCTCTGTGGGACAGAGATGCGGTGGGGAGGAGCTCTTGAGCAGAGCTGGAGACACTGCATGCCAAGGCTGGGGCTATGAGCCTGCTCCCTGGCCTCTGGGAGAAGCTTAGAGCAGGACTCAGGGGCCTGTTCTGTGGGCCACTGCAGGCCCCGAGACTGGCCACCTCGAGAGCAACGTCTGCAGTGCTGGCTCCTCCAGCAACTCCGTCCACTGGAGACTCATGAAAGGCTCCTGTGAGGCCTCCCTGGCTCGGACCTCTCCATGGCCGGCCTCAGCCCTGGCCTTAATAATAGTCTTCCTGCAAGTGGCCGTCCTTTCTGGGAATGAGTGAGATCCTTGCCAAGGCTCAGGAGGCCACACAGAACAAAGGGACTGTTTCTGGGGGTTCTTCAGCTGGTTGTGCCGTGACCATGGCCATTGGCGCCAAGATGCAAGCCTTGGGGACAGGGTGGACCTGGTTCCCACCCACAGCCTCTTCCCTCAGGAATCCATGCTCTCCCTGTGATTTGGACAATCATTTTACTCACCTGGATGAGAGGGGCACTGGCCTAGGCATCATCCAAGGTCCCTTCCCTCTGTAACTCACTTTGACCTCCTGACTGCAATAAGTATGACTGGACACTATAGGAGGAGGCATCTCTGGCCTTCGGATCCAGGGGTATAGGGAGGGTGACGGGCAGTGTCCTGGGGTCAGCACTTGGCATTATGCCCATGTTCTCATTGGCTCCTCTTACCAACCACTGATTCAAATGCCAGACAAGGCTCAGCAAGGCTAAGCGACTCACATAGTCTCAGCACTGGTGAGAGGCAGAGTCGGCTCAAGCGCATCTGCTGGCTGCAAGCCCAGCCTCCCCACACTGCAAGGGAGAGGAGCAGGTGTCACTCAGTGAGCGGCATCTTTTGGTCTCAGTCCTGGAAGTGCAGGGTGGGCTGGTCCCTAGGGGCTGGACCATGGAATTAAGGGCTCCAGGGATCCCCTGGGGCCGTGGTTCCTATGCCTGGCATTGGACAATGACGATGCCCAGGACCCAGCCCAGCCCTCCTCCATTAGAGCCTCTGGGCATCAGGCTGCCCAAGGTGCAGGCTCTGATGGGGAAGAAACCGGTGCCGTCATGGGGACCTCAGGTAGCCAGATGTGGCCTGAGGAGTCTGTGCTGTGGCCTCCTCTGTCCTCAAGGTTAGGCTCCAGCTGGGGAGGAGTGATTCACTCTTGTAAATTACAGGGAGGCTCCAGGGAGGCAGATGCTCCCAGCCTGATGACTGGCAGCAATTCTGGGGCCCTTACCTAGGTTCTCCCTGCCACTGCGGGCTCCGGGAGCTCTCCATGGTGACCTAGGAACTCCCCTGGGTGCTTATGCTCCGCCGAGAGTTGCTCTGTTGCACATTCATTCAACAAACATTTGTTTAGTGCCTGTCACATGGGCTCAGAGTCAGCTTTTTGGGTTCTGATCCCAGTCAGGGCCACTTCCTGTGGCCTTGGGCCATGGCTTAACGCTGAGCCTCAGCCTCAGAAGTGCCGGCCTTGTAGAGGATCGATGCCATCGGGCCAGTGCTCGGCTAGGGCTGAGGAAGCGTTGGCCGCTGCTGGCTGTAGCATGGGGAGCCCAGAGGGCTGGAGGGGCCCCAGGCTTGGTGGGCCCAGGGTGCAGATTGACAGGAAAGGGACAGTGGTGTGCCCTGAGCAGATAGAAGGGATGGTGGCTGCAGGATGGGTTGGGGAACATGGGAGGCTGGGAGCTGAGGCTACTGGGTGCTCATGATCTCTCCTCTCTCCTCAGTACGGCAAGAAGAAGCTGAAATACCTGCCCTACAATCACCAGCACGAATACTTCTTCCTGAGTGAGTGCTCGGCGCCCCGAAATCACTCTGGGACCCTCCCCTCCCCCCAGAGTGGCGTGTCTCTCCCTCCTACCTGACATCTTTTTCAGATCCAGAAAGTGACACTAAACTTGTTAGAAGCGGGGGCCACAGCAGCCTTGCTGTGCAGACCCCTCAGCCTGTGTTACAGGCCTGATGGGGACACAGAGGCTCAGAGAGTCCCAGGGGTGACACACGTCCTCAAGGGCTCCCAGCCTTCTCTGCAGGCCCCGGGGTCCCTGGCTGCTTCTGCCCACGTCTGCAGGGCTGGCCCCTGCACTCAGTGCTGGGCCTGGGTTCCCCTGACCTTCCGGCACAGGCAGGGTGGAATGGATGCCTCTAAGCGCCTGTCTCTCTCCTGCAGTTGGGCCGCCGCTGCTCATCCCCATGTATTTCCAGTACCAGATCATCATGACCATGATCGTCCATAAGAACTGGGTGGTGAGTTGGGGACACAGCTGGCTTGGCATGGGGAGGAGGGTGACTGGGACAGGGGGACCCGGGGGTCCTACGCTGCCTCCTCGTGTGCCCCAGTGGAGCCTGTGGGGCCCCAGGCATCTCCTCCCTGGGGTAGCTGCCTCTCAGGAAAGGACTCCCTCTGGGGCCACCAGGACCTAGTCCTAAAGATCTCTACTCTCCCTCAGACATAGGGAGTCCACTGGGGCAGCCCCTGCTTTTGCAGAGCCCCCGAGAAAGTTCTCAAAGGCAGCAGGATGAGAGGCAAGTGTGGCCATCTCCCTTCCCCGCTCCCTGTGGGCCCTGAGTCCCATGAACTGGGTTGCCCCACACCCTGGTTTGAAGTTGGAGCAGCTGGGCGTTGGCTGAGATGACAGGTGTGGTCGTTTGCGAAGACCGTATGACAAAGCACCACGAACTGAGTGGCATAAGCAGCAGCGATGTGTTTTCTCCCGGTTCTGGAGACCGGAAGTCCAAAACTGAGGTGTTAGCAGGGTGGATTCCTTAGGGCTCTGGAAGGCTCTGTTCTGGGCCTCTCATCGGCTGGTTGATGGCTTTCGTCCTCCCTCTCGGTACATCATCTCTCTGCATATTTGTATCTGTATCTGTGTCCAAATATCCCTCTTTAAAAAAATTATTTTGTTTATTTGTTTATTTATTGAGACAGAGTCACATAGGCTGGAGTGCAGTGGTGTGATCTCGACTCAACTGCAACCTCTACCTCCTGGGTGCAAGCAATTCTTGTGACTCAGCCTCCCAAGTACCTGGGATTACAGGCACCGGCCACCATGCCCAGCTAATTTTTGTATTTTTAGTAGAGATGGGGTTTTTCCATGTTGGCGAGGCTGGTCTCGAACTCCTGGCCTCAAGTGATCTGCCCGCCTCAGCCTCACAAAGTGCTGAGATTACAGGCATGAGCCACCACGCCTGGCCTATTTTTTAATTTTCTTTTTTTCTTCACCAAAAGTGGATTCTTGAAAATTTTTCCTTTTTTTTAAAATAGGGACATTGGTCATATTGCATTAGGGCCCATTGTAATTACGTCATCTTTTTTTTTTGAGATGGTGTTTCGCTCTGTCGCCCAGGCTGGAGTGCAGTGGTGCGATCTCGGCTCACTGCAACCTCCGCCTCCTGGGTTCAAGCGATTCTCCTGCCTCAACCTCCTGAGTAGCTGGGAGTACAGGCGCCGGCCACCATGCCTGGCTAATTTTTGTATTTTTAGTAGTGATGGGGTTTCACCATGTTGGCCAGGCTGGTCTCGAACTCTTGACTCGTGATCCACCCGCCTTGGCCTCCCAAAGTGCTGGGATTACAGGCGTGAGCCACTGCACCCGGCAGATAAATTGTTTATCTGAAAATTATCAAAGACTAAATTGTCACTTTCTGAAATGCTTGCTTAAAATCCAGTCTTTCTCAGCAGTCTATTTGTCCCTCATGCTCCAACCAATAGCCATGGGGAAGTTTTTCCTCTCTTAACCAAATGTGGACTTGTTTATTGATTACTGTTTTTTGTTTGTTTGTTTGTTTTTGAGGTGGAGTTTCGCTCTTGTTGCCCAGGCTGGAGTACAATGGCGTGATCTCGGCTCACCGAAACCTCTGCCTCCTGGGTTCGAGTAATTCTCCTGCCTCAGCCTCCGAAGTAGCTGGGATTACAGGCATGCGCCACCATGCCCAGCTAATTTTGTATTTTTAGCAGAGACAGGGTTTCACCATGTTGGTCAGGCTGGTCTCAAACTCCCAACCTGAGGTGATCTGCCCACCTCAGCCTCCCAAAGTGCTGGGATTACAGGCGTGAGCCACCGCGCCCGGCCTGTTGATTACTGTTTTATCGCTTGCTAACTGAAGTTGTCCTTTTCACCCTGACTGTGAATTTAAGAGCAGCCAAGTCAAATTTTATCTCCAAGTCTTGGACCCATATATCCAATCTAACTCCATTTGGAGGTGTCCCAGCCATTGCAAATCCAACATATTCAATGTAAGTCCTCTCCTCTTCTCCCACAACCTAATCCTGATGGTCTCCATGTTAATGAATGGCTCCATCATCCACCCAGTGGCTCAAGTTAGAGACTAGCACCATTATGTTTTTTCCCTCCTTATACATGTTACACCCTCTCCTTGCCTCTAGCATCCAATCCCGTTCTAACTCATAAGTGGCCTATTGCCGGGCGCAGTCACTCATGCTTGTTATCCCAGCACTTTGAGAGGCCGAGGCGGGCAGATCATGAGGTCAGGAGTTCGAGACCAGCCTGGCCAGCATGGTGAAACCCCGTCTCTACTAAAAATACAAAAAATTAGCCTGGCATGGTGGTGTGCACCTGTAGTCCCAGCTACTCAGGAGGCTGAGGCAGGAGAATTGCTTGAACCCGGGAGGCGGAGCTTGCAGTGAGCAACTTCTTTTTTTTGTTTGTTTTTGACTGTGCTTGTTCCCTAAGGAACAAAGTATTAAACAGGAAAAGAAATCACCCTATGTTCCTAAAAGGGGATGGCAGAGTGGGGACAATGTGATGAGCCCATGGGGCTTTCAGAGCCAGGAGCGCACCTATGACCTGGGGCACTGGTTCTCAGGGGAGCTGTTCTGCCCTTTGGCAGTATCCGGAGACACTTTTAATTGTCACAACTTCAGGAGAGGAGGGTGCTACTGGCATCTGGTGGGCGTCTAGCCAGGATGGTGCTTAG
This sequence comes from Homo sapiens, assembly GCF_000001405.40. Lineage (NCBI taxonomy): Eukaryota > Metazoa > Chordata > Mammalia > Primates > Hominidae > Homo > Homo sapiens. The sequence goes on from NC_000011.10 coordinate 61,860,222, forward strand.
CACCCTGCCATGCCCTGGAGAACCGCCCATGACAACAAGCAGCCTGTCCCAGGTGCCAATAGTGTGGAGGTTGGGGGACCCTGGCTTAGAGGAAAGAGGTGACAAACCCTAAGATCTTTGAAGGAGGCTTCCCGGGGAGATTTACATGCTCTGGCAAGGTTCCCTGTTCCCGGGGCCACGTCCTGGATCCTGAGATGCTCCCACGCTTCACCCTCCTGGAATTTTGCTGTATCTGACACCACTGGCCACTCCCTCTTGCAGTTCTTCCTGTTGGCTTCCAGGTCCCCACCTCTGCTGGCTTCTTCCCAACCCCCTCGCTCCGCCTCTTTGGCTGCTTCTGATCTCTTGGGCTCTCTGCCCCTGAAACCAGCGATCTCTGTGTATGTGTTGCTCTCTACACTCAAAAGAAGTCCAGGCCAGGCATGGTGGCTCACGCCTGTGATCTCAGCACTTTGGGAGGCTGAGGTGGGAGGGATCACCTGAAGCCAGGAGTTTTGAGACCAGCCTGAGCAACATGGGCGAAACCCTGTCTCTACAAAAAGCTGGGCGTGGTGATGCGCGCCTGTAATCTACCTACTTTGGAGGCTGAGGTAGGAGGATGGCTTGAGCCCAGGAGTTTGAGGCTGCAGTGAGCTGTGATCACACCACTGCACTCAAGCCTGGGCAACAGAGTGAGACCCTGTCTCTTAAAAATAAAAGTTGGGCCAGGGCAATGGTTCACACCTGTAATCCTAGTACTTTGGGAGGCCAAGGCTGGAGGATCACTTGAGCACAGGCATTCGAGACCAGCCTGGGCAAGTAAGTGAGACCCCCCCATCTCTATAAAAACTTAAAAAAAATTATCCAGGTAAGGCCAGACACAGTGGCTCATGCCTGTAATACCAGCACTTTGGGAGCCTGAGGCAGGCGGATCACAAGGTCAGGAGATCGAGACCATCCTGGCGAACACGGTGAAACCCCATCTCCACTAAAAATACAAAAAATTATCCGGGCGTGGTGGCGGGCACCTGTAGACCCAGCTACTTGGGAGGCTGAGGCAGGAGAATGGTATGAACCCAGGAGGTGGAGCTTGCAGTGAGCCAAGATCACACCACTGCACTCTAGCCTGGGCGACAGAGCGAGACTCCCTCTCAAAAAAAAAAAAAAAAAACAGAAATTAGCTACTCGGGAGGCTGAGGTAGAAGTATGGCTTGAGCCTGGGACAGAGTCATGATCACACCATTGCACTCCAGCCTGGGCAATAAAGCAAGATCCCATCTCCAAAAAAAAATAATCCGTAACCCCATCCTCATTTTGTTTCCATATATGTGTAGATACACTGCACACTATTGCACCACACACACAGAATAGAAGGAATGTGATGGAAAGTGGGAGCAGAACTGGCTACATCTGCCTCCCTCCTCACCTTGAAGGCCACCTTATTGGAACGTGAGGTCCTGCCCTCGGCCAATGTTGGCCCCAAGGCCATCTCCAGCCTCTCCTGAGCGCTCCCTTCCTCCTTTCCTGTTCAGCTGCTGGCACCCGACCCCTGATCACCTAGGACCAGCCTAGATTCCCCACAGCCAAGCAGGCACAAATGCAGCCACCGTTGCCTCTGACAGTTCTGGAATCTGTCACCTCCTTGTCAGTGCCGTGGGTTCTGGTTTAGGCCTCTGTCATTTCATGTCTGAGCCGCTGGAATAACTTCCTAGTCTCCCCCTCTCCAGTGGGTGGGGATCTATTTTAAGACACAAATGTGACCTTGTTCTTCAGTCGTTTGAAGTGAGACAGGGCAGTCCCTTGGCCTCACCTTCCACCTCGGACACCTGTGCTGAGCCTGTGGCATGTCACCATACCTAAACTCATGGCAGGATGAGCGCCCTGGCAGTGGGAACAGGCCATGCAGAGGCCCCGGGGAGGGAGTAAGCTAGGTCAGGGGGCTGAGTAAAGACAGGTTCTTAACCCCATGAGGCTCCGTGGGTGACTGGGTGGGATGGGGGCTTTAGCAGGGGAGAGTTGGGACCTGCTTGGAGCGAAGGCCACTCTGGTTGCCATGGCCACGAGGACAAGCAGGAGACTGTGGGAAGCTGATGCTGTGGTCCAGTTGAGACAAGACTTGGGTGGCAGAGAGACAGTGGACAGGGTGGAGCCGTGAAGTCACCCTCCCAGTACATGAGAGAAGACGTCCAAGCCCAGTCCCTGACACCAGTCCAGCCAGAGGCAGGGAGGAGAGCAGAGTGGAGGGACACAGGATGACAGTGGGGCGTGGGGAGGCCAGCCTCTGCTGTGAGAGCTCTGAGATAGGGACGATGGTACCTCTGACCTTCCCTACCCCTCCAAGCCCTCTGTCCTGCTGGAAGGAGATGCCAGGAGGAGACCCAGGTGCTGAGGAGGAGGGACAGGACTGGGGGACGGTTGGGGACCTGGCCCCGGGTTGGGGGCGCACCTTCAGAATCGCCCTTGCCCCACGAGAGGGCTGCTGACCCCCACCCCTACCCCATGGCTGCCCCTCAGCAGGAGGGTCCGTTTCTCTCCCGAAAAACAGGGCACAGTCACTTCCTGATGCTAAAACACTCAGCATTTCCCTAGAAACAAAGGCAGCCATGCAAACCCCGAGCAAGCAGGTGGCGTGTAGTTGCCCATTGCATTTCAGTGGGCTGCGGTCCAGCTTCTAGAGGCCTGAGTGTGAGGTGTGTGCACATCTGGGGCACGCACTTGGTGCCAGGGCAGAGGAGAGGGCAGGTTGCACCTAACTTCATCTTTCCCCGCAGGACCTGGCCTGGGCCGTCAGCTACTACATCCGGTTCTTCATCACCTACATCCCTTTCTACGGCATCCTGGGAGCCCTCCTTTTCCTCAACTTCATCAGGTGCCTGGGCTTTGCTGATTCATCCCTGGGCCCTCCACTGGCACTGATGATGGCTTTGGCATGAGAAGAGGCTCGGACGGCTCCACTTTGCCTGGGGACCTCCCATCCTGGCCCCTTGGCAGGGGCTGTCCTGGGCTGGTTGGGAGAGTGGATCTGTTCCCACTGTGGCTGGGCCCCCGGAGGCCCCTGCGCTGAGCTGTGTTCTCTTGCAGGTTCCTGGAGAGCCACTGGTTTGTGTGGGTCACACAGATGAATCACATCGTCATGGAGATTGACCAGGAGGCCTACCGTGACTGGTTCAGTAGCCAGGTAGGGAAGTCAGGGCCGGTCACCAGAGCCTGGTCCCAATGTCCATGTCCTGGCCCCAGATGATCTGCACCTGCTAACACAGGGCTGTGCTGGGCCTCCCGGGGCTGCCTGTGTCCTTTTGCTGGGAGCTTCAGGGCTGAGCAAGAAAGGGCAGCAGGAATCCCCCAGAGGGACAGGTGGGGCATCTGGGTGGGCTGAGGCCATCAGGCAGGACGGTATGATGTGGACGGGTGGCCTGGAGACCCTGGGTAAGGCTGGGCCCCCTGGGAATGAGGCCGGGCCCTTGGGCCTTCCTTTGTTCCCTGACACTCATCCCCTCCACTGACAGCTGACAGCCACCTGCAACGTGGAGCAGTCCTTCTTCAACGACTGGTTCAGTGGACACCTTAACTTCCAGATTGAGCACCAGTGAGCGCGGGGCTGCGGGGAGGCGGGGAGACCCACAGCGGGAGGGAAGTGGCCGCTATCCCACTGGGCAGAATGCAGAATGTGGGGGCCACCTCTTTGTCTCTCTGACAAGGTCTCTGCCCAATATAGAGCAAGGCTCCCAGCCAGCCCCGCTGAGGTCAGGAGAGGGGCTCCCCTATTCCATCTCCCTGAGGGTCATCCTGTGCCCCTCATGCTGTGCCACTTGGTCATAGTGGTTACCACCTCCCTCCATGTGGGCCTGGGACTTTGTAGTTATGGAGCCTGCACACGCACCTCATGACCCTGTGAGGCTAGCAGGGCAGGGCTACGTAGCTTGCCTGGAACATCGGCCGAGGGACTGCCCTGCTGCCCCTTGTCCTTGCTTCACCTCTTGTCACTGTTTTTTTTTTTTTTTATTAAAAAATAAAAAATGTAGAGACAGAGTCTCACCCTGTTTCCTGGGCTGGAGTGCAGTGGTGCTTTCTTGGCTCACTGCAGCCTCGAACGCCTGAGCTAAAGTCATCCTCCCACCTCAGCCTCCTGAGTAGCTGGGACTGCAGGTGCGTGCCACCATGCCCAACTAATTTTTTCTTTTTTTTTTTACTTTTATTTATTTATTTATTTTGAGACAGAATCTCACTCTGTTGCCCAGACTGGAGGGCAGTGGCGCAATCTCGGCTCACTGCATCCTCCACCTACCAGGTTCAAGCAATTCTCAGGCCTCAGCCTCCCACGTAGCTGGGATTACAGGCGTGTGCCACCACGCCCAGCTAATTTTTGTATTTTTTAGTGGAGACGGGGTTTCACCATGTTGGCCAGGCTGGTCTCAAACTCCTAGCCTCAAGTGATCCACCTGCGTTGGCCTCCCAAAGTGCTGGGATTACAGGTGTGAGCCACTGCACCTGGCCTAATTTTTTATTTTTATTTTTTGTAGAGAAGAGGTCTTGCCGTGTCGCCCAGGCTGATCTCAAACTTCTGGCCTCAAGTGATCTGCCTGCCTCGGCCTCCCAAAATGCTGGGATTACAGGCGTGAGCCACCGTGCCTCACCTCACTGCCTCTTTTCCTAGCATTCCCCAGCTATTTCATTTCTTTTTTGAAAAACATGACACTTTGTCTCTGGCCACCCAATATCTTCCCAGCTCCATAGAGCACAAACGCCCTCCTGCTCACGGAGGGCTGCACCCTCCCCTCCACACACGTGGCACCCCACTGGGCACACACGAGGAGCCACACTTTGAGACTGGTCCTGGCTGTGGACAGGGTCTCTGAGGGCCCCAGCCAGCCTCTGCCCAGGTGGTGGGAGGAAGCGGGAGCAGCATGGCCCTCTGAGTCCTCACGCTCTGCCCACCCTACACACTCCTCAGCCTCTTCCCCACCATGCCCCGGCACAACTTACACAAGATCGCCCCGCTGGTGAAGTCTCTATGTGCCAAGCATGGCATTGAATACCAGGAGAAGCCGCTACTGAGGGCCCTGCTGGACATCATCAGGTGAGGGGTGGAGGTCCACAGGCGCTGGGCCCTGGGATCACCCGTGGTGCAGACAGTGGGATCACAAGAGGGGCTGGGCCCTCCTGGCACAGTCACCCACCAGGGCACCTGCCTTACTCCCGAGCCTGTGTTAGGAGCTGTTGGGCTTTTCTCCCTGGGCTGCGAGAAGACCATCCCTTTCTGTGTGGGGTTCCTGGTGGGCTCTGAGCTGACAGCCCCACAGGCCCAGTGGCAGTGGTAAGCCCTGGTTAGGGCCAAGGGGACATACATGCCACCTTAATGATGGCCTCCTCAGCCCTTGCACTCCCTGGGGCCACTCCCGTCCTGGTCCCTGACCCTGGTCCATCCCCAACTTTGCAGGTCCCTGAAGAAGTCTGGGAAGCTGTGGCTGGACGCCTACCTTCACAAATGAAGCCACAGCCCCCGGGACACCGTGGGGAAGGGGTGCAGGTGGGGTGATGGCCAGAGGAATGATGGGCTTTTGTTCTGAGGGGTGTCCGAGAGGCTGGTGTATGCACTGCTCACGGACCCCATGTTGGATCTTTCTCCCTTTCTCCTCTCCTTTTTCTCTTCACATCTCCCCCATAGCACCCTGCCCTCATGGGACCTGCCCTCCCTCAGCCGTCAGCCATCAGCCATGGCCCTCCCAGTGCCTCCTAGCCCCTTCTTCCAAGGAGCAGAGAGGTGGCCACCGGGGGTGGCTCTGTCCTACCTCCACTCTCTGCCCCTAAAGATGGGAGGAGACCAGCGGTCCATGGGTCTGGCCTGTGAGTCTCCCCTTGCAGCCTGGTCACTAGGCATCACCCCCGCTTTGGTTCTTCAGATGCTCTTGGGGTTCATAGGGGCAGGTCCTAGTCGGGCAGGGCCCCTGACCCTCCCGGCCTGGCTTCACTCTCCCTGACGGCTGCCATTGGTCCACCCTTTCATAGAGAGGCCTGCTTTGTTACAAAGCTCGGGTCTCCCTCCTGCAGCTCGGTTAAGTACCCGAGGCCTCTCTTAAGATGTCCAGGGCCCCAGGCCCGCGGGCACAGCCAGCCCAAACCTTGGGCCCTGGAAGAGTCCTCCACCCCATCACTAGAGTGCTCTGACCCTGGGCTTTCACGGGCCCCATTCCACCGCCTCCCCAACTTGAGCCTGTGACCTTGGGACCAAAGGGGGAGTCCCTCGTCTCTTGTGACTCAGCAGAGGCAGTGGCCACGTTCAGGGAGGGGCCGGCTGGCCTGGAGGCTCAGCCCACCCTCCAGCTTTTCCTCAGGGTGTCCTGAGGTCCAAGATTCTGGAGCAATCTGACCCTTCTCCAAAGGCTCTGTTATCAGCTGGGCAGTGCCAGCCAATCCCTGGCCATTTGGCCCCAGGGGACGTGGGCCCTGCAGGCTGCAGGAGGGCACTGGAGCTGGGAGGTCTCGTCCCAGCCCTCCCCATCTCGGGGCTGCTGTGTGGACGGCGCTGCCTCAGGCACTCTCCTGTCTGAACCTGCCCTTACTGTGTTTAACCTGTTGCTCCAGGATGCATTCTGATAGGAGGGGGCGGCAGGGCTGGGCCTTGTGACAATCTGCCTTTCACCACATGGCCTTGCCTCGGTGGCCCTGACTGTCAGGGAGGGCCAGGGAGGCAGAGCGGGAGGGAGTCTCAGGAGGAGGCTGCCCTGAGGGGCTGGGGAGGGGGTACCTCATGAGGACCAGGGTGGAGCTGAGAAGAGGAGGAGGTGGGGGCTGGAGGTGCTGGTAGCTGAGGGGACGGGCAAGTGAGAGGGGAGGGAGGGAAGTCCTGGGAGGATCCTGAGCTGCTGTTGCAGTCTAACCCACTAATCAGTTCTTAGATTCAGGGGAAGGGCAGGCACCAACAACTCAGAATGGGGGCTTTCGGGGAGGGCGCCTAGTCCCCCCAGCTCTAAGCAGCCAGGAGGGACCTGCATCTAAGCATCTGGGTTGCCATGGCAATGGCATGCCCCCCAGCTACTGTATGCCCCCGACCCCCGCAGAGGCAGAATGAACCCATAGGGAGCTGATCGTAATGTTTATCATGTTACTTCCCCACCCCTACATTTTTTGAAATAAAATAAGGAATTTTATTCTCACTTCCTGTGTTTCCTGCACGCCAATGCCAGGCCATGGTATTGGGTGATAGATGAGGCCCTTCTAGCTGGGCCTGGGCACCAGGAGGGGTCCCCATGCTTGCATCTCTCTGTATCCCCTCCCTCCCCTGTGGCCATCCCACCCGCCTCTCCCTGCTGCCTCTGAAATTCATTCTGGGGCCCGGAACTTGGTGGAAATGACCCAAAAACATTGGCCCATCTTCCTCCTCTCAGCAGCCGACCCCAGCCCAATTCTAAAACAGGGCTGAGAGCCACCTCTCAGCAGCTGACCCCTACCCAAGGAGGGTGGCATGGAGGGGCTTGCAGAGACTCTTCCTAACATCCTCCCCCCCCAGCTGTCTCCCCAAGTGCAATCTGCCCTCCCATCCCTGGGCCAGCCAGCTTCCACAGAGCGCCAGGCCAAACAGAATTCCTGGCCTCCTTGGAAGGGGCTGGAGAAGGCCGGGAGCGGTGGCTCATGCCTGTAATCCCAGCACTTTGGGAGGCTGAGGCGGGCAGATCACAAAGTCAAGAGATTGAGACCATCCTGGCCAACATGGTGAAACCCCGTCTCTACTAAAAATACAAAAATTAGGCCGGGTGCGGTGGCTCACGCCTGTAATCCCAGCACTTTGGGAGGCCGAGGCGGGCAGATCACGAGGTCAGGAGATCAAGACCATCCTGGCTAACACGGTGAAACCCCGTCTCTACTAAAAATACAAAAATTAGGCCGGGTGCGGTGGCTCACGCCTGTAATCCCAGCACTTTGGGAGGCCGAGGCGGGCAGATCACGAGGTCAGGAGATCAAGACCATCCTGGCTAACACGGTGAAACCCCGTCTCTACTAAAAATACAAAAAATTAGCCGGGCGAGGTGGCGGGTGCCTGTAGTCCCAGCTACGTGGGAGGCTGAGGCAAGAGAATGGCGTGAACCCCGGCGGGGCAGAGCCTGCAGAGAGCTGAGATCACACCACTGTACTCCAGCCTGGGCAACAGCGAGACTCCGTCTCAAAAAAAAAAAAAAAAAAAAAATTAGCTGGGCATGGTGGTGCGTGCCTGCAGTCCCAGCTACTCAGGAGGCTGAGACGGGAGAATCGCTTGAACCTGGGAGGCAGAGGTTGCAGTGAGCCAAGATCGCTCACTCCAGCCTAGCGACAGAGTGAGACTCCGTCTCAAATAAATAAATAAATAAATAAATTAAATTAAATTAAAAGGGGGCTGAAGAAGGCTCTGGAGGCTGATGATTCTTTTTGTGGCTCCCGTGCCCATATATGCAATGGCTCATTCAGAACCCACAGGCTGTGGGGGGGGCTGATATCATCCTAGCCCAGGGTCACCAGTTCATAGGCACAGAGATTGGATCCTAGGTCTGTCTGACCCCAGAGGCTGGGAAGAGTCTAAAGCAACATGCCAGGGGCACTTGTACAGTCGGCCTCCCATGGACCCCCATGCTGCTCCGTCATCATCTCTGGGCTGGCTTTCCTGGCAGGGCTGATCCTGGGAAAGTGCCAAGGAAGGGCCAAGAGGCACTGGCTAGTTAACACCTTGGGGCCTCCCCTTGGCTTTGTAGCTGCTCCCAGCAGGGCTGGGGAGGGCTCCTGAGTAGACCTCAGCCCCCGCCTGCTTCCCCTGACCCCCGCTTTGCCTGGCCGAAATCCAGCCAGGTAGGGACAGCCAGCAGACTGGCTGGGGTACGTATGGCTCCCCAGTGGCCACAGGGTGTCCTGAGTAGGGCCTGGCATTACAGAAGCCCTGAGCGAGGTGGCCGACTCACCCCAGATTCACCAAGTGGCTCTGGGGAGTCCTTTGCCCTCCCTGGCCCTGTGGGCCATAGTCCACAGGGGCAGGCTAGAGGGGCCCCAAGGATGCCATTATCTCAACACCCGCTTACCCTAGGCCTTGCCCTCCTGGTGGACCCGCTGGCAGTGGCCTTCAAGGTTACAAGACCCTGGCAGGCACGGCTCCCACCCTCTGCCCTGTGCCTGTGACCCGCCTCCAGGATGGCGACCAGCCCAGGCCTCCCAACCCTACCAGTTGGAAATCCATGGGTCCATCACCCATAACAACCAGGGGGCTTGGAATTGGGGATACTGGAGGCCAGATGGACGCTGGGGCTATGAGGGCACCAGATAAATCTTGGCCTAGCCTCACCGGGCACTTGGAGCTTCTCTGACTTCCCCAGCCCCACCCAGCCCCGCCTTGCCCTTGAATACTTCCCTGGGTCAAGAAGCTGAGGACATTCATATCTGCTCTCTGCTTAACCGCCCCCTCCTGTCCCTGTACTCAGCTGACCCCCTTGCCAACACACCCAGAATTGTGAGTTTCTAATCCCTATCCCCTGCCAAAGTCATGGTGCCCCAATATTCAAGGCCCTGAGCAATCAAACCCCAACACCACCATCATGGGCGAAGAGGCTGAGCCCAGAGAGAGGACAGGACTGCGCAGGCCACACAGCAGCAGGACCCTGCTCCTAACCCGCAGGCTCCTGGCCACCTCTCCTGCACAGAAAGGGCTGGTTCCCAGACCCTGCCCCCATCACGTCAAATGTCAGACAGCTCCCAGGAGGCCCAGCGGCTGGCTGGAGGAGTGGGGGCAGTGGAGGGCAGTTAGTCTCTGAGGAGGAGATAAGGGCAGTGTAGCTACGCAGATAAAAGGGTATCAGCTTTGTGGGTAGCGGGGACATCTGCAGCGCCCCAAGTCTAAGCTGTGTGTGTGTGGGGCGGGGGAGGGTGCTGTGGCACCACAGGCGGATCCTCGGGGTGTCTGGCTGGACACTCCGAAGCCCTCGTGCCTACTCGGAGGGGAGAGGAAGCCTTTACCAAGCTGGACCAGGGCAGAGCTGGCAGCCACTGGGGCTGGGCTTGGGCTGCCATCAGGAGTGGCTGGCCATTGCTTATGTGACACAGTGCCTTGGGCCCATCGGGACTCCTCAGCGAGCCAGGCTGCACCCTCCCCCGAGAGGTGTGCCCCTCTGGCCAAAGAAGCTGCCTCTCAAAGAGTCCCTGTTCCAACATCTGAGAGGGAAATGGGGCGCCGTGGGGATGGCTTGCCCCAGGCTGAAACGCCACTGCCCTCGGGACTGGTTTTCCTTTTCTCAGCAGACTGGCTTCATGTGGCCAGTGCATACACGGAACAAGCAGCCCCCCAGCGTGCTGAGATTTCAGGATCACGTCCCCATCGTCCTCCACCATCACAAACACTTTGCTTTGGATTTTAAAGGCGTTCAGGTCTTTCTTCTAAATCGTCCCATTCAAGAGCAAGTGTCCAAGAGAAAGAGTGACAGCAGCCAAGAGCTTGGAATAGGCCAAGCTCCCAGTAGTTGTGGTGGCTCATTGCCTGAGGACATAGTGTGGTGGGGGGAGGAACCTTGAGAAACCCATGGCCTGTCCCGTCACAAAAGAGTTTGTTGACGCCCTGCTCCCCTCCAGCTACTCCCAACACACCAGGCAGGGGCTGGCTCTTGGGCATCATCATTTCCAACATCTGCCTGGGCTGGGAGACCCGTAGCAAATGTTGATGATCAAAGGAACAAACCAACACTGCGGTTATGGTTTCCCTCGGGAGCTGTTTTTCCTCCGGGCCCACGCCTCTTGTACAGACAATAAAAAAGGAACACGGTTTCTCAGAGGTTCAGAGGTTCCACCAAAGCCTCTTTCCTTTTACAAACCTGGCCCCTGTGCCCTAAGCCTTTGTTCTGAGACTAGGAGACCTACAGATGGAGAAGGGGGAGCTCAGCTCAGGACTGAGGGTGACCTGTTCCCAGGGGATCTAGCATGGGGGACAGTGGGACAAGAGCAAAGATTCCCCTGCCAGTGATGGGTCCCAGGTGGTCTGGAGAAATCTAGGAGTGGCTGCTGAAGGCGGGGCCTCCCAGGGGTCCGCAAAGCAAGTTACCAGGGACAGTAGGGAGCACGGCCCGCCCCACACTGGCGCAGATGCTCCGGGCGCCCCTGGGTGGCGCTGCAGGCTCAGCTGTCGTGGATCCTCGGTGTTAGCATCTCCCTGGCGAGCGCCTCGGAGCCAGCGCACAGCGATCTCTACCAGGGTGTGGACGGAGGGAATGCCATTCGGAGCCTGCGCTGGCTCAGGGCGCCCGCGTGGCACTAGGAGCCAACAGGATTTAAACAGGCGGTGACAGGAAGGGGGAGTCCCTGCAGAGGGACCAGCCTGTGCAGAGACCCTGAATGCAAGGCACGCCCTGGCCATGAGAAGCGTGTGTCTGAGGCAGGAAGTACCTTTCAAGGAGCATCCAATCTTACCCTCGGCTGAAAACTGAGGCTCAGGGAAGGCAAAAAAGAACTTGCCCTAGGTGACAGAGCAAATGGTCATCCTGGGGAATTGGGTTGTGTGCACAAAATTTGTGAATAAACTGAGCCTGCTGCTGTGCCCTTTGCTAAGAGCCTTTCTTCCATCACCCTAGGTACTGCTGCTCGGGGTCAAGGAACTCCCCCAAGGTCACACAGCCTGCGTCCTGGCAGAAACAGGACTTGCCCCCACCCCACCCCACCCCCAAGTCTGTCTGACTTGAGTGGATCCGGTGGGGCTGGGTGGCACCCGGAGGAGGGCAGGCATCTCACTCACAACCAAGCTGAAGGGGCTGCCACCCTCTGCTTCCCTGGCCCTACCAGGAGGCCTCTGCTGGCACTGCCCTGGGCCGGGAGGCCATAGGGAGCTTTGGGCTGTCTGCTCCTGGGTCTGGGAGATTATGTGAGCCGAACAGGACCTCCCCCAGTGCTCTCCTGCCCCAGAAGTCAGGGTGAGGGAAGCAGGACCCAAACACCCTGTCTGTCATCCTCTCAGAAAACACACCCCAGGGTCTCCCGGGCCAGGCTCTGGGCTGCCACCAGCCTCCAGCAGCAAATGATGTCAGTATTCCAGGTGCCGTCACAGAGACCCTAGTCACAGGCTGGGCAGGGAAGGGGAGGAGCCCTGCGGGTCAGAGAGAACTTTCTAGAAGGGGAGCCCCTGGGAAGAGCCGCAAGAGTCCATGGGAATGTGCAGACGGCCCCTCCTCACAGAGAGGAAGCAGGTGTGAGACTACGGTGATCAGCTTTAGCACTGAGGAGCTTTCTGGCTGTCTCGGAAGAGAAGTTCATGGGCAGCAACACTCAGCGCCACCTTGTATGTGTGTGGAGTAGGGGGCGGGTTGATGGGGCAGTGGGGCTTCCCCTCCAGCTCCGTCCCACGGAGGATGGGCCTTGGAGGGGCTGAACAAAAATTGGCAGAATTTGCGCCTTTTCCACCTCCCAAAGAGAACCCAGTCCAGGCCAATGGAAGCCCAAAAAGTAGGGGGCAACCCCTGCAGCTGGTAGGGCGACCCCAGCTCCCACTCCAGAAAGGCCTCATAGAAATCCTCACTCAGCTTTCTTTTTCAAGCTGCCGACACTTCAGATGAAACCCTCAGCTCAGCTTGGAGCTGTCAGGCTGTGTGGATGCTGGGGACTGATTGGTCCAGCCAGATCTTCTTCCCAATTCTGGGTGCCCCAAGAGGCAACTCAAAGCCCTCCCCAGAACTGTCCGAAACCCACAGGCACAGTCCAGCCCACTGCCAGACAAGGAGCCTAAGACCTGACTCCAGGGACTCAGGGACAGGAATGGCCATGCCTCGGGGGTCCAGCCTATTCACTGCAGTAACTACAGACAAGCACCTGGTCCCAGGTGGGCTTGAGGGAGATCGACGTTGCCTCCTTGGGCCACCGGGCACAGGCTGCACCACCACCACTGGTGTGATGCCAGATGTGGCGCTAAGATCAGCAGGTGGCCCGCTGCGCGGGGCCCTTTCAGGCCCCCCATCATGGAGGGCTGTGGGAGGCCAGTGCAGGTCAAGAGGCACAACCGTCTTTCCCAGTCCATGTCCAGAAGCGTCCGCAGACATGGCCCCCAGCCCTGGGTCCTCATCTGCTGGGCCCGCTCATCCCACCATGCAGAAGCGTCAAGTGACTTGAAGCCCAGCATGAATAGGAAGTGAATAGGCCCTCGGGCAGGTCCGAGTCCAGGCATCCCTGGGCTCCCAGGCCCAGGGCATCTAGAGCTAAAGGGAGCTCCTTAGCGCTCCCCCTCAACCCCGCCGCCGGCCCCAACACACACATTGATGGCCGAGGGCCTGAATGCTGTTGGGGAGTCTGGGCAGACCCCAGCTTCAAAACTCATGCAAATTCACCACTCCACTCCATAATACATCTGAATGTATTTTAATATAAAAATAACAGCTTTCCCCCAATTCTCGCTCTAGGAAAATGTGCTATGCTCACCTTCCCTCTACCCCTGTCCCATCAGGCCCAGAGCCAAGGCCATAGGGCTGCTGAATACACATGTGAGGGGGCCGAGGGGAAGACAACAGTACCAGGAGGGCAGGCAGGGCACCCCCAGGCTGGCCAGTGGAGGGGTGAGGGTATCGATCCCGCCGGGGGCTGGCTTGGTTGCTGGTGCCCTGAGCCCTTCTCTGCCCGCCTGGGTGTTGCCTTCACTGATGGAGGTAGGCGTCCAGCCAGATGTCACCAGACTTCTTCAGGGACCTGGGAGGTGGGGGTGGCAGTGGGGGTGGGTGTTAGGAGCTCAGTTGCAAGATCCTAACACCCCTGTATCCCCCATGGTAAGTGTGAGCGGAGATCCCCATTCCCTGTGGGTTCCCTTCCCTGGGGGCAGGCAGCGATGCGGGCTGGAGGGTGGGTTGGGAGAACAGCTGAATGCTCATTCTCTGGAATGGAATCTAGACCGGGGTGACGGGTGTCGGGTAGGGGAGCTGGAGGGCAGCCAAGGCCAAGTCCAGGCATGAGCCTGGGTGGGCCTGTCCCTCCTGCACCCAGTTCTCCATTGCTGCCTCCTGCTGGGCGCTGCAACCCAAGGACAGAGAGGACGTGGAACCTGCCCACCCGATCTTGGGCCTGATATTGGTCAGTGGAGCCAGAAATGTCAACAATCTGCTAGGAAGCCCTGTGCCAGGCGCTCTAAAGGGCTGTGCCAAATGGCAGGGGCTCAGAGCATCAGGCTGGGAGAGATCATGAAGGAGAAGTGGGCATCTGAACACCAGCACAGGAAGGAAGGGCAACCAAGTAAGGGGAACAGCGTGTACAAAGGCGCAGAGGTATAAGACCTGGAATCTGGCCTCTGTTCTCCACCTCCAAGGTGACCACAAGGGCTGAGCCCCATCACCCCTCGCCTGGATGGCTGCAGTGTCCTCTGCTCTCCTTTTCCACTTCGACTCCTGCCCGCCAGTCATTCCCAGTAGGGGCAGCTTTCCAAGATGCAAGCCGGGCGTGTCCCTTCTCTGAGTGCCTGCATGCCTGCCTCGGCTATCTATGCCATGAGCTTGGCATTCAGGGTCAAGTGCCCTCTGCCTGAACGCTCTTTGCCAGATGTCCCTGTGGCGAGACCTCTCCCCTCCTCCCTGTCCCTGCTCACACGTCAGCCTGTCAATACTGCCCACCCTACCACCTATTTAGAAACTGCCGCCCCTGCCTGGCCGCCCCCCTCCCCTCCCCTGTCCCCACCCTGAGGGGCTTTTCATTGTTCTTTTGCCCATCTTCTGTAATGTACTTATTTGTTATTTTAATTGCTTGCTGTTTCCTTTGCTGGAAGGAACATCAGCTCCAAGAGGGCAGGAAGCTCTCTAGAGCCTGCATTGCTACAAGGGCAATGCCATCTTCAAGCAAAACTGTCTGATGACCGATGCTTGACCCTGAATGCCAAGCTCATGGCATAGATAACCTCCTCTTGTAGACGCTTATCTAACCTCCAGTGGTCACCAGGTTCATAAGAACCACCTGCATGGGGTTCACCCTAAAAGCTTGCTATATAGAGGGTTCTTTCTAGAGGGCGTGTGAGGGGATGTCCCAACTCTTGGCTGCCTGAGACATGGTTTTTTTGTTTGTTTTTGAGAGAGTCTTGCTCTGTTGCCCAGGCTGGACTGCAAAGGCACAATCTCAGCTCACTGCAACCTCCGCCCCTGCGAGTTCAAGTGATTCTCCTCCCTCAGCCTCCCAAGTAGCTGGGATTATGGGCACCTGCCACCACACCCAGCTAATTTTTGTTTTTTTTTTTTTTTTTTTTTTTTTTTTTTTTTAGTAGAGACGGGGTTTCACCATGTTGGCCAGGCTGGTCTCGAACTCCTGACCTCAAGTGATCCGCCCACCTCAGCCTCCCCAAGTGCTGGAATTACAGGCGTGAGCCACCGCACCCGGCCCTGAGACATGGCTTCTGTTTATGAGTCCCTGTTAAGTGTTTCCTTCTGAGAAACTGGATCTGTTAGCTTCTTTCCCTCAGCCTTTGGGGGTAGGTTTGCATAGACCTGCTCACCGCAGGCACTGCTGTTTGTGAGTCTGCAGTAGGTGCTCCAGAAATTCTCACTGTGTGCGTGAAGGCTGGGGAAGGGAGGAAGGGCATGGGACGTGGACAGAAAGGCTCAGGGACCCTGGGGGCTCAGCATGAGGCTGACCTGGACAAGGGTAGGCATAGGCCCTGGGGAAGCCACCAGAACAGAGGGGCCGGGCTGCAGCCTCACCTGACGATGTCCACCAGCGCGGTGAGGAAGGGCTTCACTTCGTAGCTGAGGCCGTGCTTGGCACACAGCGACTTGACCAGCGGGGCCACCCGGCTGTAGTTGTGTCTCGGCATCCTGGGGAAGAGGCTGGGGGTGGGGAGCGTATGCTGGCACCTGAAGTGGGAGATTCCAGAGAGAGGCCCCACCCACGGGTCCCCTCCCAGGATCCCCTCCCAGGACCCCCTCCCCACCTCCCACTGGCCCCCAGCACCCACACTCACTGGTGCTCGATCTGGAAGTTGAGGTGCCCGCTGAACCAGTTGGTGAAAAGTGAGGGCTCCACGTTGCAGGTGGCTGCCAGCTGCCGGAAGCCGGCGGGGCACATGTGAGGAGGCCGTTGCAGATCCCTGACCCCACGGCACCATCCCCCACCTGGCAGCCCCGTCAGGGCCTCATCCCTGCTTTGCCATCTGGCTCCTAGCTGGGACCCCCCACCCCACCCAGGATGGGCCCCACCCCTGCTGCCCACCTGAGAGCTGACCCAGTCCCGGTGCTTCTCGTGGCCGATCTCCTTGGGGATGTGGTTCATCTGTGTGATCCACACGAACCAGTGGCTTTCCAGGACCCTGTGGGGAGGCTCGGGCACTGCCCTAGGTCCAGCTCACCACTTAGGCACCCTGAGTGGAGGCTGGAGAGCAGCTGTCCCCAAGTGGCCTTGACTTCCTTATCTGTACAATAGGATTGTGGCCATCGCCCCCTTGCCAGTGTTTAAAGAATCTGAATGGAGCAGTGTCCACTGTGAGGCTGAGTCCAGAGCAGCTCCGACACCCACCGGGCCACTTACAAGCCAGGCCACGCTCCCTAAACCCACCGACCCTGGGCTCCTGCCACGCTTGTGTTTATGTGATTCCACCAGCAAGCCAGGGAGGCAGTACCACTGGCCCCATTCTGCAGACGGGAAAAGGGAAGCTCTGGTGGGGGGCTGCAGTGGGGGTCACCTGTCGCCTGTGTGTGACCTCGCCACTCCCTGCCATACCTGACAGCAACAAAGAAGAGCAGCACCCCAGGGACGCCGTAGAAGGGGAGGTAGGATAAGAAGAAGCGGGCATAGAAGCTGGCGGCCCAGAGCAAATCCTGCAGAGGAGGGCAGAGGCGATACCGAGAGGTCTCCAGGTGCCCGGAGGTCTGGAGGCCTGGTGGGTGGGAGGAGGACCTCAGGCATCCAACCCTTCTGCCTGATTTGCCTCAGAGCCCAGGACAGGCCACCACCCTCTCTGGTTTTCTCAGCTGAGTAAAGGAACAGGGTCCTTGCCCTGCCAGCTCACGAGGCTGATTTTAGTGACGAAGGTGTCATGCAGGGTGTGTTGGGGAAGACCCTGCCAGGGACACAGATGCCTGGCAGAGTCAGCCCAGCAACTCCTCCTGGGAAGACACCCTCACCGAGAGAGACCCACACCCCCCCTGTTCCTCAACCCCCCCCCACCACACGTACAGTCACGGGCACACTCGCTCTCCTGCTGCGCGCACACATGTGAGCCACACTGTTGCACGCATACATGTGAGCCACACTGTTGCACGCACATGTGCACCCTGTTTGCCTTCATGGGCAGGTACTGTCCCCCGAGGCACCACCTCCTGCCACGGCAGCCGTATGCCCGGGGTCCTGGGCAACCCCACTCACCGCCCACTGCATGCACACCAGCATGTACGCCAGATTTTCCACTTCAAAGTTCACCAGGGTGAGCAGCGGCGGGCCGACTGCAAGAAGGGGCATGAGAGTGTTCAGGAGTGGGGCTGGGCTGCCAAGGTGAGTGGGCGCCAGAGTGAGGGGCTCTGTTACTCCAGGAATGCCCCTGGGACGTTGGTGCTGGTCACATCCAGCTGAATGACCCCATATCACCCCCAATTCTGTGTCCAAGCCTCCCCAGGCTGCCCTTACCCCACCACCTCCCACCACCCTTCACCGCAAGTCAGGGCCAGACTTGAGTCCTCACTCTGTCCGCCCCAACAACTGCCCAAAGACTCTAGGGCTCCGGACCACTCTAGTGAGGGCAAGAAGAAATTCTACGTGGGGCTTGGGGAAGCTCCCAGCAGGGCTGTGATGGCCCGTGGCTGCAAGGTGTCCCAGGCACGGGAGACAGCTGGGGCAAAGGCATGCTGCTGGGAGAGTGTGTACAGACTGCAGAGGCTGGGAGGATGCCATGACCAGGGAGACCTGACAGACGTGCCCCGCCCCAGGAAGTGGCTGGGAGTGGTCCAGGACAGCAGGGAGGACAGTGCAGGCCCAGGCACTCCCCCACCCCAGAAGGACAGATGGACACTCACTCAGGAAGAAGTACAGGTGCTGCTGGTTGTAGGGTAGGTATCTGCGTTTCTTCTTGCCATACTGTGGAGACAGGCGGCGGCTGGAGACAGCAGCTCTCCAGGCCACCTCCTTCTCCCGGGCAAGGTCACGGGGCTGGCTGGGGCCAAGGGTCAAAGGCAACTCTAGATTCTAGCAAGCGGGCTGGTCGTCCCCAGCAGGTTGGGAGGTGGGAAGGAAAGACACGGGGGCAGAGCTTGGCCCAGCCAGAGTGGAGGCCAGATCAGGGGCTAGGTCAGGGGCAGAGTGGGGACCCAGTGCATTAGCTCCCCCTCAGCTGCAGGCCCAGCCAGAGGTTGTCCACGTCCCTCCCCACCCACCTCGACGGATGACTCCCCCAGGAGGAAGACGGGCGCCACCGTCACGTCTGGGTCTTTGTGGAAGATGTTGGGCTTGGCGTGGTGCTGGAAGTGGCGGAAGTTCCACCAGTGGGCGGAGAAGCCCTGTGGAGGAGGAGGGGGCTCTCAGGGCAGGCTGTGCCCCCGACTGTGCCCACACACTTGGGCAGACCCAGCGCCACCCAGCACCTGGCTGACCACCCACCCCACCCTCACCTTTAGCTGCCCCATCACGAACTTCTGGGCCACGTGGTTCCACCAGGACTTCTTGAAGATGGAGGCATGGCCCAGGTCATGCTGCAGACACCAGGACTGAGCCTGGGGAGAGAGGCAGGGTCAGAAGCTGTTGGGAAGGACGGAGCCCGCCAGGGCCTGGGGCCCCAGTGAATCCTTTCAGCTTGCAGGGTACCCCCGTGCTAATGCTCCATTTCAAGACCCTTGTGGGCCAGTGTCCTCTTTTTACAGATGAGAACTGAGTCCCAGGGAGGTGGAGGGGCTCGTAAGTGTCATGAAGCTGCAGGGCAGCAGCCTCTGGCTCAGTGGCCCTGTGCTTGATCGGAATCTGTTCAAGAAGGAACTTCTTGGCTCATCTGGAATGCAGCTTGACCCACAGACATGCCTGATGGGCCTTCAGACTGTTCACTCATTCATCTGTTTATTCATCCATTCATCCTTTCATAGGTCCATTCATTCATTTAGCAAATATGTTCACAATGCCCAGATGCATGGGGGCCCACGTCTGTTGGGCAGTTAAGGTGGCTGCAACACAGAACTGGGGTCACCTGAGAGATGGCCAGGATGAAGGCGGCCAGGGCACTGGGCACCCAGCCAGGACCCAGGAGGTAGATAAGGAGCCAGGCCAGCACCTCCATGGCCAGGATGTGGCCCAGTAGGAAAGCAAAGAAGGTGGGACTGGCATCAAACAGCTTCATGTCCTCGGCTGCCTGGTGCAGGGCTCGGAAGTCCTCGACCAGCTGCGCCTGCCATAGCAGAGGGGCCGATCAGCCAAGGAAGAAATTCCTCCCCACCCCCATTCTCCTGGAGCCCCAGCCGCTCCTCCCATCGCCAGGCCCAAGGGGTGTGGGCAAAGAGGAATGAAGTGACAAGAGTACCCAGCCCGGGGTGTGAGCTGGAGCACTGGCTGGTGGTGAAGCCTCCTCTCCCTCCCAAAAGGTATGGGGTGGGTAAGACGCTACAGCCAGGAGAGAAATCAGTTCATCAAAATCCTCCTTTTGATGGGGACACTGGGCGACAACAGGGAGGGAGCTTGCCTCGGGATCCAAACGGGTGCCTGGCTAAACCAGATCTGGAGCCCTGGACTTCTCAGGGCATCCCTACAGCTTCACTTTCAACTGCCTGCCCCCTGGGAGGGGAGGGCAGGCTCAGCCCTGGCTCTGCATCCCCTTGGGCGAATGCCGAGGGAGCTGCTCCTGGCCATGTGGCAATGTCTCCCAGCCCTCCAGCCATCCCCCTCCCTCAGGGGCTGAGCCTCTCCTAGGGCTCTGGCTCACATTCAGGGGTCCATCCTGGCTGGGTTCTTCCGGAGCCAGCTCTCCAATCAACAGGGGCTGTAGGAACTTGCGCACAAAATTGAGATCTTGATGGAAGGCACGGAAGGCATCCTGAAGGAGAGCAGACAGTCAGGCGGACAGACAGACACAGCTGAGTAGCACAGCGGCAACCAGCAGAGACAGGCGGAAGGACTACGGATGGATGGGCAGAGCAGACGACAGGCGGACAGGAAGTCAGCCGGCTGATGAACAGTCAAAGACATGGGCCCTCCCTGGTCCTCCCAGGGCCCCAGGTTGTCCTGCTTTTCACCCATTGCCTGCTGTGCCCCATCCACTTCACCCAGCACAAGGGCCCCTCTCTGAACACGGTCAAACATCTGCAGCTCTGGATTTACAGAAAGACCTCCCGGGAAGACTTTGATTTCTTGAACCACGAAAAAAGGTTCTGCTTTTCCAAAAAGCTTAAGTCATACAAGTTTCCACTGCATGTAGAATAAGATCTGGGTCACGAACATTTGATTTACCCCGTTTTTATAAACATAAGCAGTGGGTGAAGGGTAGGTGGGAAAACCTGGAACTGAGGACCACTGGGTCACGGGGCGGGGGGATCAGTCAAGGGCGACACACATTGAGTCCTTGGGGGTTTGCAAGGAAGACACTTGAACAGTTAAACTGATTTGACTTACAAAGCAGGAAGCAGGAGCACAAAACATAATTTTTTTTTTTTTTGAGACAGTCTTGCTCTGTTGCCCAGGCTGGCATGCAATGGCATGATCTCAGTTCATTGCAACCTCTACCTCCTGGGTTCAAGCAATTCTCCGGTCTCAGCCTCCGGAGTAGCTGGTCTCAAACTCCTGACCCCAGGTGGCCAAGCTGGTCTTTAACTCCTGACCTCAGTTGATCTGCCCACCTTGGCCTCCCAAAGTGCTGGAATTATAGGTGTGAGCCACCGCGCCCAGCCTAATTTTTTTTTTAAAGTAAATAAAATGGGCCAGGCATGGTGGCTCACATCTGTAATCCCAGCACTGTAAGAGGCCAAGGCACGAGGATTGCTTGAGGCCAGGAGTTCAAGACCAGCCTGGGCCACATAGTGAGACCTTGTCTCTATTTTTACAAAAAAGAAAACATCATAAATAAAATGAATAATCCAACATTCTCGCGATTCTGTGTAATAGCTGGAGTGGGGGTGGAGTACGATGCAGGAGAAGGAAGAAAGAGTAAAGAAAGGGGGTGAGAAGAGAAGACAGACCAGGAGAAAGATAAGGGCCAGGGAAAGAGACCAGCCAGGAAGTGGCCCAGAAGTAAAGTAAGCTTGAACTTCACACCTGGGCTCACTTAGCCTTCCAGGTCTGCCTGTGGTCTTGGTATTGTAATCGGCTCACTAATTGTTCACAGCTCTTGGACTGATTTTTTTCCTTGTACTTTCAGAGGCTTTCTCTGAATGGGCTAGCCAGAGCCATACAGCAGCTTATAGAACCAGTAGCTGGGTGGTGTTGTCCCCATGGGTCTGGAGAAGGGAGGCCTCCCAGTTGCTAAAGGAAACACCTTTGAAGAAAGCTGACTGAGGACAGGGGCCTCCTATTGTCCTCTTGCTAATGAGCCTACCAGCTGGTGAGTCTTAAAACGGAAGTGACAGCGGGCCCTGAAGTCACTGCCAGGACATTCTCCTACCACCCTGGGGGAAGAAAGCACTTCAGGCCCCTCCAGCACCCACTAAGAGGTAACACCTACATGATCTACTAGGGGTCCCCTTGCCTGCTTTTATAGGCCCAGGGCAGCTTGGGGACTGGGGGGCTGGTAGGGTGCCCCTTCTGGAATAACCTGGGCTGACTTGGCTCACTCATTACAGAGGAGGGGGCTGTATAAGTGCAGATCTCACCCCCTCTGGACATGAGTCTTGAAGGAGGGGCAGCAAAACTGGTAGAAAAAAGGGCAGAGGGAAGGCTGGGGGTCCCCAGGAAGCTGTCTGGGCCCCCAGCTACCTGCAGAGCTGGGGCTGGTGTACAGGGGAGCTGGGAGGGAAGAAGACTCTTGGGGTTCTACTGACCCCACTGGGTGTTTTTTTTTTTTTTTTTTTTTTTTTTTTTTGAGATAGGGTCTTGCTGTATCGCCCAGGCTAGAGTGCAGTGGTGCAATCATGGCTCACTGCAGCCTCAACCTCCCGGGCTCAGGTGATCCTCCCACCTTAGCCTCTCTCGTAGCTGTTAGTACAGGTGTGCACCACCATGCCCAGCTAATTTTTTATTTTTATTTTTTGTAGAGATGAGGTTTGCCATGTTGCCCAGCTGGTCTTAAACTCCTGGGCTCAAGCAATCCACCCACCTCAGCCTCCCAAAGTGCTGGAATTACAGGAATGAGCCACCACGCCCAGCCCAGAAAAACACTGAAAAATTTTTTTGAGACAGGGCCTCACTCTGTCACCAGGCTGGAGTGCAGTGATGCAATCACAGCTCACTGCAGCCTTGAAATCCTGGTCGTAAGTGATCCTCCCACCTCAGCCTCCCCAGCAGCTAGGACTACAGGCACATGCCACCATGTCTCATTAACTTTTGAATTTTTTTGTAGAGTCAAGGTCTCACTATGTTGCCTAGGCATGTCTTAAATGCCTGACTTCAAGCGATCCTCCCACCTCAGCCTCCCAAAGTGTTGAGAGTACAGGTGTGAGCCACACCTGGCCTCTAATTTTTTTATTTATCTTTTATTTTTTGAGACAGAGTCTTGCTCTGTCGCCCAGACTGGGTTGCAGTGGCATGATCTCGGCTTACTGCAACCTCCACCTCCCAGGTTCAAGAGATTCTTGTGCCTTAGCCTACTGAGTAGGTGGGATTAGAGGTGCAAGCCACCACACCAGGCTAATTTTTGTATATTTCGTAGAGTCGGGGTTTCACCATATTGCCCAGGCTGGTGTTGAACTCCTGAGCTCAAGCAATCCTCCCGCCTTGGCCTCCCAAAGTGTTGGGATTACAGGCATAAGCCACCACGCCCAGCCAATTTTTTAAAAATTGTAGTAAAATATACATGAAATTTACCATTGTAAGCATTTTTAGGTGTCCAGCTCAGTGGTATTAAGTGCATGCACAGTGTTGTCCAACCATCACCATCATCCAGCTCCAGAACCTTTTCACCTTCCCCAACTGAAACTCTGTCCCCATTAAACACTAATTCTCCATTCTCTCCTCCCCCTGCCCCGGCAACCACCATGCTACCTTCTGTCCATACAGATCTGCCTCCTCCGGAAACCTCATCTGGGAGAAATCACATGTTTGTTCCTTTGCCTCTGGCTTGTTTCACTCAGCACAATGTCCTTAAGGTCCATCCATGTTGCAGCACGTGTCAGGATGTCCTACCTTTTTAAGGCTGAGCCAGCGTGATGGTGAGTCCCTCTTTCTCCTTTGAAACTCCCCAGACACACACGCACATGCAGACACACCCACCAGCCCACACCAGCAGGCATCACTCAGACACTCAGAAACATGCCCACAATCACGGCCCACATGAACACTCAGCCAAACACAGCCTTGCACACATGGTACGCAAAGATGCAGCTGGCACGCACAGACACACCCGGCGCAACGTGCAAGCTGTGGCTGCGGCCCCAGAATCTCCTCCCTCCCAGCCCTTCCCTCTATCACCCCATGTCAGTTCTGGGGCCACCTTATTGAGCTGAGGATCTTGGGTCCAGATTGGTCTCCTCGCCTCCTTTCCCGTTGGTCCTGATTCACCCAGGCCAGCCCTGTCGAGGCACTGACAGGGGAGGACAGAACCAAGCCTGCCCCAGGGCCTTCAAGCCAGATCTACCCCTTGCAATGATAAGGGGAAGTGTGAGCCCCCTCAGGGCTGTGTCAGAGAACCCCAAAGCCATTGACAGGGCTCCAGCTGGGGAAGGGACAGGTGGGGCTGTGACAGTTCCCTGGGAAGCAGGCTGGGCTCTCAGAGCTGGGTGGGCACCCTGGGGCTGTGCTTCTCATGCTATCAGGGAGTGCGAGTAGGGCAGGGGCCTGGACTCAGGCCGAAACCTGGAAGCAAACAGCCTTCTCTGGAACTGGCTGAGGTCATGTGACCTGGTCCTCTGTGGGCCTCTCCTTAAGGATGGGGGTGCCAGGCAGAAGCTAAGACTCAGAGAGGTTAAGCTACTTCTTCAAGGTCACACAGTTCCATTTGACCGAGGTTAGATCAGAGTCCAGGTCTCTTCTCACTCATAAGTGAGAGTTGAACAATGAGAACACATGGACACAGGGAAGGGAACATCACACACCGGGGCTTACTGGGCGGGTGAGGGGCAAGGGGAGGGAGAGCATTAGGACAAATGCCTAATGTATATGGAGCTTAAAACCTAGATGAGGGGTTGACGGGTGCAGCAAACCACCATGGCACATGTATACCTATGTAACAAACCTGCACATTCTGCACGTTTCCCGGAACTTAAAGTGAAGAAAACAAAAACAAAAGCGAAAAACTGTGCTTGTCGCCACTCCTGGAACAGAGGGGAAGCAGCAGTTCTCCTAGGTGGTGTGCGGGGGTCCTTGCCGTGAGGCCAGTCACTATCTCAAGAAGCCAAGGGCCCAGCTGCTGGGAGCCTGGGCTGGGGGGCAGGAAGGCGGTTCTTGGACCTCATCAGTGGAGCCTCAGGGAACTGTGGGAGGTCCCACCCTCACACACCCTAAGTGCACCCAGGAACATCCACCCAGGGGTACGTGCACAAAGCCCTGTCCCCCCAACCCCCACACGCACCCAAGCGAGTGGAAAGCGGCACTCGACGTCTCTCATCGGGTACCGGAGCAGAGCTGGGTGAAAGTGCTGGAATCAAAACGGCACCCCTAAACACAAGCTCCTGGAGGTAGCGACAGGCTCTGTTCACAGTGGCATCCTCAGAGGCCGGCACAGAGCAGCTGCTCAACAGCAGGTATGAACAAGTAGACAAGAGCCAACCCTCCACAGCCCCCAAAGCAGGGGCACGAACCATTTTGCTGGTGAGGAAATGAAGGCTCAGCGGGAAGGGACACCTGCCCAGGTCCCAGTTAGTAGTGGCAGAGCTGGGATTCGAACCCGGGCCCATCTTCTGTGATGTTCATGCTCTCTCAGGATACAGAGACAGCTCAGCCTGGCCTTGGTCCCTGGAAGCCTAGAGTGGCTCAGTTGGCCCCAAGATCCCACGCCCTGCCCAAGCCCCACCGTGAATCCCACACAGCAGCTGGTCGGGGGGGTGTCCCAGAGCCAGCCTGCCCAGGATGGAACCTGAGCTGCTATCCAGGAGCCAGGGAGCCCCAGACAAGACCACACCCATCTCTCATCAGTATTTCTCATCAGTAAACTGGGAACCACAAATCCCCATCTCACAAGGCTGCTGGGAGGATGCAGTCGGTGGCGCTAAAGCACTTAGAAGGGGCCTGGCGGTTGGCAAGAGCTCCACAGCCCAGCTCTTTCTGAGCCCTGCAGCCCTGATGAGCCTCCTCCTGAGAGTCCACTTAGAGGTAAGTGCCTGCAGGAGGGGCCTACAGGTGTCAGGGAAGAGAGTGGAGAAGCTGCTTCTCTGCCTGCCTGTTAAGTCCTGGCCAAGCCTGAGGCTGGGAGAGAGGAGGGGCTGGCAGCCTCCTTCCACCCCAGAGACACAGCAGGGCAGGGAGGGATTTTGGGTCACTCCCTAGGAGAATCAAGAATGTGCCAGATCAGTCAGGAAGGGGGTGAAGCAGGGAGTGTGGCAGGGCTGCTGAGGGCTCAGGTGGTCGGGGTCTGTCCTCGCTGCCTTCTCATGCCTTTGTAGGATGTTGGGGTGACAGGGCTATGCCTCAAAGGACACCCCCAGGACATTCCTGCCTCTCCCCTCTCCCAGGTGGGTGGGTACAGCAGGAGCGTGCCCAGCACACCATGCTCCGTCCCATCCTCTCCCTGGCGCCCGTCAGAGGAGGCCAGTGGGGAAGCACTATCAGTATCCCATTTTACAGATGAGGAAACTGAGGCCCCAAGAGGTCCCAAAGAAACACAGCTCTAAACATGGGACATCCAAATTTGGCCTGTGTAGCGGAGCCCAAGTCGAAGGCAGACACCCCCAAAAAGCTACCCCTGTCCCCCAGCACCCCTCAATGTCCTGGTGAAGGGTGGGCATATATGTGAGGGCTCCTGCAGCCAGGACGCTTGGCCTCACAAGTGTCCCTGACCCCACAGTAGCCCCAAAGCAGCTATACCCTCTGGCTCCTGGTCCTCTCTCCACCACTGACCTCTGGCTCCACTACTGGAGCCTGGCTGTTTCATCAGAAACCCGCAGGAAGAGACCGGGAGGGATGCCCAGGGGCAGTATCCTGCTGACGCCAGACAATCCCAACTCTTCCCACAAGGAAGGAGCAAGGCACTGCAGCCCCTCTGGGGAAGGGGCCTGGGTGGGCGGTGGCCTTGCAGAAAACGCCTGCGGGGAGCCCAGAGCAGTCACACTTCATGGGAGTGGCCATTAGGGGACTTTCAAGGCAGTCAATGTGGTAGGAGGGAGTGGAGTGGCTCTGGAGCCACCCCCCAACCAACTCCTGTGGCCTCAGATCTGCCTAATCCTAGTCCTGTCCCTCCCCAGCTCCCACCCAGACACAAACCCCACCCTCGTGGCCCGAGTACAAAGGCCCTACCCTTCAAGGGTCCTGAGAAGGTTCCATTACACCCCCCAGTTTCAAACTCAGTCTCCTCATCTACAAAATGGGCTAACAATAGGACTTACCTCATAAAGTTGTTAGGCGAATTCAATCAGTTACCACATCTAAACCCCTCAGAACAGTGCCTAGTCAATAACTGTTGGCTGCAATTACTATGAAGCAGCCTCTGCTGCAGCACTGGCCACTCCCTCCTCCAGCTCAGGCCAGGCTCAGAGAACCACCTAGAAGGAGGGTCCTAAGGCAGAGGGCTCAGGGGGTCTGCTGGAACTTGGATTTTCCCACAGTTGTTAGGGCTTCAGCCGAAAGGGCACCAGGGGCTGCTGGGAAACTCCTCATCCGCCCTGAGTTGCTGTGGGCAATGCATTCACCACACCCATGAATAGAGCTTTGTTGCCCATGGTAACCAGGCACCCAGGTGCCCAGCACCACCCTCATAGTGTGCCCAGGACAAAAGCATTCTCATCCTCATCACACTAATGGGGAAACTGAGACCCAGAAGTGAAAGGATGTGTCCAAGATCATAGAGCGAGGCCAGGCTGGCTCCCTCTCTAAAGACAACATGAAGCTAAATCTAATGTGTCTAATGGCTCTCACTGGACCAGTGTGCCTGTGTCCACAGCCTCTCTTGCTCTCTGCCCTGGCCACACTCTACCTCTTCTGAGTGGCCTCCCTTGGGGGAGGGCAGGTCTCCATCCTCCCTTCTCTTACCCTTCTGGAAGGCTCTGCCTTCACTCTCTCCATTAAGGATCCTTTTAAATGTCCATCAGACTCCCCAGGCTTCCCTGCTGTGCTCTCTGGGGCTCCCCATCCTCTTTAAAATAAAGCCAAAGTCCTTCCGAGGACACAAACATCCAGCATGAGCCAGCCCGGCCGCCTCTAGACCTCACTGCCAGGCCCTCTCTCCACTGCTCTCTGCTGCAGCCATACTGTATTCCTGGAACACAGGACGCACGGTCCCACCTCTGAGCCTTTGCTCTAGCTGATCCCTCTGCTGTGAACTCATTCCCTGTAGAAGTTTTGCTCACAGCTACATCTTCAGAGGTGAGAACCATGCATGACACAGAGAAGATGCTCACTGATGGATTTAATGAGTCAAACATTGAAGAATCAATGAGTGCCGGAAATAAACAGGATAGGTGGCAGCATAGCATGCCCTTAAGAACATGGCTGTGGATTCAAATCCCAGACCAATCACTGAATTTCAAGCCACTTTGCCTCTCTGAGCCTCTGTTTTCTCATCTGTCAAGTGGCAATAACAATAAATGGTACGTGCCTCATAGGGGCACCTTGAGGATTAAAAGAGAGGGTTTCAATAAATCAAGTACTGATTTCAAAACCTGGCACATAGTAGGCACTCAGCACATGGCCCTTATATACTTATGGCCAGCAGCGGCTGGGCCTCATCCCTCCCTGGCTGGCTCCACTAGTATCAGGCTGCCTATGACTCTCAGACAAACCTGGCCAAGGGCCCAGAGTACTCTCCCCAGGGCACCCGGCCTTGTGTCCCAAGATGGCCACAGGCTGACTTCATGGCACAGAAACTCTGGGAATTTCCTGGCAGGAAGGCTTCATTGCCTGGACTTGAGAACAGCTGATGGGCAGCCGGGGCTGGTGAGAGGTGACCGCTGGAACACATCCCTGGCAACTGGCTGCCCCACCTCCACCTGAGGCCACCGCCCGGGATGGGATGCCTGGGGCCTGGGCTCAACTACACAGGGCACTGGGCTGGCCCAACCCCTGGTCTACCCTGTGGGTTCATCATGGACAAAGACTGATTGCACCATCCCAGCAACCTCACAGTCCCTTTGGCCTGAATGGACCAAGTATTTCTGGCAACTCTAGTCCAGGCTGTGGGGCCTTGAGGGAGCTAAGAGACAGCCTAAAGTGTCCCTTTCCTACTTCAGATAGGACCGTAACCAAATAAGGTCACCCAGGAAAGGGGTAGCCGTGCAGGGCTGTCCCACCATACGCTGCAGTTTGCAGGGCACGCTCACACTTAGGGGCCAGCAGCATTTACCGAATACAAACTACTACCTGGCAGCCCTGGGCCATGGGCTTGAGGAGACACAGTCCTGCCCTCAGCCAGCTCACTGTCTGCCCCAGCTCTCCCACTTTACAGATGAGTAAACTGGGGCACAGAGGAGTGACATGCCTGCTTCAAGGTCGCTCAGTGCCTCCAATAGCAGAGCTGGCACCCGGCCCCAAGGAGCAGAGAGATGTTTTTTGTTTGTTTGTTTGAGACGGAGTTTTGCTCTTGTTGCCCAGGCTGGAGTGCAATGGCGCGATCTCGGCTCACCGGAACCTCCGTCTCCTGGGTTCAAGCGATTCTCCTGCCTCAGCCTCCCAAAGTGCTGGGATTACAGGCATGCGCCACCACGCCTGGCTAATTTTGTATTTTTTTAGAAGAGACAGGGTTTCTCCATGTTGGTCAGGCTGGTCTCAAACTCCCGACCTCAGGTGATCTGCCCACCTCAGCCTCCCAAAGTGCTGGGATTACAGGTGTGAGCCACAGCGCTCGGCCTGAGATGTTTTTAAAACAGATATTATTGGCTGCGAATCAATGAGAAAACTGTGTGATGGAAGTCTCAGGATCCCAAGCTAAATGTTAAGTCAGTAATTCCACTTGGGAGGAACCCCAGCATGGGCCTGGCACCAGGCAGGAAACAGTGATGAAATAAAAGCTTTCTGTATCCCAGCCGGGCGTGGTGGCTCACGCCTGTAATCCCAGCGCTTTGGGAGGCCGAGGTGGGTGGATCACGAGGTCAGGAGTTCGAGACCAGCTTGGCCAACATGGTGAAACCCCGTCTCTACTAAAAATACAATATGCTGGGCGTGGTGGCGCGTGCCCGTAATCCCAGCTACTCGGGAGGCTGAGGCAGGAGAATCGCTTGAACCTGGGAGGCGGAGGTTGCAGTGAGCCAAGATGGCGCCATTGCACTCCAGTCTGGGTGGCAGAGCAAGACTCTGTCTCCGGCGGTTGGTGGGGAGTAAAGTTTTCTGTATCCATACTGTCCTCTAGGTTACAAAAGACTAGAGCAGGCCGGGAGTGGTGGCTCATGCCTGTAATCCCAGAACTTTCGGAGGCTGAGGCAGGAGGAATGCTTGAACCCAGGACTTTGAGACCAGCCCGAGCAACATAGTGAGACCCTGTCTCTATTTTTAAACAAATAATAATAAATAAAATAGATACTTTTTTAGAAAAAGACCAGAGCAGGCATCCACAAGACTCCTTGAAGGGAGGCCAGGGCTCAGCAAGGCCTTTGGGGAGAAGCCGTGCCCCTCACCTCGCCACGCCCTGGCAGAAAGGCAGGCACACACACCACACTCACCCAGACATGCAAACACCTGCACGCTCAAATACTGCCCCCAGGCTGCTTCATCCCACGGCTGTGCTGTCCCCTCGGGCCAGCGTCTGGCGCCTGAACAGCCACGGACAAGGCGTTCTCTTTTTTTTTTTTTTCTTTTTTTAGAATTTCAGGAGGATTCTTATTCTCACTCCTCAGCTTCATGGGGTGGAAGGGGAAAAGAGGGGCTTTCTTCCTCAAAGAGTCCAGTGAAGATTGTCCAACATGCTGGAGATGGCAATCGGCAGAGAGCAGGTGGCCCTGTCAAGAGGGACGCCGACAGTCCTGGGACTGGACAGAACCTCCGCTGCTGCCCAAAAAGCCAGCATTCAGGATTCATGTCCTCGGGTCTTGAAGACCTTCCTGATACCCAGTGTGGCCAACCTAGAAATTTGGAGGGTCAAGGACAGGGCATCGTGGCCCCAACCCCTATTATGCAGGTGGGTAACTAAGGAAAAGGGGCTGGTCGGGCTGCTCCACCACTGGACTCCAGCCAGACAGTACCCTGGGGCCAGGCTACATCCCTGCCTGTCTAGACAGGGGCTGGGATTGGGAAGTTGGGGTCCCCAGGGGCCAGCCTGTTCCTGGGGTGACTGTGCTTCCAGGAGAGGCCCACCCAGCCTGGCTGGCAAAGCCCTCCCACGTGCAGCTGCTAGCCCGGAGAGGTGAGTCACTGTCCCTGAGCCCTTTACAGAAGCTCTTGGGAAAGCCACAGACCTCAGGCCGGCCCAGCCCCCAGCCTCTAATGGCATGTCCTTACCGGCCCCTGGGGACCCTGCCCTGCCCTACCCCTAGCACTCAGCAAGCACCCAGCATGGGGACCCAGAACTGAAACAGGGACCTGGGAGCAACAGGGCAGCCCCTCACCCAGGGCAGGCTCTGCAGCATGACACACCCACCTCTGAGGCCCCCTCCTCCCCCGCAGACCTGCTCCGTGGACAGCTGCGGGTCCTCCACGCAGGGAACTGCCCTCCCTACCCCACATCTGGCCCTGGCTAGTCCACCCCAACTCTGGGTCCCGGCGTGGAGGTCAAAGGTCAGCGAGGGGAGGGAGGATGCTAAGGCCCCACAGGTGGAGCGGGACATCACGCCCACGACCGAGCTCCAGGCTCCACCCGCCGGTGGGTGGCTTCCTTATGGCTTCCTTACCGTGGCGTCCTCAGCGCCGTGGTGGCCGATGAGGCGGCTGCCCCCTGGGTGCCGCTGTGCCCAGCGGCTGATGTCGTAGACGCGGCGCTCGATGACCAGCCACTTGTCGCCGGGCTGGTCGTGCGCGCGGATCTGCTCCCAGCAGAAGGTGGGCAGCGGCGCCCCCGGCTGCGCGGGTCCCTCCCGCGGTCCCGGCTCCCCGACGCCGCCCATGCTGCACGCACGAGTCCTGGGGATCCCAGGCGGTGGCCGAGGTCCGAGCAAGACCCCGAGGGAAGCGAAGAGCGCTCCCGGGCGCCGCCTCCGCCGCCGCCCGCTGCTCCGGCCCCGCCCTGCCGCCGCGGCCGCCGTACGAGCGAGCGTGCGCCTCCCGGCTCGCGGCGCAGGGAACTCCCCGCCTTATAACCGCGCGGACGGCGCCCGCCTCGCCTCGCCTGCCCCCCCGCCCCCGGCCAGGCCCCGGCCCCCAAGGCTGGCTGACCCCCCGCGTCCGCTCCAATCCAGGCGCGGGGCCTCGGTCTCCATTGGCCGCCAGGGAGGGCGGCGTCGAGGCGGCCCGCCCCTCCCGGGAGGACAGCGGCCGCCACCCAGCCCTGCCCCGGGGCACCGTCCCGCCCCCTTTTCCCGGGCTGCCGGCTTCCAGGTTCTTGACTCCACCCGGAGCGCGGGGCCTGGGGACACAACACGCACCTGTTGGGCGTCCCGCAGCGCCTCGCCACGCCCTCGGGAACCGGAGGCGGAGTCCCGGTCTGTGAGCAGCGGGGCCTGGGGGGCTTCCAGCCGCGCGTCCTGCAACGTCAAATCCAGTGCGCCCAGAGGGGGGACGCTGTCTCGGGGTGCCTGTGAACAGCCTTCAAACCATGGGCCCCAATCTCTGCGGGGCCCCCACCGCCGCTGCAGCTCTCTCGGAGCCCTCTGCTGGGGGCGGGTGGCCTCCCCTCCGCCCTCGGCGCTGCAGGGCTGGGGATGCCCAGGGGTGGCCAAGGGGGAGGTAGGGGAGCAGGAGGGCACTGGCGCGTGGAGGCGGGCGCTGCCATCCATGGGCTGAGGACACCTGTGCTTGTTACTGCTTCCCCGCCCCTCTTTTTTGTTTTGAGACAGGAGTCTCACTCTGTCGCCCAGGCTGCAGTGTAGTGGCATGATGTCGGCTCACTGCAGCCTCAACATCCTAAGCTCAGGAGATACCCCCACCTCAGTCTCGGGAGTCCCCAGCTGGGACTACAGGCGCGCCCCATCATACCCGGCTAATTTTTGGTGTTATTTTATTTTTGTAGAAATGGGTCTTGCCATGTTGCCCAGGCTGGTCTTGAACTCCTGGACTCAAGTGACCCTCCCGCCTCCCAAAATGCTGGGATTACAGGCATGAGCCACTGCACCCGGGCCCCATCCGCTTTTTTTAATTTAAATACATTCAAGTCCTTTTGAAAGTGTAGGTAGCTCCCCTAATTGCTTCGGATTTCTTTGTGATAAATATACCTGTTCCTAAAAGTTAAGCGTTCACAGCAGCAAGGAATTCAAATCAGGCTAAAGTTACTTCCAGAGCGCTGGTCGTCAATCTTCCATCAGAACCACCTGAAAGGCTTCCATCAGAACCACCCAGGAGGGTTATTCGGTGGGTCTGGTGTGGAGGCAGAGACTTACATGGCCAGTTCACAGGTGATGCTGACCGGCTGGTTGGGGAAATGCACTTAGAAAACCCTAAGTATATTTCTCTGATATGCTAATATTTTGTCTTGGTCTAAAGAGGACCAGTATCCCCAGAAGGGCAGAGGGGGCGAGTTCTCCCTGGTACCAGGAGCTCCTGCCTTTGCTTGTCAGGACATCCAGCAAGGCCCATGATGTCATCAGGCACCGGGGCTGCCTGGGCCCTCTCCACTGAGGCACCCACTGACCATATCCTGGAACCCCAACCTGGCACATGTGTGTGGGGGTGCAAGAGCATGGCTGGTGGCCCTGGCCCAAGGGGGCTGCAGGCACCCCTACCCCGTACCATGTTCACACAGCACAGGAATGGAGAAGGCAGATTCTTGAAGGAATGCATCCCCTGCACCAAAATCCACTGAAGGCATGGACCTGGCCCTGGCCCCACCTTCAGCAGCCCTGAGTGGTCAGATGTGGCCATCCTAGGGGCTTCTTCCTTGGAGCCAGCCCTGGCCTGGTCTCAGCCCCTGTGTGTGAGGTGGTTGGGGGTTGTGATAGGTTAGAACCTCCACTTTCCCCAGCTGCCCCCAGAAGAGATGGGGAAGATGAAGGGGGGGCCACAGAATCATGCAAGAGCCGTGAGTGAGGGCAGGGATCACAGCCCTATTGGCCAAGTCCTCCTCGAAGGGATCACTGTGGAGGCCAGGCGGAGCTCCTCAGAATGCTCCTCAGGAAAGAGGGGCTGCACACAAATGGGCAACACACACACGAAAAGGTGCTCAGCATTGCTAATCATCAGAGAGCTGCAAATGAAACCACAATGAAATACTGTCTCACACTTGTTAGGAGGGCTCCTATAAAAAAGAAAAAGGCCTGGAATCCCACCACTTTGGGAGGCCGAGGCAGGAGGATTGCTTGAGCCCTGGAGTTCAAGACCAGCCTCGGCAACATAGCAGGAACCCCGTCTTTAATAAATAAATACATAAATGAAAAAATCATGCCAGGCATGGTGGTTCACGCCTGTAATCCCAGCACTTTGGGAGGATCTCTTGAGCCTAGGGGTTCGAGACCAGCCTGGGCAACATGACAAAACCCTATTTCTACAAAAAAAAAAAAAAAAAAACTAGCAGGGCATGGTGGTGCGTGCGCCTGTAGTCCCAGCTACTTAGGAGGCTGAGGTAGGAGGATCGCTTGAGCCTGGGAAGCAGAGGTTGTAGTGCCCCAAGATCATGCCATTGTACTCCAGCCTGGGCTACAGAGGGAGACCTGGTCTCAAAAAATCAAATCACACGTGTTGGCAATGATGCAGAACCCTTGTGCATTGTGGGTAAGAATGTGAAGTGCTATAGCCAACTATAGAAAAGAGTATGAAAATGGCTTTAAAATGCCTATGATTCAGCAATTCCATTTCTGGGCATATACCCAAAAGAACCGAAAGCAGAGTCTTGAGGAGATATTTGTACATCTATTTTCTTAGCAGCATTATTCACAATGGCCAAGAGGTCATTGTGAGGCAGCACAACTGTCCATCCACAGACACTGGATAAACAAAACGTGGTCAGGCCAGGCGCGGTGGCTCACACCTGTAATCCCAGCACTTTGGGAGGCTGAGGCGGGCGGATCACCTGAGATCAGGAGTTTGAGACCATCATGGCCAACATGGAGAAACCCTGTCTCTACTAAAAATACAAAAATTAGCCAGGCATGGTGGCGCATGCCTGTAATCCCAGCTACTCAGGAGGCTGAGGCAGGAGAAAGGCTTGAACCCAGGAGGTGGAGGTTGCGGTGAGCCGAGATCGCACCATTGCACTCCAGCCTGGAGTAATAATTAATTATAATATAATAAAATTAAAAATAAAAAATAAAACGTGGTCTATGCATACAATGGAATATTATTCAGTCTTAAAAAGGAAGGAAATCCTGTCACATGCTACAACAGATGGACACTGAGGACATGAAGTGAAAGAAGCCAGTAATGAGAGGACAAATACTGCATCATCCACTTAAATGAGGGCCCTCGTGCAGTGAAATTCATAGAAAGTAGAATGGGGGTTGCCTGGGGCTGGGAGGAGGTGGAAATAGAGGGTTGATTAATGGGTACAGAGTCTCAGTTTTGTGAAATGAAAATGTTCTGGAGATGTTTCGGAACACTGTAAATGGACTTAGCACTACTGAACTATACACTTAAAAATGGTTAAGGGAGGGCCAGGCACAGTGGCTCACACCTGTAATCCCAGCACTGTGGGAGGCTGAGGCGGGCGGATCACTTGAGGTCAGGAGTTCAAGACCAGCCTGGCCAACATGGTAAAACCCCGTCTCTACTGAAAAAAAAAAAAAAATTCACACACAAAAAATTAGCTGGGCATAGGGGCTCATGCCTGTAGACCCAGCTACTTGAGAGGCTGGGGCAGGAGAATTGCTTCAACCCGGGAGGCGGAGATTGCAGTAAGCCTAGATTGCGCCACCGCACTCCAGCCTGGGTGACAGAGTGAGACTCCGTCTCAAAACAAAACAAAACAAAAACAACAATTAAAAAAAAAGAGTTAAGGTAGTACAAGTTATGGGTTTTTTACCGTAATAAAATGAAAAAGGCAAGGAGGCTGCGAAAGCCATTTAGTCCTATATTTCCAACTCACAGATGAGGAAACTGAAGCCCAGAGAGGAGCGACTTTGCCCAGGTGCACAGCCCCGGCAGGAGTTCCATCAGGACAGTCTTGGCAGACTGGAAAGCATCCTGCAGGAGTGAAGCACGCCAGTGCGCAGCTGGTCTCGGCTCAGCGCCTCCACCCTCAGAGGCCAGAGTCGTTGCTAGGTTTGAAGAGGGGGCCAAAGAGGGTTAAAATGTTCACATGTGCCAGGGGTACTCAGAGAGGCCCAAGTGGGTTATCTAGAAAATCCATTTAAGAGGAACAACTCCCTCGTGGCTGATGTCGGCTAACCCTCCCCAGCCACCTTTAAGCACATTGCAGGTGTCTAGGAAAGGGAATCCAGGATGCTGGTTCATACTGTGGGCTCCAGGGCTGGCCTCATGATTCCTATCCCGGGGCCATCATTTCCTCTGTGGCACTTCTGTGTGCCTCATTCTACTCATCTGCAAAATGGGAGAATAGTACTCTATAAGGTTGCTGTGAGGATGAAATGAATTAGATCATTTAAAGGGTTTAGAATCATGCCTGGCACAGTCAGTGCTCAGCTATTATCTCTCGTTGGGAGATACTGAGAGTGTATGTCCATCCTCCAGGCATTTCAGTTCTCTGTTTATGACCCCACTTGGGGTCTGACAGCAGGCTATGCCATTGCAGGGGCAGGCAGCGCGGGTCTGGGGTATGGGACCCTCTGCCTGGCCCCTGGAGTGTGGTCTGGTGTCTCCTAGGTCTTCAGTGTTGCTGGGCCAGGAGCACAGAAGCTGGGGGTAGGGTGGACAGCTCCAGGGCCCAGACCTCCAACTTCCTTTGGCCCCCCAGCTGACCCAGGACTGACAGAGAGGAGAGAAAGCGACTGCCACGCAAGAGAGGCTGTGGGGATCACAGCAGTGAACACAGCCTCTTGCGCCCTTTTCTGACATCCTCCTTTGCCTGCCTGCTTTCCTCTCTTCCATCTGATGCCCTGTGCGTGTTCCTGGTATGTTTTTGATTGCCAGTCTTCCCCCTGGACATTCTCAGCTCAAGCACAGGTGTCCCCAGCATGGGTGGAGGGCTTCCTGTGGTCCTGGCCAGTCCACAGCTAGCCTGACCTACCAGCTGAGTGGCACCAAGGCCTCAGGCCAATACGGAAGTCCCCACAAGGTGTCACCAGCCCAGTAGATACTGACCCGACTCAGAAGCTGCTATGCTCTCCACCACCCCAAGAAGGCATCTATTGGCCTGGGCCCACATCCCTACAGGTGGGGAGGGGCTCAGCCACCACAAGACACCTTCCCAGCCCCACTCTGGGTCCTCAGAGGTCCTGGCCACCCCCACCTCTTCCAACTGTGACTGCTGCCCCTTGCTGAGAGCTCGTCTAAGACCTGGGCTTCCATGGTCCCCGCCTGTGCTTCCAGCAGACATCACCAATCAATCCTGCCACTGTCCCACTGAGCAACAGGCAGCCTCGATGCTTTGCCTCTGAGCTGCAGGCTTCTGTGAGACTGGAGGTAACCATTGCTGGATGCAAGGAGACCCAGGGGAGGACCTGGCCAAGGTGCCACAGTGAGGCAGTGGGAGAGCCAGCCTTGGTGCCGTTCTTCCCAACAGCAGGCCACCAGCCACGGGGAGAGGGAGGCCTGGCTCATCCCCCAGTAACCCACAGCCCTCTGAATACTAAGGGAGGACTCAAATAGTCCTCCCCACAGCAAGTAAGTGGTGATGGCGGAGGTGGGGTGGCTTCAGGATTTGGGTTTAATCCCAAGCACGAGGGCGGGCAGGGAAAGGATTTGGTTTCATTCCTTCAGATGCCCAAGCCTTGGCCAGAGCCCCAGGGTGCAGGAGTGAGGGCGCGTGGCCACCCAGCCTGTACCAACAAAGCCTGCCTTTATTAAATAGAGATCGCGTTACATTCCATCCAAAGAAGGAAATCCGGACGTGGTGAGGGATGCGTCCAGGTGGGAGCTCCGAACGCTGGTCCTGAGTGGGCTCTGATGGGTGGGAGGGCCCAGGTCCTGCCTGCCCACCCAGGCCCCACATGCCAGGGCGCGTGTCTGCATGGCCACCCACAGCTGAAAACAGGCGTGGGTGATCTGAAGCCCTGTCTGTGTTCTACTGTGGCAGAAAGTGCCCCAGTCCTTCCAGCGGTTTTGGGAGCAGGGCCTCCAGGAGCACAGGGCTGAGACGGGGTGGGAGGGAAGGTGACAAGGGAGGCCTTTATGAAGGGGGAGGGAGGAAGGGGGAAAGGAAGGGAGGAAGCGGGGGAGGGGTCTTGACTCATCTTAACAAGGCTTTGGGGCAATTCTGTGCTATGGAGGCCCTGCCAGCCCCTCCTAGTAGTCCAATAGGGAGGCCACCGGGAACAAGGCACAGGATGGCCACAAGGGGGTGCTGCTGGCCCAGGGCTTGGCAGCTGGGGTGGAGGGTACCCTGGAGATCCAGCCACCCAGAACAGTCCCTTTCTGAAGACAAGCCAGCAACAAGGCACCTGCAGGCAGTTCTGGGGACTGGGGAGGGGGCGCTGGCTGCCTCAGGTGTCCCCTCCCAAGGGCTGAGGCCCCCCGAGTATGGATCCGAGCTCCCTGGTCTTTGGTGCTTTCTTGAAATCCTCCTGGTGGTGGCAGAACCCAGTGGGGAAGAGAGGGGGGTCTTGCCGTGAAGTCCAGGCCCGTCTGTCCCAGGATGGACGTGTGGTGCTGGCTCAGTGCTGCCTCCATGGCCTGTCTGTCCATCCATTCTGCCTCTGGCTCAGGGCTGGCTCCAGGCCCCCGTCTCCCTGTGTGTCGGCTTGTTCTGGGGTGGGTGTTTGCTCTGTCTCAGAGCTCCCCTTCAGGCCTGGGCCGCGCCCTAAGCCTCCTGGGGGAAGAAGCCGAGCTTGGCCAGTGACATCTCCTTCCGCAACCTCATGATCTCCCAGAACATGGGCTCTGCTGCAGGCAGAGAGAGGGTGAACAGGTCGGGGACAGCTCAGGGTCACCTCGGGCAGATGGCCAGGTCCCCTCCTGTGGCTTTGGACAGAGCAGCTGGCACAGCACCCTAGGGTCCCCGGCCCCCAAAACAGATGACCTCAGTGAGTGGCTGGACCTCTCTGAGGCTCCACTCTTGAGCCTTGGAAACTGCTGAGTGCCGACCACACCCGAGGGATCTGTTTGCACTACACTGACGGCCACCCCCACAGCCCGACGCAGACAAGCAGGTACACGCTGTCACATGCCACAGCGGTGGTCCAGACCTGGGAACTACATTAGACAAGGCACAGATGCCTCCCTGGGGTCTCACAAGGACCCTGCGCAGTGAGGCGGGGACCACAGCGGCCATCCAGGGACCTAGCAGGTGTCAACACCCAGCATGCCTTGGCCTTGGCCTCCAAGAGGACTTGACCCCCAGGATGGAGAGGAGATAGCTCCTTACTCAGAGGGTCGGGCCAGACTGGTTCAGGAGAAGACTCAGCAGCGAGCAAAGGTTGGTGGAGGAGCGGGGAGCCAGGCCTTGCAGAATGGGCTGTGGGGGGAGGGGGTGGAGGGAGGCCCTGTCCAGCATGGAGTGGAGTGGGAGCAAAGGCTGGAGGTGGGTGACCCTGTGTTCAGGTGACCAGGAGGAGGGGCCACCACCTCCAGGGCCAGGGAGAGATTCACAGGGGTGGCCCCCTTGTGCGGGGCCGGGAGAGGTTTGGGGACAGGAGAAAGACCAGCCGGACGGACTCAGGTACAGAGCTCAGCACCCAGGAAGTTTGTGAACGCTTTACTAAACCACAACCCTCCCCGCTCCCCAGCCTCCTAGCTGAGTCTTGCCTCCACTAGGGGCAGGTGGGCCCAGAGGGCACTTCCCCATCCAGCCCCACTCCCGTGTGCGATCCCTGCACCGGCCACCAGGGGGCGCTCACCGTCCTGCCGCACCAGGCCTTGCTGGATGTAGCGGATGTAGGTGAAGAAGTTGCACACTGCGGTGATCTGTGGGCAGAGGTGGGGACGGTGTGACCTGCCAGCCCCACGCTGGGGGTCCCCTGACAGGCGGATCTGAGTCCAGAGCAGGAGGCCCCAGGTCCCTGCAGAGCCAGGCAGTGCTCCCTGACTCAGCTGGGACTGGGCTTTCAAGTAGTAATCAACAACAGCATGACTAGCCCTGCTGTAATAGCAGCAGCAGCAGCAGCAGCCATTTCATCAAGCGCCTGCAGCGAACGGAGCAGACGCGCTTATTATTCCATCTTACATGGGGGAAAGCGGAGCCACCCGGGGAAAGCCGCTGACATCCATCACGGAGATGGCGGAGCTAATGAACCAGCATGCAGCAGAGCTGTGAGATGAACCGGGCAGGCTGTCCCGGAGTCTACACTCGCCCTCTCACAGGCCGGCTTGCTCCAGATGCTGGAGTTTTGGGCCAGCCAGGCCTCAGTCCAGTGCTACTGATAACACTGGGAAAGGAAAGGGGGTCAGAAGCCGCTCACCTGGGCTGCCCGGGGCCCCTGGGGCCTCAGGCCTGCTCCATGCCAGGCCCCGGGGACCCTGTGTTGGCTCAGACACTGCTATGAGGACTCACACCACGGAGAGGGTACTGTTGGTGCCTGGCCCAGGGCCCCTTCCCAGGCCCGGGCCCCATCTCCCAGCTGCTGAGAGTGGGGGCACTAATGGCTCAGAGGTGCCCCCCTCTGTACTCACTCCTCCTGTAGACCTCAGCCGATGACTGACTTGTGTGGAGATAGAAAGGACAGTCCCCTTGCCTCAGGGTGGAATCAACTCTGCTAAGAGCCCGGTGGATGGGGCTGAAGCTGGGCTGTAGCTAAGGCCACATCCTGGCTGGACTCCCCCGTCCCTTCCCTCATTCTCCTGGGAGCTGCACACAATCTCCAGGTGAGGCTCTGCCTCTTCGGAACCCAGCCTAAGACAGGGTGGAAGGTAGCCGGCGGCTGTGCCCGCCCGCAACAGCCCCTACTGAATGTCCAACACTCCTGGGGAGGGACATCAAGTGAGAGGGGCACCCGCAGGCTGGGGAGTGGAGAAGCTTCGGGGAGGGGCGGGACGGTGGTGGCCTGGCAAAGATAGGGAGGTGCGAGAGAGCGGGGCGAGGTCGGGGGACCAGCCCGTCGTGGCAGGGACACCGCTGCACAGGGAGGGTTGAGGAGAGGCTGCGGCAGGAGGGTGGGGCAGGGCAGAGCTCAGGACAGGAGCAGGGACAGTGGATGCCCACAGAGGCTCATGAGCAGGGAGTAGCAGGGAGGGGGCTTTCCCTCTCCAGGGAGTGTGCTAGGGAGAAAACACTTCTCCCTGTGGACCCCACATGTCTTGGTCTTTCAGGGCAGGGACCACATCCTAAAACTTCAGACCCTCCTCACCTCATCTCCCACCCCCAGCTTCATCCAGTGCAGCAGGACACCCAGGCCAGGGACTTAAAGTGCTAGAGGTGACATTGTTGAGCACGGGAACATCTTTTGTGGGGCCTGCTGTTGAGCCATGGTTGGGCCTGGAAAGCGGTGATGGAGATAAGTGGCCACTGAACAAGGCTCAGTGGGCACAAATCCACAGGGTAGGGGCTGCAGTGGACTCAGAGCCAGGATCCCAGGTCTCGGTGTGTGGCCCTGAACACACCCCTTTCCTCTGCCAAGGCTCAGCCTCCCTTTTGGTAAATGGGTGCTCAGCACACCGCTGGGAGGACTCACGCTCGGATGCCTTGTGGAGTTCATCAAGGACAGTATAGTCTGCTGCCAGCAAAGGGACCATTTGTCCCCTTTAGACCTGCTCCCCTGCGAGGAGCCTCTAGCAGGCCTGAGATGGTTCCTCAAGCTGTGTCACTGGAAACGTGTTTCCAAACATGTTCTCTTGTTCCCCTCAATCCTCTTAAGAGTCAACAGAGGGACAGAGGAAGAGGAATCCCTGTCCTCAATCCCCAGCTTGGTGAGAACCCCTGTCCTGGTCTGGGTCACTCGGCAGGGGAGGGTGGGAGCTGGGATTCCTAGAGGCCCCTTGGCACTCACGGCCGACTTAAGGCTGGTGCACCA
Organism: Homo sapiens; assembly: GCF_000001405.40. Taxonomy (NCBI): domain Eukaryota; kingdom Metazoa; phylum Chordata; class Mammalia; order Primates; family Hominidae; genus Homo; species Homo sapiens. Next base: position 61,901,423 of record NC_000011.10, read on the forward strand.
GACGCACCGCTGAACCTTTTCCAAAGCTTCGGCCAGCACCTGAGTCTGGGCGTCAGGAGCCCCGCACTCTAACTGGAACTCTAGCATCACTCCTGGATTAGGTGACATTGAATGACAGAGGGGGGCGATGTCATCCCATGACATTTCATACATAAGGCTGCATCTCAGCCGACTGGAGAGTGGCCCTCCTGATGGCTCTGAAGTCAGCTGCCCTGTGCAACAAGGCCCTGTGGCAGGGGACTGCGGGTGTCCTCTAGAAGCTGAGGGTGTCCCCTTGCCAGCAGCCAGCAAGAAAATAGGGGCCTCAGTCCTTCAAACACAAGGAACTGAATGCTGCCAACAATGTGAGTTTTGAGGAGGACCCTGACTTCCAGAAAGGAACACAGTCTGCTGACAGCTTACTGCGACCTTGCAAGTCCCTGAGCAGAGAATCCAGTAAGTAAGTAGTGCTTAGACTCCAACATGGGGAACTGCGCTATTTTAAGCTACCAGGTTGATAGTAATTTGTTACACCGTAATAGCAAACCACTGCCCTTGGCTTGGCTGTGTGGCCCGAGTCAGTCTCTGCGCCTCTCTGAGCCTGTACCCTGCTCTGTAAATCAAGATGTAAGGCTGGGCGTGGTGGCTCACACCTATAATCCCAGCACTTTGGGAGGCCGAGGCAGGCAGATCACTTAAGGCCAGGAGTTCGAGTTCAGCCTGGCCAACGTGGTGAAACCCCATCTCTACTAAAAATACAAAATTAGCTGGGCGTGGTGGCACATGCCTGTAATCCCAGCTACTTGGGAAGCTGAGGCAGGAGAATTGCTAATGTCTGCCTGGGAGGCAGACATTGCAGTGAACTGAGATTGTGCCACTGCACTCCAGCCTGGGTGACAAAGACTCTGTCTCAAAAAATAAATAAATAAAATAAGTAAATCAAGGTGTAGTGCTATTCATACTCCCAGGCCCAGGGCCCAGTGTCCCAGCACCCAGGTGGCCCCAAAGGAGTCAAGTAACGCTTGCAAAGGCTGACTCACCCTGGCCCGGGAAGATGGCGAGATGTAGTAATGGCTTTTGGAGTCCCCGAGCCGGATTCGGTGGCGGCAGGTGCGGGTCAGCCCGCTCAGGGCACATGTGCTAGGGGAAAGCAAAATGGGTCACGGGGGCTGGCTGGGGCTTGCCCCTCTCCCTCACCCCTGCATACAGGGAAGATGCAGCAGCTGAGAGGATGCATGGGGAGGGGCAGGCCTCCCTTCCCCCACCCGGCTTCCAAAGGAACCCAGAGCCAGGCAGAGAAGGGAGCTGGCCCCAGCCATCCCTGGGACAGACCTCGAACTAAGCTGAGCTGTACCCCTAGAACCCTTGTTTTGCCCCTACTGGGCAAGAGAGCTTGGTTAATCTCATGCCAGGTGTACAAAGTCCCACCCTCTGCAGGCTCTGCATATGCCTCTCCCTCTACTTCTGGGGACTCAGACCAGGCACTCCTCCCCCAACTAGGCCAGAGTTGAGGTCTGGCTGCCTCCCGCTTCCCAACATCCAGCAGCTCCCCTGCTTCATCCATGCAGGCCTTCTGACCCCACTAACCCCCATGGTTCTCAGCCGCATGCCAACCAACCCCGTCTAAGAGCCTTCTCCCATGCCCTCTTCTCTCCTCCCCCCAGTCCTGCATGACGTCGCTCAGCATCTTCAGCCACCCACATGAAGGGTCTCCACAGGCCCTGAGCAACCCCCATCTGGGCCCCACTCCCCAAACCTGCTCTTCACTGGCCATCATCTGCTCGGCTCTCTCCTCCTCACCCTCTGCTTGGTCACCAAGTCCCCAGGCCAGGGCACAGCAGCAGTACTTTTGGCCTGCATCCCCTTGGCTCCTTCTGGCCAGCTCTCTGCCTCATCGCTCTCTTTCTTCTCCACATCAGAGCCAGGGCTCCTCCAAAAACCCACATCTAACCCATCATCTTTCTCTCTTGCTTTCCTAATTCCCAAGAAATGGGGAGAATCCCAAATAAATGAAGGTTTAAAAAGCTCCTTGGCTGCGGACTTATCAGAGCATTTGTTGCCTCCTGGTTCACTGGGACTCTCTGATGGACCAGAGAGCCTCTTTTCAGGTGGCAGCTATTGATGACTTTTTTTTTTTTTTGAGACAGGGTCTCACTCTGTCACCCAGACTGGAGTGCAGTGGTGCAATCTCAGCTCACCACAACCTCCGTCTCCCAGGCTCAAGCAATTCTCCTGACTCAGCCTCCCGAGCAGCTGAGATTACAGGCGTGTGCCACCACACCCGGCTAACTTTTATATCTTTAGTAGAGATGGGGTTTTCTCCATGTTGGCCAGGTTGGTCTCAAACTCCTGACCTCAAGTGATCCACCCGCCTCAACCTCCCAGAGTGCTGGGATTACAGGTGTGAGCCACTGCACCCGGCCTATTGATGACTTTTGCCGCACTGGCTGGTGGGTTAAAGCCCAAACCTGTGAAGGCTCTTTATACTCTGGCCCCAACAGCCTCTGCAGCCTCCACCCCAATTCCCTGTCCCCCCACTGCTTAGCCAGATGCCCCAGTGGTGCTTCCGTTAATACTCCAGCTTCTCACACCTTTGCACATTCCGTTCCCTCTGCCTGAAATGCCCTTCCCTGCTTGGCAAACTTCTATTCATCCTTCAAAACCTGGCTCAAATGCTCCCTCTCCGTGATGAGCCTCCCACCAGGGCACCAGCCATCCCCAGCCAGGCTCTTGGCTGCCAAGGTGAAATCCTCCCCAATTTCTGCCCCTTGCTCCACCCTGGCTATTTTGTTCTGCTGCTCCCCTGCTCAATGCCAGGTGAGTAGCTGGAGGACAAATGCCAGGGCTACTGCGTCGTTATTTATTGGCAGGGGCACAGCCAGCAACTGATAATCATGGTTCAAGAAAAGAAGGGGAGGGCACAGAGCAGACCAGTCAGGAAGAGGCAGACCCTAGCTCCCGGCCTCTCTGGAAAGCCTGGGGGTCCACAGGAAACCTGCCAAACTGCCTCCTTGCCCTGTGGGGGCAGCAACTGTCCCTGTCCTGTCGGCGCTGCTGCATCCTGACCACCCCTCGGCACAGTAAACACACGGCTTGGCGGGGCTTTCCCACATGGGCAGGAAGGAGCTAAGACCCTCAGCTTACTTGGTGCTGCTACAGTCAACCTCGGCCACCTTCACTGTGGGCAGCGTCTGCGAAGCCACCGGCTCAATGGTGAGCGTGTTGTCCTCCACGGCGGCCCGTACCAGCACCGAGAGCTGTGGCAGACCAGGGAGGCAGGCAGGGTGGTAAGGGGCTGGGCCCTGGCGGAGGGGTGTGTCCCCCAGCTGGCCCCGCCCCTGCCATGCCTCACCTCCTGCATTGTGAAGTCCAGGCAGGGGCCCACGTCCTCTCGGTACACCCTTTCCAGGAAGGGGCAGGTCTTGTCCAGGGTGGGGGATTCCCTCCAGGCCTGGAACTCTGCAAACAGGATTGTGTCCACCTGTGGGGGAGGGCAAGCGAGGGTGGGGGCGGTCAGGGTACTGGGGCCAGCATAGAAGATGCAGGCTGAGCTGAAGGGGAGCGAGGGAGGACGTGGGGCAGGCCCAGCAAGCCAGCAGGTCGATCCCCAGCAGCCGTGCAGGGAAGCCAAGTCCAGCAGCAGCAGAGCTCCCTTCTGCCCTTTGCACCAAAGAATTTAGAACTAAAAGTTTTGTTTCCAGGCCGGTGTTAAATTTCTTGGCGCTACTGGATTTTAGAGTGGGGTGCAGGGCTTTGTCCTGAAGACCCTCAGTGCCTCCTTGAGGAGGAAAAGTCAAAGAGCAACTAGCAGGAGGCCACAGGTACCAGCAGGTACACAAGCACACACAAGCACGTGCACACAGGAGGGGACACACACAGGCTGCCCTGGGCCCACACCTCAGAGGTGACTGCTGGCCTGCTCCAGGCCACATGCAGAATGAGGGAGGCTGGGAGGGGGCAAAGTGGGAGGCCCCTCTTTGGAGCCATTTACCTGTCGGGAAAAGGAGGGAGAGGGAGTGGAGGCAGGGGCTGGGGGCTCCCCAGGTGGGAGCGGCCAGGCCGGCTCGTAGGTGAGGTGAACCGCCTTGCTGGGGACCACGCAGAGGAGCAGGGAGAGCAGCGGGGCCAGCCCGGGCTGGGCCGGATGGACAGACAGACAGACAGACAGACAGGTAGACAGGTGCACAGAGACAGAACAGGAGGAAGGGGAGAAGTTAATGTACATTCAGAAGCTCAGAGCTCAGGAGGTGGATGAGGGCCTGCTCGTCTTCCCTGGAGGCCCTGGAGACAGAGGTGGAAGCCAGGATGGAGTCGAGTGGGCTGGCGCCAGGGACCCAGGAAGCTGAAGGCACCACAGCCCTCTGAGGCACTACCTGGGTGCAGCCTTGAACTCAGCTCTTGATGTCCCTGTCTCTGGTTCCTCCAGCAGCCCCGGGAGGCCCCATTTATCAGGTGAGAAAGCTGAGGTGCTGACAGGTGGCCTCATTTGCCTACAGACCCATGACCATGAGTGTCAGCCCAGCCTGGGCCCAGCAACTGGTGTGGCCAGCTGAGGTGGGACGGAGACACCTCTCCAAAGGCCACGCTTGTCTCAGCCCCACAGTCAGAGGGTGCCAGAAACCCCTTGAGCACAGGGCTGTCACCAGGTGGTCCTGGGGCTCGAGGCTGTGGCCACACGGGGTCCAGGCAGCCTCTCCCCTGAGGCCCAGTGGCTGCTGCTTGGCCTCTTAAGGCCAAGGAAGTGTGTGTCTCAGTGGAGGCCCCAGATCCTCAGGGCCAAAGCCAGCCTCAGGTGCAGAGACCACTACCTACTGCTTGGAGTCAGTGGGGCAGGGAGGGGGCCTCAGGTCCCCAGATGGTATACCCTGGAGGCTGCAGGCCAAGTGCCTCAGATCACAGGAGGTTGGAGAGAAAGGACCTGCCCAGCCCTCACATCCCAGAGAGGCGCAGGACAGGCTCCAGGTCACACAGCATGGGGCAGGCTGGTCCTCACTGGGCTCGGACCCTGCCTACCGCAGGCACTGCCACCCTTCCCCGTGCCCAGAGCCCGCTTCCCACCCTCACCTCCTTGCCCTCTCTGTCTGGGGTGAGGGTGTGTCCCGCAGCGGGACACACGGCGGGGCAGAGGGTGCTGCTGGTGCTCTTGTGGCGAGAGTGGCCCTTTCGGGGCCCGGCCTTGGTGGGGCTCAGCAGCTGGGGGTGAAGCTCGCGGTTGGGAGAGGCTGGTGTGGACGTGATGACCAGCGTCTTCAAGGCTGTCACCTCTGCCTGCAGCATGTCGATCTGCATGGGATGGGATGGCTGTCAACCCTCACCCAGACTGGATGCCATCCTGGCTGCCACCGCCTATCAGCCTAACTCAGGACAATGCACCCCTGCAGTGACAGGCACTTAGTCCCACCCGACGCCCTCAGAACAGCCTTCGAGGCAGAGACCCAGACACTCGTTTTACACATAGGGAAACTGAGGCTCACAGAGGCGACATGGCCTGCCCAAGGTCACTCTGTGAGCAGGATTCTGTTAGGAACAAGTGTCTGGGAGCTGGCTGGGCCTCCCATGAGAGTTCTGGGACCGCCCCCAGGAGCCAGGAAAGGCCCAGGCCTCACATTTTGCAGATGGGCAACCAGGCTTGGAGAGAGGAAGCGACTTGCCCAGGCTCAGACAGCCATACTGAGTGAGGTTTCTGCTTTGTAAAGTGGGGCTGGGAGGAGAGGGAAGAAGGTACAATAATCACAGGGTCCTCCCAGCCCCAGCACTATCCCAGAAAAGGCTCTGCCATGCAGCAGAATCACTGATGGAGCCCCGGGACACTGGGCCCTGTGATCTCAGACCCCCACCCTTCCCTTCCCTCCCTGGGCCTAGGTTCACCCATTCCTGCTGGCCCCACCGGGCCAGGTGAGCGTCCACTCGGGCAGCAAAGCTCAGTGCTCGCTGAGCCGGGAGGCAGGGGGGGTGCCTGGGCTGGCCTGGGCAGGCGGGGATGGGCCTCACCTTGCCCCGAGCCTCCTTCAGCTGCTTTTCTGATGCCGCCTGCTTCATGTTGGCTTCTCGAACCATCTTGTGAGCTTCCTAGGAAGAAGGCAGTCCCTGCGTGAGTGGTGAGGAGCCAACGGACGCCCAGATGACCCATTCCCCAAGTTGTTCCCGCGCCCAGCCGGTGTACCTCAAACAGGCTGGCCGTCAGCTCTTCCAGCTCCTGTTCTAGCTGCTCCCGCACCTTGGACAGCCGCTCACATTCCTCGTCCTTTAGCTTCAGCTCCTGGAGGAAAAGAGGCAGGCACTTGAGCACCTCAGCATCCCCAGGCCTGGCACGGGAGGGACCAGGCCCACCGGACCAGGTTCCATCCCCTCGTCATTTTATGTGGGGCTCAGAGTTTATTTCCTCTGGTGCCTGACAGTTTGTGATGCTTTTTCCGTTTAGCCACAGCATGAAGCTGAAGCCCTGCCTGCCAGTTCATCAGAGCTCAGGGCACGTTTGCAGTCAAGACGGGTGACCATCGGTGCGCCCAGTACAGGCCTGGCCAGCAGCTGGCCTCGGTGAGGGCACATCCCTCTCCCTTGGGCACATCTCTGGGCACCTGATGAGAGCCCACAGCTCTCCCAACCTGACTTCTCCCCACCGAAGACCCCCCAGCCTACTGCAGGCACCCACCTTCTGCGCTCTGTGCAGCTCCTCCTTCAGGAACTCGGAGCCCTTCTCTCGGATCTCCATGGAAGAGCTGCGCAGGCGCAACACGTCCAGCTGGGCGGCTGCGGGGCCCTCCTGGCCTTGGGCCTCCTCCCCTGCAGAGGTCTCCACCAGGGCTCCTGGGGACTCCCTGTGGCCTTGGCAGGGGTCCGTGCTCTTCCAGGGGACCGGGACAGCTGCAAGGGGCGGCGGGAGGCCCTGGTCTGGCTGGGGTGGGCTGGAGACAAACAAGGGTATCAGCAGGTTCAGGGTGGGGTCCTGAGGCCTGGAGAGCTGAGTCCAGAAACCGCCCCGGGGCAATGTGCCTGCCACTTGAGCCTCAGCCTTTCCATCTGAAAACTGGGACCCTACCAGCTATCATCAGTGTTGTTACAAGGGCAAATGTCCAAGCACAAAGTCTCTTGGGGCAAGAGGCTTATTACTCTTTGTCAACCACCCCTTCCAGCCCAGGGCTGAGGGCTGTGTTTGGCACATGCAGTAGGTGCTCAGCACACAGTAGGTGGTCAGCGTCTTTGTCTAACAGGTGACTGTAAATGCATCAGGGTTGAGTCCCACTTGTATTAAGTGAAGCCTATTCCAATGGCCCTACCTCAAAGGTCACTGAATGATCAGAGGAGGTGTGGGTAAAACCTTGACACCTCGGATGCACTCAAGCAGGAGCTGCCTTCACTGATACAGTTAATGCGAATTCTGCCCCTTTCAGGGTGGACCAGAGAGGAAGGATGAGGCCAGGGCAGGCAGGGCTGAGGCAGGAAGATTCTGCAAACAGCTTGGACAAGACAGACCCACTTCCTGTCCCCCTGGACTTGGTGGGGAGCAGTCCCAGCTCTCCCCTGGCCTGCCTTGTGACCTCAGGCAAACACCCCCTTCTCTGGGCCTCAGGACCCTCCCTTCCCTGAAGCTGAAGACCCTGGAGGTGGTGTGAGGCCTCATTCCGCCCCCACCCACACTCTCCACTCCAAAGTGGACCCTGGAGAGGGAAGGGAGGGCGAGGGCCCGGCCAGCGGTGTTTTGTGCCAAGACAGCACCTCTGGACTCGCTCACTCAGCAAAAGCTGGAGGCTCCTGAGCCAGCAGCTTCTGAGCCGCAGCAACCAGGGCTGGGGATGGGGGGCTGGGCGGGCCACTGATATCAGTGAGGGAAGTTGGGGGGAGGGGCTCAGGGAGGCTGCACCAGAGGGGGAAGGCAAGGCCAAGGAGAAAGTGGGACTCAGGACGGCTGAGGCAGAGGGAGGAGTGAGAGGCAAGTCTGTGGACCAGTCTCCCCTCCCTGTCCTCAGGACCTTGGGAAGGTCACCAAGCAGCCCCTGAGCCTCAGTTTCTCCCTTGGTTAACACACAGAAAATGGGCCCCCAGAGACTCCTGCAAGGAGCCCACTTCCAGCAATGAGTCCCTTCACACAGCCCGGTCCAGCTGCCCAGCCCCACCTGCCCTCTGCTCTGGAACCGGCCCAGAGTGTGGCCTCAAGGCTCCTCAAGCTGGGTCCTGCCTGGCAGGGATGTGGGTCTTGAGGATTAAGGTGGGGACACATATCCATCACTCCATCAACAGTGTCTATGCCAGACAGGGCTCTCTCCTAATACTCCTGTTTGGGGAAGTCTTGTTGGCAAGGGTTCCCCGCAGCCTGAGAGCTATGGCGGAGCCCTGGGCTGGGGTCTGTGCCCTGGGGACTCACTCTGCCAGACTCTTCCACAGGTCTCTGACCACGCTGTCTCCTTTAAAATTCTCTCAACAGCAGCTGGGTGCAGTGGCTCACGCCTGTAATCCCAGCACTTTGGGAGGCTGAGGCAGGTGGATCACCTGAGGTCAAGAGTTCGAGACCAGCCTGGTCAACATGGTGAAACCCCATCTCTGCTAAAAATACAAAAATTAGCCGGGCCAAGATTGTGCCACTGCACTCCAGCCTGGGTGACAGAGCGAAACTCTGTCTCAAAACAAACAAACAAACATAAAACTCTCTCAACAGCACTCGTGGTATTGTCCCATTCTACAGATGAGGGGACGGAGGCTCACAGAGTGAAGGGACTTGTCAGGGGTCACGCAGCTGGTCAGTGACAGTGCTGGGACAGGTGGCCAGGTCTTCAAGCCCAGGCCCAAAGCTTCCCCGCTGCAGGGGAAGGGCAGGTGGGTGCGGAGTGTGAGTGTTGGAATCGGCGCATCTGCTTCAAGATAAAGCGCTGCTGGGCCCAGGGAGACTCGGAGGCTCCTCTTTGGCTGCAGTAGGGAAATCTGACCCAATTCTGGCCCGAACTGGCTTCTCAGACTCTGCGCAGGCCCAGAAACCCCCTTTCCAGAAGGCAGGGCCTGGGCAGGGGGAGCTGTGGCAGAGAGAACAGGCCAGATGGGGCAAGCCTGGGGTCCATGTCAGCCTCTGACCTGGGGTACACATGAGCCCCTGAGAATGCTACTGAAATTTTCTGAACCTGCTTCTGCACCTGAGGGATAGGAGCTGAAATCCTGCAGGAGGTGCTCTAAGAATCAAGAGCTCTAAGAGCAGTCCTGACCTGGTGCTGGGTGAATCATGTTCAATCCACAGCCATGTTTGGCTGAGACACTCACGAAGCCTGCCTGGGCTCTGGGTCCCACAGCTTAAACTGGAGGCCTGTGGACCCTTGCCAAGAAGACTTCCCCGAACAAGGGTATTGAGAGCCCTGTCTGGCACAGACACTGTTGATGGAGTGATGGATATGTGTCCCCACCTTAATCATCATGGCCCAAGTCCTCAGGTAGGACAGGATGGCCATAGTCACTCAGGCTGGGCTGGGGGCTGCTCACTGCAGGCCAAGGGCAAGAGGTGACAGCACAGGACAGGACAGAGGACTCTTGCAATTGCCTATGCCCTGACCGAGGAGAACCAGGCTGCCGGCCCTCCCATGGGGGCCGAGCTTCATCCACCAGTGTGGTCTGGGCCTCTGGCCACAGTGAAAGACTAACTCTCTCTCCTGCTGGTCCCAAGCACATAGGCTGGAGGTGTGGCTGGCTGACCTCACCATTTTCCCAACAGGCTCTCATTTTTGCCTTGTGGGGCAGAGTGGGGACAGGGCCCAATTTTGTAGCCAGAGGAAACAGTGGTCCAGGAGGCCTGTGACAGAGTCTGTGACATCCTTCCCATCACCCCCAGTAGAAGAGCCCAAGGCCAAATCCCAATGGCAAGAAGTGTGGGAACATGGGAACAGTGGGACCACCCAGTAGCCACCAACTCCCCAACGCCAAAGGTGGCAGGAGCAGGAGGGAAGAAGGGCCTGACCTGCCCTTGGAGGGTAGCCAGAATCTGCAGACCCTCTTCCTCCTCATTTCCAGGCTGCAAGGCCAACTCCTGAGACTCAGAAATTTCAAAGAAGGGACCCTGGGCTCCTCGGGTCCAGCCCAAGCCAGAATCTCCAATCTCACACACACTTTAGCCTCCCAGACCAGAGGCCTGAAAACCTGGCTGTGAACACCCAAGTCAGTGGTGAACTCAGTCGTGGGGCAAGCAGGGACCACTTAATGTTCTGCTGCCCAGCGTCCCTACCCTCCTCAGTCCGGGTCCACCGCTCTCTGTACAAACCTCCTCAGTCCCCGTTCCCTGCAGAAACAGAGCCCAGCATCTGAGATGAGCCACAGATGCCTCTGGAAAGGAGCCTGTTCAGAGGGTAGGAGTCAAGGTCAGAGGTAGATGGGGCACCCAGCCAACATCCCCCATCCCAAAGCCAGCTCCCACTGCCGAGAGGCCCAGGCAGTTCATACAGGAAAGGCCCCACGGGTCACTTCCCCAGGAAACACACAACCAAAAGAAAATGCAGTAACCACAATCCTCACCCCACCAGGCCCACCCTAGGAGGGCCAGCAGGGCTCTTGCCCCGACCCACAAAATAAGAAGGAGACCTAGACTCCGTGGCCCTCGGTCTCTCAGTGTCCCCAAGCCAGCAGGGCCTGGCCAGTGGCCAGACCAGCCTATTCCTCAACCAGTGCCCAAGATGACCCTGTCCAGTTACCTCCTGGAACTAAAGACCCCTGTTGGTCATGGGCACAATGGATTCATTCAATAAGCAGGGGAGGGGACAGCAAGGGTGGTTCTGAAACTGGACGAAGGAGACGGCTGGGAGGGCACACTGGGACCACTCAGCGGGCTGCCAGGGCCCAGGCCTCTAGGGAGGCTGCAGAAACCCCGACCCAGGGCCTGGCTCCCCGGGGCGGTGCCTTGGCACAGGGGCCTGTTCAGATTCACGCTCAGCCTTTGCGGTGACACTGAGGGGACGGAGGCTCACAGCCATGTGATTAACATCCAGGGACCAAGGGAGTCCCAGGAAAGGGTTGGTGGGCCAGCTCTCAGGCCAGCCTGCAAGCCCAGCAAAGCTTGGCTCCCCTAGAGAGCGGCCAAGTCTTCAGCCCCAAACCCACAAGCATGTCAGGTTCCCAAGCGCTAGGCCACATCCACGCCAGCCCACCACTCCACAGGTGTCATGGCCTGGAAGCTCGGGACAATTGCAGGGAGATGCGCTCCTCCACCTGGTTTCCAGATGAGGCCCCTGAGGTTCAGAGAGGGATGGTGACCTGGCCAGAATGCACAGCAAGGAAGTGGCAGGATGGGAACTGAATGCAGAGTACAGGCATAGCGTATCACGTGGCCTGTCACCCAGAGGAAAGGGGATGAATGGCGGTTTTGGAGAAGTGAGGCAAGAGGCAGATGGGGTTTGAGGAAGTCTGAGACAGCGCCCAAGTACTGGAGGTGCCACCCAAGAATGCTGTACAGCCAGGCAGGACCTGGGCTAAGAGGGGACAGCAGAGGGGACACACAGAAACAAAGATGGGAAGGGGGAATTGTGGGAGGAACAGGGGCTGGATGGGGGGGCAGGAAAAAGCAATAACAATAATTAAGATAATTCAAAACTAAGGAAAAGGTGAAAGCTGAGAACAGCGGTACCCATGCTGGGAGTGAGGAACTGGGAGGGGGTCTTTCAGGGACAGGAAAGTGGGTGGCTGAGGCATCTGGGAAGTGGCACGTCCCGTAGGCAGCTGAGGGGGAATAGGCAGGATGGGGTGACGCTGTCGAGTGGCACTGGTTTCGGGGAGCAGCTGCAGCCTGAGCCTGGATGAGGGGCTGTCAGGGAGGACAAGGGCTTGAGAGCCAGAAAGGACGAGAGTGTTGGACACCAGAGCCGAAGAGTGTCTGGGACCCGGGGATGAAAGAGATCGTCATGAGTCTCACTGAATTGGGCCAGGAACCAATGAGCTCAAGTCAAGGAGGGGACAAAGGGACAGGTGGGAACCAAGGTGGGCCTGGGCCACAGGGGAAGGGGAGCCAGAGTAGGGAGAAGGGCACAACAGCATGTCCTAGTAGAGACCATGGAGGAGGAGTGGGGGAGAAGGTCAGGAACAGCTGGGGATGGGAAGCAGATCAGAACACCTAAAGCAGGTGAGTCAGGCCACGCCTCCGCCGGCCATAGCCCCAGGCCACCAGGCCAGTCCAGCCCACCCCTGGCGGGGGAATCCAGCCCTGTCTCTCCATGGGAGCCAGCACAGGGCCTAGGAGGGGGCGCATCTCACTACTCTTCTACAGGGCTGGGCACGCAGTACATCCTCAAATGCGCCTGTGGCGACCCTGCCCATTCAGTCCAAGAATTGACACCGAAGACCTCCAATAGCTAGTGTGTATACTGAGCACCCATTATGTGCCAGGCACCCCACCAGCCATGATCCATCCAATCTGCACGACCAGGCAGCCCCCTTCTTACCATATCCTATTTTGATTTGCATCTCCCTCCCGCTACCTCATTTCCAAAGACCTATTGGGCATAAATCATGTGCAGAGCTCGGAGGGTCTAGGACAAGCAGGATTCTAATGAGGATGTCTGCCCCCAACACCCATGTCCTGATTAAGGAACAGCAGGAAAGATCTCCACCTGTTGAGGGGTAGAGTAGGCAGTTAGATCACGGAGGGCTTCCAGGGAGCAGCAACAGTGAGGGTTATACAACCCCTTCCCAATGAAGAGGCCTGTGTGCCTGACCTGGAGCCCTCGGGCCATACTTCAGACTCTTGTCTCACGGCCTCTAGTCCCCTGTGACTTGGGCCTTACAGGCAGGAGCCCACAGATCCATGCCCTTAGAATAGCCAAGGCCCAGGGCAGTGAAGTGACTTGCTCAGGATCACACAGCCAGTTGATGGCCCCTACAGCCCTGCCTGCCGCAAAAACATGCTCCCCAACCCCTGGGAGGTTGGAGTGGTCTCATCTCATTCCTGGGCCATCCATCAATGCCTGGCCCTCTCTAGCCATAGGTATGATGAGCCCCGTCTCTGGGGAAACTGAGACCAGGGGGCTGGAACAGTGTCATGCAGAAACTTGAACGCTGGCTTCTGCTGACCAAGTCCCAAGTGTCCAGCACCATGTTAGATACAGAAGTACTCAAGACGCTGTCCTCACCTCGTCACCTTGGAGCAGGCTTGGCACCCAAAACTATGAATGTGTGAAACTGTGGGGAATCGGAAGGGGGACAACCCAGTTTGGAGGGGCACCTAAAGTCAGACTGGAGCTGCCTCTGGGTTTGGAGTTCAGGGCCCATGCTCAGGAGTCCCAAAGAAGAGGACCCACCCAGGCTGTGGCAGAGTCCAGCCACTGCCGCCCACCCCAGAAGAGTAGCCCAGGGCTGGAGCCATGACCAGGACCTGGCCATTAACAAAGCACAGCCACCAAGAGAAAGATCTCAGTTCATTTCACAGGTGAGGAAACGAAGCCCAGAAACATCACTGGCCCCGCTGGGGTCACCAACTCCTAATCCCAGCTCCTCCTGTTCTAGGATCAACAGTCCCAAATATACACCTGCCAGAGCTGTCATCAGACTTGGTCAGAGTAACCTGGCAAGTATGACTCTGAACAGGACACCTCCCAACTGCTGCTGGGGTCTGGGTGAGCTCCTAGGACACCAGGCACCCAGTGGGGGCTAGCAGCTTGGCCCCTGACTCTAAATCCCTGTTTCCTCACCCAAATGGGGGGCCATAAAAATACAGAGCTCAAGGTAACCCCCAAGCTCTGCCTCACCCCTTCCGCCAGCTTCTCACTGCCCCTCATCCTTTCCATCTGCATTTATGAAGCACCCATTATGATATGAGCTCAGCACCCAGCTAGGCCCCTGGGGGTGCAGGGGTGCATGCAGGAAGTGAGCCATACTGAGGATTCTGTGGGGGTCAGCCTGGCAGCTGGCTCATCCAGAGTGTTGCTGGGAATATGGCAGGGGGGCTGGATGGTGGGGAGGGGTCCCTGCCCAGGATATAAGGCTCTCTGACTCTCCTTGAAGCAACCATCCATCTACTGGTGGCTCTCAGCTGTGTCTGGCCTTGGCCTGGGTGCCTCCAGGGAAGGACATTCTCTGACCTGCGATCACTCCCACCCCAGAAACCATTTATTTTACCTAGAGGCCCAGAGAAGGAAGTCCACACTCTCAAGGTCACACAGCAACTAACTCAGGGGCTGTGTTGCCTGAGTCCACCCAGCCGGCACAAGACACAGGCTTCCGGCAGACGAGGCTGCTCCCCAAACACAATTCACCCCGGGCAGGACTGCCCTAACCTCTCCAGGTACCACAAACCCACCTCAAGCACTTTCTCCTAAGCCAGCCTCCTTCCTCCAAGCACAATGCCAACAAATACACTAGTGGCCTTCAACTCTCTCCCTTTAAGAGTCTCAAGCCCAGGCCGGGTGCAGTGGCTCACACCTGTAATCCCAGCACTTTGGGAGGCTGAGGCGGGCGGATCACAAGGTCAGGAGATCGAGACCATCCTTGCTAACATGGTGAAACCCTGTCTCTACTAAAAACACAAAAAAATTAGCTGGGCGTGGTGGCGGGCGCCTGTAGTCCCAGCTACTCGGGAAGCTAAGGCAGGAGACTGGTGTGAACCTGGGAGGTGGAGCTTGCACTGAGCCGCGCCACTGCACTCCAGCCTGGGCGACAGAGTGACACTCTGTCTCAAAAAAAAAAAAAAAAGAGTCTCAAGTCTTAGGGCAGGGCGTGGTGGTAAAAGCCTGTAATCCTAGCACTTTGGGAGGCTGAGGCTGGTGGATCACCTGAGGTCAGGAGTTCGAGACCAGCCTGATCAATATTGTGAAACCCCGTCTCTACTAAAAATACAAAAATTAGCCGGGTGTGGTGGTGTGTGCCTGTAGTCGCAGCTACTCAGGAGGCTGAGTCAGGCGAATTGCTTGTACTCAGGCAGCGGAGGTTGCAGTGAGCTGAGATCTCGCCACTGCACTCCAGCCTGGGTGACAGAGCAAGACTCCGTCTCAAAAAAAAAAAAAGTCCCAAGCCTCTCCACACCTCACCCCTAACAGGAGCCCACTCTCTCCACACCCCCTGCTGGGGATGAAAGGCCATCCCTCCCCTAGCATCGCAGCTCAACCTTTGCTAGGTGCCATGGAGTGAAGTGGATCCTGCCTGCCTTTCCGGGGGGCTTCCCTCACTCCCCAGCTGTAGCTGGGCAGTAGCCCTCTCCTGGGACCACTCATCTGGCCCAGGGGGCACAGGAGTACAACCTGTCCCCCATTCTGGCCACATTTCCTCCACGACCTGGTCTTTCCCGGCCACGGGGAAGAGGAAGTGTTTGCCCAACTCCACAAAAACACCACAACCTTTCTGCACATACAGGGCAGGGGTCCCACATCAGATGGGCCAGGAACTGCAACTGCCCCTGAGAACCAGTGGCCTGAACAGACACAGCCACTGGGGCCACTAATCCAGGACCCAGAGTCTCTGCTACCCCACTCCAGGCTGCGGGGCCGGGGCGGGGGGGGTTCCCACTCCACACCTCTGAGAGCCTCCGTACTTCCAGAGCCCCACAAGGAGGTTCTGCCCTCAACTTGGGAGCCACCCTGGCAAAGACCCAGCCCCTCTTTCCCAGCTACACTGCTTTCCAAGAGTTCATCCAGCGAAGGGGTTGAGGGACAGGTTGGGAGGGTGGGCTGGGGGTCCTTCCTCTAGGTGCATGCCCCAGAGTCGTGCACACTCTTCCCCACACCCCAACTCTTCTCACTTGCGCTCCTGATGAGCTAAGAGGAGTTGACGCTGTCACCCCGGGACGGTCGGCTGCCCACCCTTCGCACCCTGCACCCCGAGAGACACCCCCGACCCCTCCCCCGGAGTCTCCTGGCTGCAAGTCGGCTCGCCTGCAGGCAGGGCGGGGGCGCACAGCACCTCCGGGTGGCGGCGCAGACCCGGCGGGGACCCCCGAAATCCTCCCGTCCCGGGAGGCGACCGCGGCCCAGACCCAGCGCGGGACCGCGAGCGCGCGCGGACCTACCCGCTCCACATCCCGGCGCCTCGGGGCGCCCAGGCGTCCGTTCCCAGCGCCGCCGCGTCCTCCCAGCGCCGCGTCCCCGCCCGCCGCCGACTCCGCCAGGGGCCGAGCCGCCCCACCGCCTGTCAGCCCTGCCCGCGGCCGGTCAGTAGGTCTCAGACGCCTGGGCTCGCGGCCCCCAGCCCAGCCCCGACCCTGCCCTGGGCGGGTCACGTGGCGGAGGGGGGAGCGGCCCGAGGACACGTGCCCGGCCCCGCCCCTCCGCCGGCCCGGCGCTGGGATCCGGCGCGCGCTCCCAAGGCCTGGCCCCACCCGGCCCGCCGCGCCGGGACAGGGAGACCACGGCGCTCGGAGGGAACCCGGCCCCCAACATCCCGCGGGCCGCGCCGCGCTCAGACTCCCCAGCTGACTCCTCCTCTCCAGTCGCCCTCCGCACCACCCACTTTGGGCCACCCCTGCTCAAGAACCTACAATGGCTCCCGAGCTCTCAGCTCTTCGATTCTCACACAGATTGTCACTTAAGGCCAGCAGACACCCTCCCCCCTCCTCACCCGGCCCTCCTTCCCTAGGCTGTCTGCTTAGTGCCTGTCCCTGTGCAACATCCTGCCTGCTGGGAAGGGGAGGGGACAAACCCGAAACAAGTTTTCTGAGTCCTACTCTCTGAGTTTTATCCCGAAGGAGTTTCCACTTCTGGTCCAACTCTCCTCACTCAGCCTCCTGCCACTTAACACGCTCTGCCCATCCCTGCCTTTACTCACCATCTGCCCTCTGGATAGTATTCCCCACCCCACCCCCACCGACACACACACATACACACACCTGTCTGGTCCCACATCCTCCGTGAAACCTTCCCTGAATCCCAGACGACTGGTCTACCTGTCCCTCAGTTCCTCTGTCCCACCCATTCTGAGTCCTGATCATTCGTCTCAACTTCAGCCTGGGACTGGACCAGTAAGAGCAGAACCCGTCTTCTCTCCCGCCAGGTACCATGGCTCCCACCTTCCCTGTCTAGGGGAGGACTGGGAGCGTGGTGGGAGGTACTTCCCCTTCTAGGTGCTACCAGAGGTCCCAGTGCTACCCCTCCAGGCCCACTGACTCAGGCCGCAGGCTCAAGTTAGTCAGATCTTCGTTTGAGGATACATTTTATTCATTCATTCTACTCATTCATACATTCAGCCACTCCATCTGAGCATAGACTATGGGGCATGCAAGGGGCTGGGGACCCAGCAGGAAACTGTACAGACATAGGTTCTGCCCTCCTGGGGCTCCACGTTGGTGGAGGATGGAGGATGGGGGACGTATTCTCTAAGACCTCCACGTCCAGGGCACAAATAGACAATGCTCTTTCCCCGCTGGGCACAGCGCACAGCAAGGTATGGAATCTGGAGAGTGGAGGCGAGGCTGGATTCTATGCCTTGCTTGCTCCCTTGGCCAGCACTTTGTGCAGTGAACAACCTAGGCAGTTCTCCATAGCATCCCTTCCAACTTTCTAGAATCATTCAGCCCAGGCGTCCCATAGCCATCACTCAGCAGGGCAGTTGTTTCCATGGCCACGGCTTCCAGAGGGCAGGGATTCTCTCTTTCTTGGAGCTATGTTCCCCTACCCCACCCCCAGCCCAGCTCAGGGTCTGGCCCACCCAAAGCAGATGTCCACATGTGTTTGCTGGCTTGAATCCCTCATCAGTTGGTCTTGAGCAACTGTTGTCTTCCTGGCCCTTATTTTGTTCACTATTTAGAGAAGGAGGAGAAAATGACACAAAAGGAACCCAGCACAGGGCCCTTGCCCTCCAAGTCTTCACAAGCCCCGGCAGGAGATAAGTCATGGCAACCCAGACCAGTGGGAGATAAAGGGTGGAGGAGGCGTCAGCTCAGGGCTATGTCCCTGGAGGAAGAGTCCTCAGCCTGGGAGGTCTGGTGGACCGGGGAGGCCCTTGAGCGAGGTCTTGAAGGACAAGTCTGTGGTCACCACTCTGGAAGCATCCACACTCAATTTCTAACCAAAAATAGCCTGTCATCCATGCTTCCTGCTACCATGGACTCCTAGGGCTCACTGCCTCCCCCAGTAGGGAGGACCCTCCTGCTCAGCTGAACTTGCTCCTCAGTTGAAAAGGATGGGCTCGGAGAAGTTAAGGAACCTGCCTGATATCACACCAGCCAGGGGCAGTGGGGCTGAGTCCTCTTACACCCGTTTTCCAAAAAGACCACCCAGAAACTAGAGGCTCACTGGCAGCTGCAGCTGTGTGCAGCCAGGCAGCAAGAGGTTCCTGAGCACATGCTAGGTGTCTGGCCAGTGGCAGGGAAGGGATAAATAAAAGTTGTGTCCTCTGCCTACAAGCCACTGCCCTCCTCAGCCTCCCTCCCTCTATCTCCCTCTGCCTGCTCCATCCCAAGCCTGGCAGCCTTGACCACAGACCCTTGGCTGAAGGCAGCTGAGGAGCAGGAGACAGTCAGCCTGGACAACCCAGGCCCTGATTCTGGACTTACAGGTGTGTCCTCAGCTCACTGTGTGACCCAGGATGAGTGTCTTGCCCTCTCTGAGCTTCAGTCTCCACCTCTGTACAGCCACCAAATTGGACAAGACAATCAGAGCCATTGCCTAGGACTCTCTGAGCCCAGCTTCTCACACTGGCTGCCCTGAAGCTTGCCAAGACTCCCCCTCCCCTCCATGCCCCAGGTCCTGAGCTCACCTGTCTGTGCCCCAGGGCTCTTCTCTCAAGTTCCCCTCAAGTACAGGGCACAGGCCTGATGGGGCGTAGCGGACAGTCCCTGCACTCATGGCCAGGAACACGGGACATGTCCCTCGGGCGGGGCACCCAGCGTGCTCCTCAGAAGAGTCCATGCTTGCAAGGCCAGACTGAGGGTCCCTCTGGAGGGTGCCGGGAAGGGAGGTAGCAGGAGCCTTCTTCCCCCCACCAGGCTGAGCCTCACACTAACCTTTGCTATCTCCCCAGAGCAGCAGCCTGGGAGGGAGGCACCACCTCCCAGGACAGCCGCTATCTCCTTCAACCCCGTAATTATTAACTCCTGTGGCTCCTCAGGCAGCAGAAGACACTGGGCCCTCCTTCCTGGGCTCTGGGCCAGGGGAGGTGAGACACCTCTAGGGGAGGCCCCGTGTTTCAGCCAGGCTCCCAGATGGTCCGCTTGTCCCCTCACCACGCAGGCTGGGGTGTTGGAAAGAGCCCGTCCAGCCTTGATCCTGTCATAGCTGTCATAGCTGGCTGTGTAGCCCTAGACAGGCCCTCCTGCCTGTGACCACAAACCTGAATATCCCCTTAAAACTTTGTTATTGGTGGGGCGCGGAGGCTCACGCCTGTAATCCCAGCACTTTGGGAGGCTGAGGCGGGCGGATGACCTGAAGTCAGCAGTTCAAGACCAGCCTGACCAACATGGTGAAACCCTGTCTCTACTAAAAATACAAAATTAGCCGGGCATGGTGGCGCATGCCTGTAATCTCAGCTACTCGGGAGCCTGAGGCAGGAGAATTGCTTGAACCCGGGAGGCGGAGGTTGCGGTGAGCTGAGACTGGGCCATTGCACTCCAGCCTGGGCAACAAGAGCAAAACTCCGTCTCAAAAAACAAAACAAACAAACAAAAAACTGTTATTTTTTATTTTTTTTCTTTATTTTTAAATTCTTTTTCTTAGATTTGAGATTCCCAGTTTTGTTTTTTGTTTGTTTTTAATTTTTCAAGGCAGGGTCTCGCTCCGTCACCCAGGCTGGAGGGCAGCCTCAAACTGCCCAGCTCAAGCCATCCTCCCACCTCAGCCTCCTGAGCAGCTGGGACTCCAGGCATGTGTCACCATGCTTGGCTAATTTTTAAATTTTTTTTATTTTTTGGAGAGATGGGGTCTCACTACCCTTAAAACTTCTCACCACCACCGCCCAGGAACAACTCAGCGGTAGCAGCTGGGAACACAGGCCCGGGGTCAGACGGGCTGGATTCAACCCCACTTTCAGACGGTGTGCCTTTGAGCACGTTAGCCTCTCCGTGCCTCAGTTTCTCCAACTATGAAATGGATTCTCACCCTCCAAAGCACACCAGGCCAGTTGCCATTGCCCAGATGTGCCCATTCCTCTTCTTTCCACATACTATCCCCCCTGACTGCTATCTCCACTGCATCCTGCCTCTGCTAGTAAGTTTCTCTTTTGTTCATACCCCCTCCTCTAGGAAGCCCTCCCCTGTGGGTTACTTTTTTCCTCTGCAGGCACCAGAGCCCTTAGACACATGGTTAGCCCTGCGTCATGACAAACACCCCCTGGAACTGTTGGACACTCCCACAAGAACTGAGTGGCCCTCTGGGCAGAGGCTGGGCCATCCTCGTCACCCTTCTCAGTGTCACCTTGCCTGGTACACAGACTCCATCCACCTGTGGGATGGTGTGAATGTGCCACCCTGTCTTCATTTGGCCCAAATTCTCATCCTAGTTCTGCCACTCGCTGACTGTGTGGCCTTAGGCAAGTCACTTAACCTCTCTGGGACTCAGTTTCCTCATCTATATAAAATGGGAAGTTCTCCCCTGTGAAATAGTGAGTATTAAAGCAGATAACATTTGTGGCCAGGTGCGGTGGCTCATGCCTGTAATCCCAGCACTTTGGGAGGCCGAGGTGGGAGGATCGCTTGAGCCCAGGAGACCACCCTAGGCAACAAACCGAGACCTCATCTCTATTATTTAAAAAAAAACCCGTCTCTACTAAAAATACAAAAAATTAGCCAGGCGTGGTGGCGGGCGCCTGTAGTCCCAGCTACTCGGGAGGCTGAGGCAGGAGAATGGCGTGAATCTGGGAGGCAGAGCTTGCAGTGAGCCGAGATCACGCCACTGCATTCCAGCCTGGGTGGCAAAGCGAGACTCCGTCTCAAAAAAAAAAAAAGTTTAAAAAAAGAAGACAGCTGGGGGCGTTGGCTCACGCCTGTAATCCCAGCACTTTAGGAGGCCGAGGCGAGTGGATCATCTCTGAGGTTGGGAGTTTGAGACCAGCCTGACCAACATGGAGAAACCCCATCTCTACTAAAAATACAAAATTAGCCGGGGGTGGTGGCGCATGCCTGTAATCCCAGCTACTTGGGAGGCTGAGGCAGGAGAATCGCTTGAACCCAGGAGGCAGAGGTTGCGGTGAGCTGAGATCCCACCATTGCACTCCAGCCTGGGCAACAAGAGCCAAACTCCGTCTTGGAAAAAAAAAAAAGAAGAAGAAGATAACATTTGTGAAGTGTCTGCCACAGTGTAGACTGAAAGAAGTGTTTCCTTCCTTCAGTGTTTCCTGCCCCGTCCTCCTGCCTGTACTTCCCTCTTCTTTCTGGTTAGCCTCTGAGTCCCTGCTGGGGAGAAGCTGCCAGTTCCTCACACCCCACCCTGCCCCGCCCCGCCCAGCGGATAACAGTATCTCCCACTTGGGCTTTGGGCTGCGAAGCTCTCTCAGCCTAATGCAAACCAGATGCTGTCCTCCCTTTCCTGGCAATGAATTTTCCATGGCCTGCTCCCACCCGCTTCCTGTTTTTGCTCCTCTCTGATCCCCCTGCTCAATTCTCCTGTGCCCCCACCTTCCTCTGCTGGGCAACCTCTGGGCTTACCTGGAAACAATTAATGGAAAACAGGATATGTGAAGGGTGGGGGTCTCCCCATCACCCCAACATGGCAAGAGGGGAAAGGGCTTGGCCTGGCTGGTGGCATCATATGTGGGAGTTGGTCCCTCCCTGCCAAGACCCCACCAGCCTCTTGGCCGGGGGCGGGAGAGGGGAAACTGAGTCAGAGTTGCTGGAGACTTTATGGAAAAACCTGTTATGTTTCTGGACATTTAGACACAGCTTGGACTGGATGGGAAGCTTTGAGGATCTTGTCTTTGGTTGTAACTTCTTAGAAAAAAGGCAGAGCCAGAAAAGGCCCGATTGTCTCTTCTTGCAGATGAGGAAACTGAGGCTCAGAGACTCATCCAGGGTCACTTGTGAGTCACAGCAAGAAGCAGCCAGGTCTGGGACGTCTTGTCAGTAAAAGCCGCTGCCTGAAGTCGCCTCCCCTTCTTGCTATCTCAGCGTCATTCCTGCCTGCCCTTCCCCTGCCTCTGCATAGAGCTCAGTCACGAGGGGAGGCTCACAAGGCCACCATCCGCCTGCCTGTGGTGCAGACACCTCCCAGCTGGCAGGCTCAAGGCAGCCACGCACACCTGGCTGGGCAGACTTTGAAGCAACTGGATTTTTCCCCTGCAGGGCTGGGCGCTCAGCAGAGGGGCCCTGGGTAAGCCCCAAAAACATGTGTGCAGGTGGGCCCTTCCTTGGTCCACTTGACCCTGTGAACTTCCTCAGGTCAGCCAGTGCTGGTCCTCAGAGTGAGGGCTCCCCCATTTCCATGAAAACAACAGCCCCAGGGTTCCTGAAAGCCAGTTCTGGCTGCCCCTCCCTCCGCCAGCTGTGCAGGGTGTTTGGACAGCGCGGATGGAATGTTTTGCAGCCAAAGTCCTCCCTGGATCTCTGAGCTCAGATTTCAAGCAGGAGGGAAAGAGGACGCTGGTTCTGGCTCCAGGGAGAGGGGAAGCGACTCAGGAGGTCAAACTTGGGCCTGGAGGCTCCCTGCTCTGTCCCCAGGCCTGACCAAGACCAGGCCCAGGCCCCTCAGGGAAGGGCAGGACAGAGCGTGTGGAGGCGGCCGAATGGGGTCACAGCTTTGCTCAGGCCAACCTGGTGAAGCCAGGCCCCGGGGACAGTCTGGGCTCAGGGAGGGGCTCAGCCCAGGACAGCACTTTGAGAACACTAAGATTCACAACAGACCTCCTTCGACCACCATCTCCATTTTTTAGGGAGGGCAGTTGGGGTCCAGAGAGGGCAGGCACTTGTCCCAGGTGGTACAGCATGCTGGGTACAGAGCGGGGCTAGCAGCCAGGCCTCCGGAAGCTAAACTTGCTCTTTTCACTGTCCAGGAAGTTCCCATCCTCACTCTCAGCCCCAGAGATACAGCCCCTGCCAGTAAGTCGTCATCTTTGCTTCTTCCCCAAAAGATGCAGGCAAAAGAATCTACTCAGAAAGTCAGTTCACAAAGCAAGCACAGACACTAAGCTCCAGGCCAGCCTCTGAGAGATTCGAATTAACCTACTCGAGGACAAGGCAGAGGCCCTGAGAGACAGGATTCCTGGCCCATCTCCTGCTCTGGGGCCAGAGCTCCCCCAGTTCTCCACCACAGCTGCCCAGGCCCCTCAGCGCCCCCACGAAATGAATCCCTTCTCTGGCTGCGAAGACCCATAAGTTCTAGACACAAATATATGGAAGCTAGTTTGAGCCTCAGTTTACCCACCTTAAACCTGGGAGGATTATCTTTGTTCCACTTGACTTATCATCATATTGTGGGGTGCTGATGGTGAGGGCCGGGAAGTGCTGGTGAACCCCTTTGGAAATATCAACAGTTCCCGGTAATGAAACTGACCTCAGACGAAGAAGGGAGGAAGGAAGGAGGGGATTCCTTTGGGCCCAGATGGGTGTGGGAGTCTGACCAAGGTGCCTGGGGCCTGAGCTGAATTCCTAGAGATGAAACCTGTTCACCCGCTCTCAACTCCTCAGAAGGAAAGCTCAGCCACCTTGTGGAATTATTAGAGAACAGAGAATCCATCAGAAACCTTCGGGGGGAAAACATGACTAGTGGAGGAGGGTGTGACCCCCAGAGAGCTGATGACTCCCTTCCAAGGTGGCAGAATGTGGGGTGAACTGGAGACTGTGCTAGGATCTTTACGCGCAATCTCAGATTCTGTTCATCCTTGCAGCGGCCCGACAGTCCTTGGTGGTCCTTCATTGCTTTCTGTTCCCATTTTAAAGATGAGGAAACAGATTTGGAAAGGTTAAAGGATTTGGCCAATGGCTAACAAGTAAAGGAACTCAGATTTTAACCCAGGTTTGTCTGACTCCAAAGCTTGTTTTCTTATCTCTCCACCAGTCACTCTCTCAGGAGGAAGGGTAAAGTGAGGCTTTTTAAACAAAGTAGGGATTGAAGAATCAATAGGATTTAAATATCCATATAGAGCCGGGTGCAGTGGTTCACACCTGTAATTCCCAGCACTTTGGGAGGCTGAGGTGGGTGGATCACTTGACGTCAGGAGTTCAAGACCAGCCTGGCCAACATGGTAAAAACCCTGTCTCTACTAAAAATACACGAATTAGCCAGGCATGGTGGCACACACATGTAATCCCAGCTACTTGGGAGGCTGAGGCAGGAAAATTGCTTGAACCCGGGAGGTGGAGGCTGCAGTGAGCCAACATCACACCACTGCACTCTAGCCTAGGCAACAGAGCAAGACTGTGTCTCAAAAAAAAAAAATCCATATAGAAATGAAGGATGGACATTCCCTGCAGAGGGACCAACAGGTAAAAGGCCTGGAGGTGGGAAGGGCAGAACACAGACAGAGAGAGGCAAACCCTTCACTTTGCCAGGAGCTCAGGCTCATTTGGGGGACAGGAAAAAAAAAGTCTGGAAAGGCAGCCTCAGGTTAAATCCTGAAAAGCCTTGGAGGCGAGTTAAAGAATTTGGACTTTATTCTAAAGGCTCCAAGGAGATGGTTAAACATTTTTGAGCAGAGGAGAGAAATGATCAGAGCCCTGCTTTGGGAAGATTAAATGGACAGCTGTGTGCATAAAAAATAGAAGTGAACACTTATTACACATCTAGCAAGGGAAAGACTTTCTAAACTTGGAAACATTTTGAAGAGATCTTAACAGAAAAAGATCAATAGATCTGTCCGCATTCAAATGTAAAGCTGCTTTATGCTCCTTCCTGCCAAAAAAAAAAAAAAAAAAAAAAAGCCAAAATTAAAAGGCAAATAACTTGGCGAAAATATTCCCAGGCAATGGCAATGCGTTAATATAGTTAACACATAAAGAATTTGCGAAAATCAATAAGAAAAAACACTGGGAGCTCAATAGAGGTGTTCACTCATTCATCAGATTTTTAAGAACACACATGCCAAGTGCTGATGGCATATTAGTGAACCAGACAGACAATGTTTCTGCACTCATGAAGTATACAGTTTAGGAGGGGATTATGTGTAGCGGGGGATTCAGACATCTAATTACAGCATGATATGGTTTGGGTATTTGTCCCTCCAAATTTCACATTGAAATATGATCCCCAATGTTGGAGGTGGGCCTTGTGGGAGGTGTTTGGGTCATGGGAGCTTGGTTCCCTCATGAATGGCTTGGTGCCCTCCCTGTGGTAATGAGTTGCTGCAGGATCTGATTCTTTTTTTGAGATGGAGTCTCACTCTGTCGCCCAGGCTGGAGTGTAGTGCCGCCATCTCAGCTCACTGCAACCTCTGCCTCCTGGGTTCAAGTGATTCTCCTGCCTCAGCCTCCAGAGTAGCTGGGATTAAAGGTGCACGCCACCATGCCTGGCTAAATTTTGTATTTTTAGTAGAGATGGGGGTTTCACCATGTTGGCCGGGCTGGTCTCAAACTCCTGACCCTGTGATCTGCCCGCCTCGGCCTCCCAAAGTGCTGGAATTGTAGATGTGAGCCACACCTGGCCGAGATACAGAAAACTTTTATTTCATCACTCTTTCTTGCCTGGTGCCAGGCCCATGCAATGCCACAATCTTGGCTCACTGCAACCTTCAACTCCCAGGTTCAAGCGATTCTCCTGCCTCAGCCTCCTGAGTAGCTGGGACTACAGGCACTATGCCCCGCTAATTTTTGTATTTTTAGTAGAGACGGGGTTTCAGCATGTTGGCGAGGCTGCTCTCAAACTCCTGACCTCAGATGATCCACCCGCCTTGGCCTCCCAAAGTGCTAGGACTATAGGCATGAGCCAACGCACCCAGCCAGATCTGATTCTTAAAAAGAGTCTGGGACCTCCCTCCATCTCTCTCTTTTTCTCTCTCTCACCACTTGACATGCATGCCCCCCCCTTAACCTTCTGCCATGATTGGAAGCTTTCTGAGGCCCTTATCAGAAGGAGATGCTGGTGCCATGCTTCCCGTACAGTTGGCAGAACAGCGAGCCAGAGAAAACTCTTCTATACAAATTGCCCAGACTCAGGTATTCCCTATAGCAATGCAAAACAGACTAACACACAGGACCACAGGTCAGGTACAAGGATAGGGGAAGTGCAAAGTCGTCTGGGAGCACATCCAGGAACTCCCAACCTAGACTTAAGGTTAGGAGTCTGGAAAAATTTCCTGAGGCAGGAGTTTGGGAGTGGAAAGGGAGACCATTGAAAGAGTTGGGGCTGGCAAGAGAGTCAGGGGCTAGATCTTGTGGGGCTTTGTATGTGGTATGGTTTGGCTCTGCATCCCTGCCCAAATCTCATGTTGAATTGTAATTTCCAGTGTTGAAGGAGGGGCCTGGTGGGAGTTGACTGGGTCATGGTAATATATTTCCCCCCTGCTGTTCTTGTGCCAGTTCTCACAAGATCTGGTTGTTTAAGAGTCTGTAGCACCTCCCCCTTTGCTCTCTTCCACTTGCTCTGGCCATGTAAGATGTGCCTGCTTCCCCTTCACCTTCAGCCATGATCGTAAGTTTCCTGAGGCCTCCCCAGCCATGCCTCCTGTACAGCCTGCAGAACAGTGAGCCTATTAAACCTCTTTTCTTTATAAATTACCCAGCGTTGAGTAGTTCTTATAGTAGTGTGAGAATGAACTAATACAGTATGCTAGGTAAGGAGTTCAAACTTTATACTTAAAGACTAAGAGGAGTCATTGAAGGATTTACGCAGGAGTGTGATGTGAACGGATTCACATATCAAAAAGATGGCTACTATGGATAAGTGTGGAATGGCTTGGAGAATTTCTGCTCCTTAGGGATGTGGTGGACTTGAAGCAGAGAGGAGCCTTCCTGCTACAGAAAAAAAAAAAAAAATTCTAGAAAAAGAGGCTATAATTCTTTGAGGATGTGTTGTCTATCAAGCTCTAGGCCTTGTCTGCCAAAGCCACTTCCTTACCCACAAAGGAAAGTGCAGCCAAAGCTGGGAGCTTTGGCCAGGAGGGAGGTTGGGGACATGAATGTGGGCATCTACATGGTGCTAGGACCCTCCAAATACATGGAGCTAGGACCCTCAAAATACATGAAGCTAGGACCCTCAAAATATATGGAGCTAGGACCCTCAAAATACACAGAGCTAGGACCCTCAAAATACACGGAACTAGGACCCTCAGAATACACAGAGCTAGGACCCTCAAAATACATGAAGCTAGGACCCTCAAAATACATGGAGCTAAGACCCTCCAAATACATGGAGCTAGGACCCTCCAACTACATGAAGCGAGGACCCTCAAAATACATGGAGCTAAGACCCTCCAAATACATGGAGCTAGGACCCTCCAACTACATGAAGTGAGAACCCTCAAAATACATGGAGCTAGGACCCTCAAAGAGGGCTGAAGTGTTTCATGTTGGTGACACCCCTGGCTCCAGGCAGAAGCAGATTCAAATCCTCTTTGGAGGAATGTGTCCAAATTTAGATATGAAGGATTCCTATTGCTCAATATCAAGCAGTGAGCTCACAATCAGAGATCACCAGCACATAAAGATGCTAGCCACTATGAGTAAGAATCAACAGAAACAACACACAACAGATTTAGATGCTACAGAACTCCAGGTAGTGGTCTCCTATATATGATATAGAAAGGTTAACACATGAATTTTTAGAATCTGTTTTTAAAGAAAAAGAACACACACAAAATTTACAAAAAACAAAAAAAAATTATTTTTAATTATGGCTACATTATAGTTGTACATATTTGTGGGGTATATGTGACCTTTTGACACAAGCATACAATGTATAATGATCAAATCTGGGTAACTGGGATATTCATCACCTCAAACATTTATCATTTCTTTGTGTTGAGAACATTACAAATCATCTCTTGTAGCTATTTTGACATATATGATAAGTTATTGTTAATATATACATATGGGCAGGCATGGTGGCTTCCCAGCACTTTGGGAGGCTGAGGCAGGTGGATCGCTTGAGCCCAGGAGTTTGAGACCAGCCTGGGCAAAATGGTGAAACCCTGTCTCTGCTACAAACACAAAAATTAGCTGGGTGTGGTGGCATGCGCCTATTGTCCCAGCTACTTGGGAGGCTGAGACACAAGAATCGATTCAACCCAGAAGGCAGAGGTGCAGTGAGCTGCCGAGATCGCACCACTACACTCCAGCCTGGGTGACAGAGTGAGACTTGGTCTCAAAAAGCTTTAAAAAAATTTAAAAAAAAATGTATGATCTGAACATGAATAAACAACAAGAGATTATCAAGGAGAACCAAGCAGATTTTTTTTTTTTTTGAGACAGAGTCTTGCTCTGTCGCCAGGCTGGAGTGCAGTGGTGTGATCTTAGCTCACTGCAAACTCTGCCTCCTGGGTTCAAGCGATTCCCCTGCCTCAGCCTCCTGAGTAGCTGGGACTACAGGTGTGCACCACCACACCCAGCTAATTTTTTGTATTTTAGTAGAGACGGGGTTTCACCACGTTGGCCAAGATGGTCTCGATCTCCTGACCTTAAGTGATCTGTCTGCCTCGGCCTCCCAAAGTGCTGGGACTATGGGCATGAGCCACCGCGCCCGGCTTTTTTTTTTTTTTTTTTTTTTTTTGACAAGGTCTCACTCCGTTGTTGCCCAGGCTGGTGTGCAGTGGTGCAGTCTCGGCTCGCTGCAACCTTTGCCTCCCAGGTTCAAGTGATTCCCCTGCCTCGGCCTCCTAAGTAGCTGGGACTACAGGCGAATGCCACCACCATGCCCGGCTAATCTTTGTGGTTTTAGTAGAGGCAGGGTTTTGCCACGTTGCCCAGGCTGGTCTCAAACTCCTGGGTTAGAGTGATACACCTGCCTCAGCCTCCTGAAGTGCTGGGATTACAGGCATGAGCCACCACTCCCAGCCAAGCATAGACTTATAAGGTCTATGAAATCAAGAATAGAAAATAGAGAATGGAGGGGAGGTGATATTTGTTTAATGGGTATGGAGTTTCATTTGGGAAGATAAAAAATGTTCTAGAGATGGATAATGGTTGCACAACAATGGGAATGTAATTAATGTCACTAAACTATATACTTAAAAATGTTCAAAATATTTTTTAAAAAGGCATATTTGACCACCTAAGCATAAGGATATGGAAAGGGTGAGCTTGAAAAAGTTACACCAAAAGCAAGGTGGTATTTCTGCATTAATAACCAAACTTTAAGACGAATCATGGTGAATTATGCATGTAATCCCAGCACTTTGGGAGGCTGAGAAGGGAGGATCACTTGAGCTCAGGAGTTCAAGACCAGCCTGGGCAACATGGGGAGACCCCATCTCTACAAAAAATCAAAAATTAGCCAGGCGTGGTGGTGCAGGCCTGTAGTCCCAGCTACTTGGGAGGCTGAGGCAGGAGGATCACTTTAGCCTGGGAAGTCAAGGCTGCAGTGAGCTGTGATCATGCCACTGCACTCAGTCTGGGCAACACAGCAAGACCCTGTCTTAAAAAGACCAAATTAATAACAAACTTTAAGACGAAAAACATTATTAGTGTAGAGGTGGTCACTATGCAGTAATAATAAAGTGATGACAATGTTTAAAAAAAATTCACCAGATAGATATAACCATCTAAATTAATATGTGCCTAATAAAATAGCCTAAAATATTTAAAGCAAAAATAATTAAAGCTACAGGGGAAAATAGACACATCTATCATTATGGTGTGAGATGTCAACAAATGTCTCTGAACTACGGCTACATCAAGGCAGCAAAACATCAGGAGCTGGTGGCAGCAGAGACCACTGGCCTTGGTAGTAACTGAAGTATAGAGCACTAGATCAAAGCGAACCGATAAGCAATTTGATCCCTAGGTCCCCTCCTCTACTCCATGCCACTGGCCAACTGCCCCTTTCTTAGTCTAGCATAACACTGGAGATTTATTCTCTGGAGAAGGCAAAACAGAAGGTCTTTGGGCCAGTAGCTGAATAAGAGGGTTAAGTGATTATATACACACTGAAATCCAAGACCTCCAACCCTCTTCTGTCACTTGTCAGCCAAAGTGGCAACTCACTCAGTCACCAGGAGGGTAAAGACAGACTTTTACCCTCCAGACAGCCCCTCTATGGGACTCTGGCCAACCCAAGAAGAGAGATCTAAGACGAATGTTACCCAACAAAATATCCATCCAGCTCAAAGTCAACATGCTTGCCATCAGTTTTTAAGATCTCGCTCTTAATAATGAGCAATCAAGGATTATTAGACAACTAAGGAGAACCTCTACCTTAAGAGAGACCAAACCCAGTAAGCAGAAGAAAAGCAACTTGCAGGAAACAGAGACTCTGTAGAAAAAAGAAGAGGAGGTGAAGAGGAGGAGGAGGAGAAGGAAGGCAAGGAGGAGGAAGAAGGAGAGGCATTAATAACCTCAGGATGAGAAAAGAAGGTATTGCATTCATGAAATAATAACCTGATTCTATGAAAGTAAACATTCACAGAACAACAAAAACTATTGGAAAATAATATATTTTTTAAAAGCATGATGGTAGAAATGAAAACAATGAGTAAGGTTGGAAGACACAGTTGAGGGAATATCCTTCAGAAAGAAAGAAATGGAAAATAGTGAAAAGATTAGAAAAGTAGAGAATCAATTTAGAAGATTCAATATCTGAATAAAGAAGCAACAGAAGAAAATGAATGAACTGGCCAGGCATGGTGGTTCACACCTGTAATCCAAGCACTTTGGGAGGCTGAGGCAGGCAGATCACAAGGTCAGGAGTTTGAGACCATCCTGGCTAACATGGTGAAACCCCGTCTCTACTAAAAATACAAAAAATTAGCTGGGCGTGGTGGCGGGCGCCTGTAGTCCCAGCTACTCGGGAGGCTGAGGCAGGAGAATGGCGTGAACCCGGGAGGTGGAGCTTGCAGTGAGCCGAGATCTCACCACTGCACTCCAGCCTGGGAGACAGAGCGAGACTCTGTCTCAAAAAAAAAAAGAAAAGAAAATGAAGGGGGTAAAGCATCAAATAAATAATTCAAGATTATTTCCCAAAACTGAAGTATATGAGTTTTCAAATTGAAAAAGACCACCTTAGCTGGACATGGTGGCTCACATCTGTAATCCCAGCACTTTGGGATTCTGGTTTATAAAAAAATTAGTGTTATACTGTAAGATTTTTTATTTGCTTATATCAGTCTTCAAAAATATCCATTTTAATAGTTCATTCATTCAGCAGTTATTTGTTTGGTATTTCTTTGCCTGACAGTCACTCTTCCAGGCACAGGGTGTATAGCAATGAGCAAAACAAGGCCCTGCCCTATGAGGTTTACATTCTAAGCTTTATAGGGCTTACAATGTAATAAAAGACATTAAAAAGAAATAAAAGACATAAATAAAAGAGAAATCAAAGACATAAATAGAAAATAGTGATAAAGTCTTCTAGAACTTTTTTTTAACTCAACATTATATCCAAGACTTACCTTATTTTATGTAACTATAGTTCATTTTTTTTTTTTTTTTTTTTGAGACGGAGTCTCACTCTATCGCCCAGGCTGGAGTGCAGTGGCACAATCTCAGCTCACTGCAACCTCTGCCTCCAGGTTCACGCAATTCTCCTGCCTCAGCCTCCTGAGTATCTAGGATTACAGGCTTGCACTACCATGCCCAGCTAATTTTTGTATTTTTAGTTGAGACAGGATTTCACCATGTTGGCCAGGCTGGTCTCAAACTCCTGACCTTGTGATCTGCCTGCCTCAGCCTCCCAAAGTGCTTGGATTACAGGTGTGAACCACCATGCCTGGCCAGTTCATTCATTTTTATTGCTGTATAATATTCCATGATAGGACCATAACTGTGGTAGGATAAAAATGGCCTCTCAAAGATATTGAATCCTAATCTTTGAAAACTGTAAATGTTACCTTATATGAAAACAGAGTCTGTAAAGATGTAATTAAGTTAAGGACCGTGAGATGGGGAGATTATTCCAAATTATTGGAGTAGACCCTAAATGCAATCACATGTATCCTTATAAGAGGGGGGCAGAAAGAGATCTGACACAGACAAAAGAGGAAAAGGCACAAGATGGAGGAGTGTTGTGGCCAAAAGCCAAGGAGTGCTGGCAGCCACCAGGAGCTGAAAGAGACAAGAGAGCCTCCAGAGGGAGCATAGATCTACTGACATCTTGCTTTAGGCCCAGTAATACTGATTTTGGACATCCTGGCCTCCCGAATGGTGAGAAAATAAGTTTCTGTTGTTTAGAGTCACGTAGTTTGTGATAATTTGTTACAATTATCATTAAAAAAAGTAATGCAGATTTTGGAACCAAGAGTGGAGTGCTGCTGTAACCAAAACCTAAAAATGTGGAGGTAGCTTTGGAATTGGGTAATGAGTAGAGACGAAGAATTTTGGGGAGCATGACAGAAAAAGCCTAGGTTTCTTTGAACAGATTGTTAGTAAAAATATGGATATTGGCTGGGTGTGGTGGCTCACGGCAACATGGCGAAACCCTGTCTCTACTAAAAATGCAAAAATTAGCTGGGCATAGTGGTGTGTGCCTGCAGTCCTAGCTACTAGGAAGGCTGAGGCAGGAGAATCACTTGAACCCAAGAGGTGCAGGCGGCAATGAGCCAAGATTGCGCCACTGCACCCCAGCCTGGGTAACAGAGCAAGACCTTGTCTCAGAAAAAAAAAGAAAAGAAAAAGAAAGATGGCTATTAAGGCTCTACCAGTGAGGACTCAGAACAAAATGAAGAAAATGTTACTAGAAACTGAAGGAGACGAGGTCCCTGTTCTATAGAGGTAGAAAGTCTAGCTATACTTTGTCCTACAGTTGCATGGAAAGCAGAATTTGTGAGTGATGCACTTGAATATTTAGCTGAGATGATTTCCAAGCAAAAGAGATGGGATCTTCTTTTGTCATCCAGGTTGGAGTGCAGTGGCACAATCCTAGCTCACTGCATCCTCAAACTCCTGGGCTCAAGTGATCCTCCTACCTCAGCCTCCCAAAATGCTGGAATTACAAGTATGAGCCACTGTGCCTGGCCTGAGTAAATATACACACACACACACACACACACACACACACACATATGTATATATATACACACAATATATATTGTGTGCATATATACATATATTTGTATATATACATATATATGTGTATGTGTGTGTGTGTGTGTGTGTATGTATATATATATATATATATAT
The DNA here is from genome assembly GCF_000001405.40 of Homo sapiens. NCBI lineage: Eukaryota > Metazoa > Chordata > Mammalia > Primates > Hominidae > Homo > Homo sapiens. The sequence continues at coordinate 61,934,472 of NC_000011.10, forward strand.
ATATATATATATATATATATATATTCTATGCCTAAAGAAAAGGATCAGATGTCAGTGCAAATGGTATAGTAGAAAACTTCAAAAGTCCCTAAGGGCTTTGAAAAGCTCCTACATAGTCCAGGGAATAGAGGTGCACATGCGTGCCTAGGGCTGGGTGCATGCTCAGAAAAGACCTGAAGGGGTCCTAAATTCCCACCTCTACCTGATCTTCAGGCTCTCTGTAAGCAGAAGACAAAGGTTAAAGCACAGTTGTAAATTGCCTGGCTTAGAGTTGAAGGTATGTGCCGACACACATACAGAGCCATTCTGCAAAGACTGGAAGATTTTTATCACTGTTCTAGGTATTTAAGAAAATCTCTGTCAAGTCATTAGCTGATCACTAAGCTAATGAAACAAAGACTTTAGTGGATATACACAAGAAAAAATACAGACTTTACAAAATTAGTTCAGAAAAGTCACCAAAAAACAAAACAAAACAAAACAAAAAAATCCCAACAAGTACTACAAGCCTCAATAACAAACTCTGGGGTGCTGGGAGATTTCAGATTTGATTTCCAGAGTTGCTACATTTAAATATTAAAAATGTCCAGTTTCAAACAAAAATTATGAGACATTCAAAGAAACAAGAGAGCATAGTTTATGTGTGGGGAAAAAATAAACTAATAGAAACTGTTAGGTCAGGTGTGTTGGCTCACGCCTGTAATCCCAGCATTTTGGGAGGCCATGAATCACGAGGTCTGGGGTTCAAGACCAGCCTGGCCAAGATGTTGAAACCCCATCTCTACTAAAAATACAAAAATTAGCTGGGTGTGGTGGCACGCACCTGTGATCCCAGCTACTTGGGAGGCTGAGGCAGGAGAATCGCTTGAACCCGTGTGGCAGAGGTTGCAGTGAGCTGAGATTGAGCCACTGCACTCCAGCCTGGGTGAGAGAGCAAGACTGTGTCTCAAAAAAAAAAAAAAAAAAAGAAAGAAACTGTTTCTGAGGAAGCACAGACATTAGACTTTATAGATAGACTTTAAATCAACTATTTTATTGTATTAGTTAATTAATTATTTTTTGAGATGGAGTCTTGTTTTGTCACCCAGGCTGGAGTGCAGGGGCACTATCTCAGCTAACTGCAACCCCCACCTCCCAGGTTCAAGTGACTCTACTGCCTCAGCCTCCCGAATAGCTGGGATTATAGGCACCTATCACCATGCCTGGCTAATTTTTGTATTTTTAGTAGAGATGGAGTTTCACTATGTTGGCCAGGCTGGTCTCAAACTCCTGGCCTCAGGTGATCCACCTACCTCGGCCTCCCAAAGTGCTGCGATTACAGGGGTGAGCCACCACACCTGGCCTAAATCAACTATTTTAAATCTACTCAAAGACCTAAAGGAAACCATGAGAACTATATCTCACTAAATATAGAGTATAAATAAAGATAAATTATAAAAAGAAAACAAATAGAAATCCTGGAGTTTTAGGTATATGCCAAGAGGAACATTTAAAAAAAAAAGAAAAAAGAGAAAAATAAATTCTGGAGTTGAAGAGTATAATAACTGAAATAAAAATTCGCTAGAGGAGGTCAATATAGATTAGAGCAGGCAAAAGAAACAATCAGCACACTTGAAGATAAGTCCACTGAGATTAACAATCTGAGAAACAAGAATGGAGAAAAGCAAATGGAGTTTAAGAGACCCATGGAATACCATCGAGCATAACAACATATGCATAATGAAAGTCCCAGATGGAGAGGAGGCAGAGAAAGAAGAAGACAGAATATTTGAAGAAATAATGGCCCAAAACTTCCAATATGTAATGGAAGATTCAATCTTCACATTCAATAAGCCTAATGAATCCCAAGTAGGATAAACACAAAGAGATCAAAACCAAGATACATTAGAATCGAACTATTGAAAGACAAAGATAAAAAGAGAATCTTGATTTTTGTTGTTGTTGTTTTGAGACAGAATCTCACTTTGTTGCCCAGGCTGGAGTGCAGTGGCACGATCTCAGCTCACTGTAACATCTGCCTCCTCCGTGCCTGGCTAATTTTTGTATATTTAGGGGAGACAGGGTTTCGCCATGTTGACCAAGCTGGTCTCAAACTCCTTACCTTAAGTGATCCACCCACCTCGACCTCCCAAAGTGCTGGGATCACAGGCGTAAGCCACCATTCCCCGCCTGAAGAGAGAATCTTGAAAACAACAAGAGAAAAGTGACTCATCACATATAAGCTAATCTCAATAAGATTAACAGTTTATTTCTCATCAGAAACCATGGGGGCCAGATAGTGGGATGATATATTCAGAAAATGCTGAAACCAACAAACAAAAGAGGATTAAGATTTCTATATCTATCTATATATAACTAAGATTTCTATATCTGGCAAAGCTATCCTTCAGAAAAAAAAGGAGAACTCAAGACATCCTCAGATAAACTAAAGTCGAGAGAGTTTGTCGCTAGTAGACCTGCCATATAAGAAATGCTAAAGGGAGCTGTTCAGGTTGCTACTAAAGGACACTAGATAGTAACTCAAAACCACATGAAGAAATAAAGAACATCAGTAAAATAAATACATAGGTAAATATACATAGATAAATATAAAAGTTAGTATTACTGTATTTTTAGTTTAAACTCCTCTTTTTTCCCTTATATAATTTAAAATACATCTACAATAACCATAAATCTATGTTGATGGGCATGTAAGGCATAAAAATGTAATTACTGACAATAAAAACATGAAAGGTAGGGGATGAAGCTATAGAGGTTCAAAGATTTTGCATGCTATTGAAACTAAGTTGGTATTAATTAGAATTAGATTGTTAAATATTATTATTTAAATTTTTTGTTGTAGTTGCAGTTTTTGAGACCAGGTCTTGCTCTGTTGCTTGGGCTGGAGTGCAGTGTTGCGATTATGGCTCACTGCAGCCATGAACTCCTGGACTCAAGTGATCATCCCACCTCAGCCTCTGAGTAGCTGGGACTACAGGTGCACATCACCACATCTGGCTAATTTGGTGGGGGGGTGGCTAGATACGGGGTCTTTCTTTATTACCCAGGCTGGTCTCAAACTTCTGACCTCAAGCAATCCTCCTACCTCAGCCTCCCAAAGTGGTAGGGCTTGAGTCACCATGCCCAGCCAAATTGTTCAATATCCAAGACAACCACTAAGAAAATAACTAAAAGAAAAGAAAAGAAGGGAATCAAAAGAAAAAAAGAGAATCAAAATGGGGCACTAGAAAATATTTAACACAATAGAAGGCAATAATGAAGGAGTTGAGGAACAAAAAAACAAAAATATATAATGCATATAAAAAATAGCAAAATGGGAATAAATCCTTATCAGTAATTACATTAACTGTAAATGGATTGAATTATCCAATTGAAAGGCAGAGATTAGTAGAATTGATTTTTTTTAAAAAAAACATGATCCAGTGCTCACTTCAGCAGCACATATACTAAAATTGGAATGATACAGAGAAGATTAGCGTGGCCCCTGTGCAAGGTTGACATGCAAATTTGTGAAGCTTTCCATTATAAAATTAAAAAATTAAAAAAAAACCCCACATGATCCAACTATATATGCTGTCTACAAGAGCTTCGCTTTAGCTCAAATGACCCAAATTGTTGAAAGTGAAAGGATGGAAGATATTCCAGGCTAGGGGCAGTGACTCACGCCTGTAATTCCAGCCCTTTGGTAGGCTGAAGTGGGAGGATTTCTTGAGGCCAGGAGTTCAAGACCAGCTTGGGCAACGAAGTTATGCTATCTACTAAAACAAACAAACAAACAAAAAAACCTGGTATGGTGGCACACACCTGTAGTCCCAGCTACTCAGGAAGCTAAGGTGGGAGGATGGATCCCTTCGGCCCAGGAGTTTGAGGCTGCAGCCACTGCACTCCAGCTTGAGTGACAAGGGACTCTGTATTTAAATACTACATATATTCCATGAAAACTAACAAAAAGAGGGCTGGAGTGGATATCCTAATATTATAAAAAATAGACCTCAAGGCAAAAATTGTTACAAGGGACAAAGAGAAACATTTTGTAATGATAAAAGGTTCAATTCATCAAGAAGATATAACAATTATATATTTCACCTAACAGGAGAGTCCTCAAAGTATTTGAAGCAAAAATGGACAGAATTCAAAGTAGAAACAGGCCAGCAAGAATAGCTGGAAATATCGGCTGAGCACAGTGGCTCATGCTTCTAATCCCAGCACTTTGGGAGGCCGAGGTGGGCAGATCACCTGAGGTCAGGAATTCAAAACCAGTCTGCCCAACATGGTAAAACCCTGTCTCTACTAAAAATACAAAATTTAGCTGGGCATGGCAGTGTGTGCCTGTAATCCCAGCTATTTGGGAGGCTGAGGCAGGAGGATGGCTTGAACCTGGGAGGTGGAGGTTGCGGTGAGCCAAGATTGTGCTACTGCTCTCCAGCCTGGTAACAGAGCAAGACTCTGTCTCAAAAAATAAAAAAAAGTAATAAATAAATAAATAAATAAATAAAAAGAATAGTTGGAAACGTCAATACTTCACTTTCAATAATGGCTAGAACTACACACTAGATAAGGACATAGAAGACTTGAACAGTGCTAACTCTACCCAACCATAGCAGAATATACATTCTTCTCAAAGTACACATAAAACATTCCCCAGGATAGACCATATGTTAGACCACAAAATAAGTCTTAATAAATTTTAAAGAATTGAAATCATATGAATTATCTTTCCAACCACAAAGGAATGAAATTAGAAATAACAGAATTAAAAGTGAAAAATTCACAAATATGTGGGAATTAAGCAACACACTCTTAACTGCCCCACGGATCAAAGAAAAAATCACAAGAGAAATTAGATGAGATGAATGAAAATGAAAATACAGCATACCAAAACTTATCGAATACAGCAAAAGCAGTACTCAAAGGGAAATTTATAGCTGTAAAAACCTACATCAAAGAGAAGAAAGATCTCCAATTAATAACCTAAACTTCCAATTTAAGGAACTAGAAAAAGTAGAATAAACTAAACCCAAAGCAAGCAAAAGAAAGAATAAAAATTAAGAGTGGAGATAAATGAAATAGAAAAGAGAAAAACAACAGAAAGAATCAATGAAAACAAAAGTTGATTCTTCAAAAAGATCAAGAAAATTGATGAAACTTTAGACTGACCAAAAAAAAAAAAAGAAGACTCAAATTACTAAAGTTAGGAATAAGGCTGGAGTGGCTCACGCCTGTAATCTGAGCACTTTTGGAGGCCAGTGCGGGGGAATTGTTTGAGCTCAGGAGTTCAAGACCGGCTTGGGCAACATAAGGAAACCTTGTCTCTGCTAAAAATAAAATATTAAAAAATTAGCCAGGTGTGGTGGCACATGTCTGTAGTCCCAGTTATTTGAGAGGCTGAGGCAGGAGGATTACTTGAGCCCAGGAGATTGAGGCTGCAGTGAACTATGATCTTGCCACTGCACTCCAGCCTGGGCAACAGGGTGAGACTCTGTCTCAAAAAAAAAAAAAGGAACGAAAGTAGAAAAATTACTACTAGCTGGACATGGTGTCTCGTGCCTGTAGTCCTAGCTACTGGGGAGGTTGAGGCAGGAGGATTGCCTTGAGCCCAGGAGTTCAAAGCTGCAGTGAGCTATGATCGTACCACTTCTCTCCATCCTGGGTGATAGAGCAAGATGCTGTCTCTAAAGTAAATACATAGGCTGGGTGCAGTAGCTCACGCCTGTAATCCCAGCACTTTGGGAGGCCGAGGCTGGCAGATCACCTGAGGTCGGGAGTTCGAGACCAGCCTGACCAACATGGAGAAACCCTGTCTCCACTAAAAATACAAAATTAGCCAGGCATAGTGGCGCATGCCTGTAAACCCAGCTACCCGGGAGGCTGAGGCAGGAGAATCACTTGAACCTGGGAGGTGGAGGTTGCGGTGAGCCGAGATCATGCCATTGCATTCCAGCCTGGGCAACCAAGGGTGAAACTCCGTCTCAAAAAAAAAGAAAAAAAAAAGTAAATACATAAATGAATGAATAAAAATTAAAAATAAAAATGTGGCCAGGCATAGTGGTTATGCCTGTAATCCTGGCATTTTGGGAGGCCAAGGCGAGAGGATTCCTTGAGCCCAAGAGTTCGAGACCAGCCTGGGCAAGATGGTGAGACCCTATCTCTACAAAAAGTTTAAAAGTTAGGCTGGGCGCGGTGGCTCACGCCTGTAATCCCAGCACTTCGGGAAGACGAGGTGGGCGGATCACTTGTCAGGGGTTTGAGACCAGCCTGGGCAACATGGTGAATCCTTGTCTCTACTAAAAATACAAAAATTAGCGGGGCATGGTGGCACTTGCCTATAGTCCCAGCTACTCAGGAGGCTGAGGTGGGAAAATGACTTGAACCCGGGAGGTGGAGGTTGCAGTGAGCCGAGAATGCACCACTGCACTCCAGCCTGGGCAACAGAGCAAGACTCCATCTCAAAAAAAAAAATGTAAAAATTAGCCAGGCACTGTGGCACGTGCTTGTAATCCCAGCTGCTTGGGAGGCTGAGGCAGGAGGCTCCCTTGAGCCTAGGAATTCAAGGTAGCAGTGAGCTATGATCACACAGCTGCACTCCAGCCTGGGTGATAAAGTGAGATTCTGTTTCTATAAATAAATAATAAAATAAATAAAACATTTTAAAAAGAAAAACTACTACCAACCTTACAGATACAGAAAGAATTATAGAACACTATGAAAAATTGTATGACAACAAACTAGATAACCTAGATTAAATGAACAAATGCCTAGAAACCAAAACTTCCTCAAGAAGAAACAGAAAACTTGAATAGACCTCAAACACAAGATTGAATCAGTAATCAAAAAACTTCCAATAGAGAAACGATTAGGAGCAAATAAAGAATAAATGCCAATCCACAAACTGTTCCAAAAAATAGAGAAGAATATACTTCATAACCCATTCTCTTGTGCCAGTATTATCCTAAAACTAAAGCCAGACAATATCTCACAAGGAAAGAAATATAAAGACCAGGCTGGGCGTGGTGGCTCACGCCTGTAATCCCAGCAATTTGGGAGGCTGAGGCAGGTGTATCACGAGGTCAGGAGATCGAGACCATCCTGGCTAATGTGGTGAAACCCCATCTCTACTAAAAATACAAAAAATTAGCCAGGTGTGGTGGCAGGCACCTGTAGTCCCAGCTACTCGGGAAGCTGAGGCAGGAGAATGGCGTGAACCCAGGAGGCGGAGCTTGCAGTGAGCCCAGATCGCACCACTGCACTCCAGCCTGGGCAGCAGAGCAAGACTCTGTCTCAAAAAAAAGAAGGAATATACGGACCAATATCCCTTATGAATATAGATGCAAATATCCTCAACCAAATACTAGCAAATCCAATCCAGCAACATGTTAAAAAGATTATACATCGTGTCCATGTGGGATTTATCATGGGAATGCAAGCAAGGTAGTTGAACATATGAAAATCAGTGTAAAGGCCAGGCATGGTGGCTCATGCCTATAATCTTAGCACGTTGTGAGGCCTAGGCGGGCAGATCACTTGAGGTCAGAAATTTGAGACCAGCCTGGCCAGCATGGTGAAACCCCACCTCTACTAAAAATACAAAAATTAGCCAGACATGGTGGCGTGCTCCTGTAATCCCAACTACTTGGGAGGCTGAGGCAGGAGAATCGCTTGAAACCAGAAGATGGAGGTTGCAGTGAGCCATGATCGCACCACTGCACTCCAGCCTAGGCAACAAGAGCAAAACTCCGTCTCAAAACAAACAAACAAGATGTGCTTTGTTAAACAGATGCTTGAAGGCAGCATGATCGTTAAGAGTCATCACCACTCCCTAATCTCAAGTAATCAGGGACACAAACACTGTGGAAGGCCGCAGGGTCCTCTGCCTAGGAAAACCAGAGACCTTTGTTCACTTGTTTATCTGCTGACCTTCCCTCCACTATTGTCCCATGACCCTGCCAAATCCCCCTCTGTGAGAAACACCCAAGAATTATCAATAAAAAAATAAATTAAAAAACAAACAAACAAACAAACAAAAAACACCTGAGCTCAAACAATTCTCCCTCCTTGGTCTCCCCAAATGCTGGGATGACATGCATGAACCACTGCACCTGGCAAATTATGACATGATCTTATATGTAGTAAACCCTAAAGAATCCACACAAAAACTATTACAGCTAGTAAATAAATTCAGCAAAGTTACAGGATACAAGATTAATATACAAAAATCAGCTGTATTTCCATACATTAGCAATAAACAATCTGAAAATAAAATTAAGAAAATAATGCCATTTACAAAATGGAACTTTATTCTTATTAAAAAGAATAAGAGACTTCGGAATATTTTTAACCAAGAAGATGCAAGACTTGTACACTGAAAACCCTACGACAGTGGTGAATGAAACTAAAGAATACCTAAATAAATGAAAAGACATCCTATGTTCATGGATTGGAAGACTTGATGTTGTAAAGATGACTAAGTGATCTACAGACTCAGTGTAATCCCCATCAAAATTCCAACTGCGTTTTTTGCAGAAATGGGCAAGGCGATCCTAAAATTCACATGGAATTGCAATGGACCCCAAATAGCTAAAACCATCTTGAAAAAGAACAAAGTTGGAGAACTTACACTCCTGGTTTCGAAATTTCTACGTAGCTACATAATTAAAACAATGAAATATTGAAGTGACATATAGCTCAATAGAATTGATAGTCCAGAAATAAACCCATATATGTATTATCAATTGATTTTCAACATGTATGCCAAGACAAGTCAATAGGAAAGAATATGCTTTTCAACAAATATACATGGACACCTGGATAGCTACATGCAAAAGAAGAAAGTTGGACCTTTACCTCAAATGATACATAAAAATTAACTCAAAATAGGTCAAATTCCTAAATGTAAGAACTAAAGCGATAGAAGTTTTAGAAGAAAACGTACGGGTAAATCTTCATGACCTTGGATTTGACAGTGTCAAAATTTATCTAAATTAAAATTTTAATGTTTAAAATTCAAAATGAATTAAAAACTTTCATGCATCAAGGAACCTCCTCAAGAAAGTAAAAAAGATGATCTACAGAATGGGAGAAAATATTTGTAAATCACGTGCTTGATAATGGTCTAGTATCCAGAATATATAAATAATTCTAACAACAACAAGAAGGCAAACAATCCAACTGAAAAAATGGGCAAAAGACTTGGATAGACATTTCTCCAATGAGGATAAACAAACAGCCAATAAGCACATGAGAAGATACTTAACATCGTTTGCCATCTGGGAAATGAGAATCAAAACCACAATGAGATACTACTGCACACCTACTAGGATGGCTTTAGCATCAGTAAATATGTAAACACTACATACATAAGTGGAAAAGGTGAATTTTACAGGACACGGATTGCCCCTCAATATTAAAATTATAAAAAAAAGACTGGAAGGAAATACATCAAAATGATAACCTTGTTTGGGAGTTTGTTTTGTTTTGTTTTAAACTGCTCTGTAGTTTCCTAATTGTTTATAACAAGCATTTAGTCCTTTTGAATTGTAAGCAATAGTCTTAAATCTCTCTTATAGTTGTATAAAGCAGGCATACATGAATCTTCCTCCCCTCCCCTCCCTTCCTCCCTCCTTCAAAATAAATTAAAAACTTTTGTGCATCAAGGAACCTCCTCAACAAAGTAAAAAAGACGACCTACAGAATGGAGTCCTCCCTACCTCCTTCCCTTCCTTCCCTTCCTTCCTTTCCTTCCCTTCCTTCCCTCCTTCCTTCCTTCCTTCCTTCCTTCCTTCCTTCCTTCCTTCCTTCCTTCCCTCCTTTGTTGAGACAGGGTCTTGCTCTGTCACCTAGTCTGGACTGCAGTTCTGAGCTGGTGTGATCATAGCTCACTGCAGCCTCAAACTCCTGGGCTCAAGCAATCATCCGACCTCAGCCTCCCAAAATGTAGGGATTGTATGTGTGAGCCACTGCACCAGGGCAGATTCTGCATTGGTAACAAGCTTCCAAATGATGTAACTGGGCCCCAGACCTCAGTTTGAGAAGCCAGGTTCTAGAAGTCAGCAGCAGGAAGGAATGGACCAATTAAGCAAATCAGCAAAGCAGAGGGACCACAGAAAAAAGGACGATGCTCCCGGGCCCCTCCCCCGGGACATATTTACACTAAAAATTATTCACTTTTCTATCTGAAGTTCTTATTTGCCTGACTGTCCTGTAGTTGTTTTGCCAGGATGTCATCTAATGTTTGTTTTTGTTTTGGACACGGAGTTTCGCTCTTGTCAACCAGGCTGGAGTACAATGGTGCAATCTTGGCTCACTGCAACCTCTGTCTCCCGGGTTCAAGTGATTCTCCTGCCTCAGCCTCCCCGAGTAGCTGGGATTACAGGCATGCGCCACCATGCCTGGCTACTTATCTTTGTATTTTTAGTAGAGACGGGATTTTGCCATGTTGGCCAGGCTGGTCTTGAATTCCTGACCTCCCGTGATTCACCCGCCTCAGCCTCCCAAAGTGCTGGGATTACAGGTAGGAGCCACCACACCTGGCCTGGCCTGTAGTTTTATTGGCTAAGTCTGGTAGCCCTAGCATGGGTGGAGAAGGCTGTAGCTGTGGAAGCCCAGCCAGTCTGCATCTGAGGCAGGGAAAGGCAGCTAAGGCAGCCTGCCGTCAGCCCATTGACCTGACAGATAGGGGCCAATGTGGCTTACTCCTCATCTAGCCTACCCTTGTGCCGTCCTCTCCAACATCCATCCACCTGACAGATGGATGACCCTTCCTCTTCCCCAGGGGTTGTTTTGATGAGTAGATGACATTTCTAAAGAGCGCTTAGTGCACTGCCTGACACCTGGTAAGTGGTCAAGATGGGGAGAACTGATTGTTTCTACTATTCTTTCCCTCTCACAGTGGCCACCGCAGCGCTAAACACGGTCGGTCGGCATTCAGTGCTCGCCGTGGAAGCGAACCGCAGGAGCATCCTGGGGCAGCGGGGAGTTGCTGCACTCACCTAGACAGGCGGCCTACTGTGACTTCAGGCAAGTCATTTTCCTTCTCTGTGCCTCAGTTTCTTTGTCTGCAAAATGAGCAGCTGGACTAGAAACTTACCATTCTTTCACAGCACGTCAAACTCAACATGCCCATTTGAGCTGAAGACACTGAGGCTACTCACTGGGTGTGAACCTTTGACAGCATCCAGGCCCTGCACAGTTGTCTAGGAGAAGCCTGACCCATGATGTCCTTTCCGCTACCCACCTGCCACGAGCCCCAGTTCTGAGCTGGAGGGGTGGGGGTGGGTGGAAGGTGGATAGTGGTCAGTGCCTCACCTGGCCGACTGCAGCCTGGCAGAGTCCATGGGGGACCTCGCAGCACAGTGGATCCTCTTGCCTTGTGTCTCTAGTTGGTCCAGCTCTGGTCTATTCCATGCTATTCCGTTGTCATGGGCAGGACTGGGTTTGATGAAGTTGGACCTAGGTGTATCCCAGCCTCTCCTGGTTTCTGTCGTCTTTCTGTGGTGCCCAGGGCTTATGTTTCTATCTCTTTGAATGTTGAGTTTACTCCGTCCTTCAGGGATCAGGGCTGCCTGAGCTCAGGGTGGAGGTGCTGTTGTCTGTCTGGCTTCCGGGCCCTGGACTGGCAGTGTCCCCCAGCACCCCTGTCCAGCTATGCCAAGCCCCCTCCTTTTCTTTCTTGGCCTCTGCCCTATTTGTTCTGTGACTGGCCCAAGAGAGGGGTGTGGGCTGGCAGGTGTCCCACATAAAGCCTGGAGGCAGCATCCAGGCCTGGCTGACTTACCCCGGGGCCCCCTGCCTACTGCCCCCAGCCAAGCTGGGTCTCCTTCTTCCTGCCCAGCTGAGGCAGGGCCTAGAAGGGCACCGAGGCAGGCCCTCTGTGATGCTCCTGTTGCTATGGTAATTCTAGATGAGAAGGCCATAGCATTCTGTGTCTGGCACCCCCGCGCATCTCCCCAGCTCTGCCCTGCTGCCCCAAGAGATGGCTCTCTGCTGGGGAGCTCGAGAGCTTGGAATCTGCTGCAGTCAAAGTTTCTTCCATGCGGCCAGGCACAGTGGCTCATGCCTGCAATCCTAGCACTTTGGGAGGCCGAGGCGGGTGAATTACTTGAGGTCAGGAGTTCAAGACCAACCTGGCCAACATGGTGAAACCCCATCTCTACTAAAAATACAATACTTAGCCGGAAATCACTTGAACCCAGGAGGCAGATGTTGCAGTGAGCCAAGATCATGCCACTGCACTCCAGCCTGGGTAACAAAGCGAGACTCCGTCTCAAAAAAAAAAAAAAAGTATCTTTCATGCAGGCCCCATCCTTTGGACCTCCCTTCAACCCCAAGAGAGACCACTACCCTAGCAGGTAAGACTCTACCTCTCAGAAACTGACCTTTACTGTAGAGCTGATAGTGGGAAAGGGCTCAGGATCCAAAATCAAAAGACCTAGATCCTAGTCTCAAGCCATTTATAGCTGTGTGACCTTGGACAAGGCAGGCCTTGAGCTTCAGTGTCCTCCTTTGTAAAATGTGGATAAACATGCGATACTGAATCATCCTTCAGGAATAGCTCTATGACTTTCCGTAGGTTGTTCCCCTGATGTGTAATGCTCTTCCATTCTTCTCAGCTCCATGAACTCCTACTCATGCTTCAAGACCCAACCGAAATGCCCCATTGTCTGTAAAAATTTCCCTGACCTCTGTGCACTTGGCACAGATCTTAGGCCTTGCCATTCTGTGTTAGAGTTGTTATTTAAGTGTTTCCAAATTTTTTGACTATGAATACGTACAGGCAGGAATCAGATTAGGCTCAGTTCTGGAAGGAGAAATGGTTTGGCGAATATTTTCTTTGCGGAACGGAAAGCAGAAGAGGGCGACCTTGACTGGGTTGGGTGCCATCTCTGCAGGGGTCAATCCTGGGACTCTTGTTCCAGGCATGGCTTGGGTCAATCAGCACTCATGACTTTGCTGTGTGCCTGAGCCGTGCCTGGCTAACTGGGGACATTTTCATAGCTGAGACCCAGTAGGAGAGACCATGACTTGTGCCAGGGTGTGCCTGTCTCAGCTCTGGGGCAGGGCCAGGAGCAGCTGCTCATGGGATGTCTCTGGGGACATGCTGGGGCCTCTGGGAGGGGAAGGGAGACTGGCCATGCACTGTCTATGGTCCTGGTGGTACTCCTGGGATATTGCCAAGGAGCCTGCGGTTCAGGGAACAGGGAGGAGGGACTCTAGTGTCTCCAACTCCCTCTCATGGCTCTATGGCTGCTGGTCGGGGTCAGGGAGATGAAGCAGTGCCAGCTCCGTGGTCTGCACTGATCCTGACCAGTGAACCAGGCTTCCCCAGCCAGAGCCAGCTAGTCAAGCACGCTCTCTAGTGGCCACCACAGGGAAGGCAAGAACTTGTCTCCACAAAGGCAGGATTTTCATTTATTCCTTCAGAGAGTACAGAATGAGCATCAATGTTCCAGGCATGGTGCCAGGCATGTGTGTTAACTTTAGTTAAAACATACTTATTGGCCGAGTGTGGCGGCTCACTCCTGTAATCCCACCACTTTGGGAGGCCTAGGTGGGAGGACTGCTTGAACTTAGAGCTCAATACCAGCCTGGGTAATGTAGTGAGACCCTATCTCTATAAAAAAAAAAAAAATAGCTGGGTGTGGTGGTGTGCGTCTGTAGTCCCAGCGACTTGGGAGGCTGAGATGGGAGGATTGCTTGAGCCTGGGAAGTGGAGGTTGCAATGAGCCAAAATCACACCCATTGCACTCCAGCCTGGGTGACCTTGTCTCAAAAATATAGTTATATATTTACTTATATATTTATATGTATAAATATATGTGTACATACAAATATATTTGTAATATTATAGACATATTAATACATATTTACATATGTTAATATATAAATATATATAATATATATTTATCATCTTCTAAATGGAAAGCTCTTGAGTTTCAGGATGTGTTGGTTGGGAAGGGAATACAGGATAGGGAAATAATCCATTAAGCAATGACTCAGCACAGGCCATAAAATCAGAATCACCTGGAGAACTTGAACAATCCCAACACCTGGGGTCCATCCAGACCAATCAAATCAGAATTCGTAGGGGTCAGGCACAGGCACCAGTGGTTTGGAGAGTTGACGGACACATGTCCCATCCATCATTCTCATTCGGCTGCCAAGGTAGGCATCGTTGTCCCATTTTGCATATGAGGAGACTGAGGCTGAAGTGAACCTGCTTCTTTCCCCATATCAGTTGAGGACAGCGATGGGGCAGCGGGGAGGCAGTAAATACTCCTACAAGGCTGCCTCTAAAGAGAGTCTTATAATAACAACAGCTTTATTGTTTGCCATGATTAGAAAAGTATTCAAGGTCATTGCGAAATAGTGTTTTTTTTTCTAGGCAGATAATTATATAAAGGCAAAAATGGTGTGTGGGGGTGGGGGACAAGGGGAGGGAGAGCATTAGGACAAATACCTAATGCACGCAAGGCTTAAAACCTAGATGATGGGTTGACAGGTGCAGCAAACCACCATGGCACACGTATACCTATGTAACAAACCTGCACATCATGTATACCTATGTAACAAACCTGTACATTCTGCACACGTATCCCAGAACTTAAAGTGAAAAAAAAAGTGGTGTGTAGAAAAATCACCTGCAATCTCAGCATAGTTAACGCTTAGTACATTTCAGAGAGAGAGGGTGACAGGAAAGGGAGGATGAGAGTGGGTTTAAGACACAAGGTCATATTATAAAATCAGGGCTTCTGGAAGTTTAGTCCCAAAACCACACATCTCATAATCCCCTGCAGTGCTTGATTAAAATGCAACATCCCTAAGGCCACAGACTCAGACTCTGGAGAAAGATCCAGAAAACTGCCCGTTTAATAAACATTTGGGCGATTCTTACGGCCTCTAAAGACCAAGAACCACTGCTGCCTAGAGCTCTGCTCTCTTCATTGAACAATACAAGAGGAGTGTGTAGGTAGACACCCACCACTTCCAACAGCTTAGGAGAGCCCTTGAGTATGGATTGATGTATTAAAATTTATTGAATCACATGCTGAGATTTTCACCAGCTGCCCGTGGGGATCTGGGCATTTATTCCCATATTGCACTGGCTGGCTGGAAGCCAGCAGCATAAACTCCAGGGCTGTTCTGTCAACCCCCACCAGACTCACCCCCCTCCACCAGCCCCGGCAGGCTTCTCCTTCCATCTCTCTGAAGCAACTTACTGATGGGCCCTGCCAGCCAATCACAGCCAGAATAACGTATGATGTCACCAGCAGCCAATCAGAGCTCCTCGTCAGCATATGCAGAATTCTGTCATTTTACTAGGGTGATGAAATTCCCAAGCAACACCATCCTTTTCAGATAAGGGCACTGAGGCTGAGAGAGGAGCTGAAACCTACCCGGGGTCACCACACACAGGTGGCAAGGCTGGGACCAGAAACCAGGACTGTTGACTGCAGCCCGGTATTCATTCTTTCCATAGCCCACAGGGCTGTCAAAGACCCCAGGGCCTAGTCAGAGGCTCCTCCTTCCTGGAGAGTTCCTGGCACAGAAGTTGAAGCTCAGCACAGCCCCCTAACCCCCAACTCTCTCTGCAAGGCCTCAGGGGTCAGAACACTGGTGGAGCAGATCCTTTAGCCTCTGGATTTTAGGGCCATGGTAGAGGGGGTGTTGCCCTAAATTCCAGCCCTGGTCTCAGCCCAACACCCTCCAAGAAGAAATTAGAGGGGCCATGGCCAGGCTGTGCTAGCCGTTGCTTCTGAGCAGATTACAAGAAGGGACTAAGACAAGGACTCCTTTGTGGAGGTCCTGGCTTAGGGAGTCAAGTGACGGCGGCTCAGCACTCACGTGGGCAGTGCCAGCCTCTAAGAGTGGGCAGGGGCACTGGCCACAGAGTCCCAGGGAGTCCCACCAGCCTAGTCGCCAGACCTTCTGTGGGATCATCGGACCCACCTGGAACCCCACCTGTGAGTACAAGGTGCCCCAGGTGGACTGGGCTGGGGCTTTGAGGCCTTCAGGGTTGGATGGCCATCTTGCGTATTTGTGTGGGATATGCACACACAGGCAGCACATGCGCAGGTGTGTGGGCACCTGTGTGTCTGTGCAAATGCCCTGAGGTGGGAATGAGCTTGGTGTGCATCAGGCACAGCCAGCCAGTGTGGCTGCAGCAAAACACACAGGGAAAGAATGGAGGGGGCATCAATCACTGCTTCAGTAAATTTTTATTGAGCGCCTTCTACGAGAACACAAGAGGAGCTTCCATTCTGAGGAGGAAACAGGCAGGAAACAGGCAGATATCCTGTATAATTTCAAGTAGTGATAAGTGCTCTCTAGAAATATCAAGCAAGGTGAGGAGACACAGAGCACCGGTGGCAGTGGGGCTCTATTTCCAGGTTGGATGGTTGGGAACATCCTTTCTAAAGGGAACCTGGAGTGGGAAGGAACCATGCAGGTATCTCAGGAAGAGCTTCCTCCAGGCAGGAAGATCAGCAGGTGGAAAGGCCCTGGAGCCACCATTCAGTAAACATCATTTGAGCATCTCTACCAGCTAGGTTCCATTATGGGAATGGGAATATGGTGGTGGACAGGGCTGCCTGGTCCCTTCCATACTTCTCACACTAGGGTGGTTGAGAGAGCTTGGGAGCTAACGAACAAGATGGGCTGAGAACACTGCCTAGCCCAGAGGACCTGAGCTTAGTGTGTAGACATTGCTGCTGTTACTGCCTTTGTCATTGTATTATTTATTTATTTATTTATTTATTTTTAGACAGAGTTTTGCTCTTCTTACCCAGGCTGGAGTGCAATGGCGTGATCTCAGCTCACTGCAACCTCCACCTCCTGGGTTCAAGCGATTCTCCTGCCTCAGCCTCCTGAGTAGCTGGGATTACAGGCACCCGCACCACGCCTGGATAATTTTTTTGTATTTTTAGTAGAGACAGGGTTTCACCATGTTGGCCAGGCTGGTCTCGAACTCCTGACCTTAGGTGATCCACCTGCCTCGACTTCCCAAAGTGCTGGGATTATAGGCATGAGCCACTGCGCCCAGTGATTATAGAAAGTTAAAGGCACATGGCAATGCACACGCCTATCTACGTCTTCCCTGCCAAAGCAAAGGGCAGCCTCTGGGCTCACTTTCTTGCGTTTCTACTTCCAAAAGGCAGTCAGAACTGGCAGGGCCTTGGAGACCACTTCATCCACCTCCTAGGGTCCCTATGGGAGAGTTGAGGTCCAGAGCAGGGAAGGGTCCTGACAGGCTCTGACCAGGGCCTCTGATCCCTACAAACCCCCAATCGGTGTCCCTCTCTACCAGGACCCAAGCCCACCTGCTGCAGCCCACTGCCTGGCCATGACCATCACTTACACAAGCCAAGTGGCTAATGCCCGCTTAGGCTCCTTCTCCCGCCTGCTGCTGTGCTGGCGGGGCAGCATCTACAAGCTGCTATATGGCGAGTTCTTAATCTTCCTGCTCTGCTACTACATCATCCGCTTTATTTATAGGTAAAGCTGGCAGGGCTGGGCCGGGGGGCCTGGGAAGGATGTGGCTGGGGCTGGGAGCTCCTGGGGGCCTCCCAGCCAGCTCAGGGGCCAGTGTACCAGTTCACTACAAGACTAAGCTGAGCTCCTGACCAGGTCCTGGGCACTGGAGCTGAGGCTGGGGCTGGGGGCTGGGGAGAGAAAAGAAGTCAGACTGAGAGGCTGCTCAAGCCAGGCCAGCAGGGTTTTAGCCACCCTTCCTCCAACCCCAGGAGGACCCCTGGAGCCCAGGCTTTGTCTGGCCCCACTCAACTGGCCTGTTTTACTGAATCCCACACAGACTCATAGGCCCACATAGTACATTAAAAAAGAGAGAGAGAGAGAGAGAGAGAGAGAGAGATGGAGTCTCACTGTGTTGTCCAGGCTGGTCTCGAACTCCTAGGCTCAAGCAATCCCCCTGCCTTAGCCTCCCAAGGGGCTGGGATTACAGGTGTGAGCTACTGCACTTGACCAACCACATGGTACTTTTTTTTTTTTTTTTTTTTTTTTGAGACAGGGTTTCACTCCATCACCCAGGCTGGAGTGCAGTGGGGGCAATCTTGGCTCACTGTAACCTCTGCCTCCCAGGTGCAAGCGATTCTCCTGCCTTAGCCTCCTGAGTAGCTGGAATTATAGGCACACACCACCACGCCTGGCTAATTTTTTTTTTTTTCTGTATTTTTAGTAGAGACAGGGTTTCATCATGTTGGCCAGGCTGGTCTTGAACCCCTGACCTCAAGTGATCCACCCACCTCGGCCTCCCAAAGTGCTGGGATTACAGGTGTCAGCCACCATGCACAGCCCACATGGTACATTTTTTAAAATTATTTTTTAATTAAAATGTTTATCTAAGGCCAGTAGCAGTGACTCGCGTCTGTAATCCCAGCACTTTGAGGGGCCAAGGTGCGGGGATCACTTGAGCCTGGGAGTTCAGCGTGGGCAACATAGTGAGACCCCGTCTCTACCAAAAATTTAAAAAATTAGCTGGGAGTGGTGGCATTTGCCTGTGGTCCCAGCTACTTGGGAAGCTGAGGTGTGGGGATGGCTGAAGCCTGTGAGGTCGAGGCTGCAGTGAGCTATGATCACACCACTGCACTTCAGCCTGAGTGACAGGCTATCTCAAAAGCAAACAAAATAATGTTTATCTAAACAATAAAATATAATCACAGAATATATGATAGCATTTTAAATTGAAAAAGCATTAATGATTACATGGATTGTAAAATATCAAATACATGAAATTCTTGTGTTCTTAATAATGCTAGCAACAAGGCACATTTGGTTTTTACTAGGGCACCAAGGTACTTTAAAAAAAGTTAGGGCCAGCCACAGGGGCTCACACCTGTAATCCCAGCACTTTGGGAGGCCAAGGCAGGAGGATCACTTGAGCCCAGGAGTTTAGGACCTGAGCAACATAGGGAGATCCTGATCCTGTCTCTATAAAAAATTAAAAAATTGGCTAGGCCCTTTGGCTTACACCCGTAATCCCAGCACTTTGGGAGGCCGAGGCGGGTGGATCATGAGGTCAGGAGTTCAAGACCAGCCTGGCCAACATAGTGAACCCAATCTCTACTAAAAATACAAAAATTAGCCGAGTGGGGTGGCACGCACCTGTAGTTCCAGCTACTCAGGAGGATGAGGCCGGAGAATCGCTTGAGCCCGGGAGGCAGAGGTTGCAGTGAGCCGAGACCATGCCATTGCACTCCAGCCTAGGTGACAGAGTGAGACTCCGTCTAAAAATAAAATAAAAATCAAAAAATGATCTGGGCATGGTGGCTTATGCCTGTAGTCCCACCCAGCTCCTCAGGAGGCTGAAGCGGGAGGATTGCTTGAGCCCAGGAGGTTGAGGCTGCAGTGAGTCATGACTGTGCCACTGCCCTTGAGCCTGGGTAACAGAGCAAGACCCTATCTCAAAACAAACAAACAAACAAACAAACAAACAAAAACCAATAAACCAAAAACATTTATCTAAACAATAAAATAAAGGACAGATATAATCACCGAATATATGATAGCATTTTAAATTGAAAAAGCACTAATGACTACAATGGATTATAAAACATCAAATACATAAAATTCTTAAGTTCCTCCTAATACCAAATACAAAGCACATTGGTCTTTGGTTTTTACTTGGGCACTAATGCATGCTGAAAAAGAGTCAGACTTCATTTTTTAGAGTAGTTTTAGGTTCACAGCAAAATTGAGCAGAAGGTAGAGTTCTCATGTGTCTCTTTGCTCCTCCCCCTGCCCCCAGCCTCCCCACTATCAACACCCCCACACTACAGTGGTAGATTTATTACAATCCCTGAACCCACAGTGACACATCACTATCACCCAAAGTTCATAGCGTACAGCAGGGTTCACTCTTGGGCTGTACATTCCATGGGTTTGGATAAATGTGTAATGATGTCTCCACCATCACAGCATCAGGCAGAGTAGTTTCACTGCTCTAACAAAATCCTCTGCCTATTCACCCCTCTCATTAAAGCCAAACACTCTGTTTCTTTTTTTCTTTTTAGAGACAGTGTCTCGCTCTGTCACCCAGGCTGAAGTGCAATGGCAATCACAGCCCATTGCAGCCTCCAACTCCTGGGCTGAAGTGATCCTCCTATCTCAGCCTCCAGTGGCTACGACTGCAGGCATACGGCAACGGCACCCAACTAATTTTTTGTAGAGATAGGGTCTTGCTATGTTGCCCAGGCTGGTCTTGAACTCTTGGTCCTGCCTTAGCCTCCCAGAGCTCTGGGATTACAGGCGTGAACCACCGTGCCCGTCCCAAACACTCTGTTTCGACCTGCTTTTAAACAACTGACCCTTGGCTGCATTCAAAGGATCAGGGTGTCTGAAACTGGCCTCTGCAGCAGGACCTTCCTTCCTACACATCTCCCAGTGGCCAGTGTGAGGATTCTCCCCACAAGAAACCACTGGAGGGGGCCTCCTCCTGTCCGGGTTTGGGGCTGTACAAGGAGCATCATGGACCTGGCTCAGGCCTCAGGAGGGGCCCTGGGCTGGGGAAAATGTGGGATAGCATCGAGGCAGTCCCACTCCTACCCAGGGCCGGGCTAGACCTGGGGACAGTCTCAGCCATCTCCTCGCTGCGTCCACACAATTCCACCCCCACCCCCACCCCCAGGCTGGCCCTCACGGAAGAACAACAGCTGATGTTTGAGAAACTGACTCTGTATTGCGACAGCTACATCCAGCTCATCCCCATTTCCTTCGTGCTGGGTGAGTTCCCCCTTCTGGCTGTTCCGGGTCCCTGTGGCCGCCCAGGCTCCAGACAGGCCAGGGGAGGATCACGAGGAGCTGCGGCAAGGGGCTGGGGAGGGGGCGGGGGAACGCCAGCGGCAGGTCGGCGCCTCTCTGTAGGGAAAGGTGCGGACTGCAGCCAGTGAAACTGAAGTTAGACGTTAGGTAAGACGTCCTGCCGTTAGCAATGAAAACCCCATTTTCTGAGGGAAGCGCTGACATCATGGTCCCTGGAGCCCCTGCGCGGGAGGGGAGGGGGTCTGGCGGATTTCTGGGACCAGCAGGGGGACCCCCGGGTGACAGAACCCTTGGGGCTCTCGCGCCTCCATGCGAGGCTCTGCCTGCCTCTCGCTCCCGAGCGCCTTCCAGGAGGGCTGGGGGCTAGGCCCGCTCGCAGCAGAAAGCTGGAGGAGCCGAGGCATCGCCGGGCGCTGGGCCCTGGGCTCTGGCCGCAGCCTGGCCCCTCGCCCCTCGCCCCCCGCCCCTCCTGCCCAGGCTTCTACGTGACGCTGGTCGTGACCCGCTGGTGGAACCAGTACGAGAACCTGCCGTGGCCCGACCGCCTCATGAGCCTGGTGTCGGGCTTCGTCGAAGGCAAGGACGAGCAAGGCCGGCTGCTGCGGCGCACGCTCATCCGCTACGCCAACCTGGGCAACGTGCTCATCCTGCGCAGCGTCAGCACCGCAGTCTACAAGCGCTTCCCCAGCGCCCAGCACCTGGTGCAAGCAGGTGGGCGGACCGGGAGCAACGGGGAGGCACCGGGCAGAGCCAGGGGCCGAGATGGGCGCGGCAGGAATGGAAGATGGGTGGAGCCAAAGTCCCCCGGACTCGGGGGATTGGGTGGAGCCAGGAGTGGGGTGTAGTCAAGATTTGGGGGTCCAATTGGGCGGGACAGAGTCGGGTGTCTGAAGGTGGGGCGAGGCCAGGAGCCCACCCTCCGAGAGTAGGAGTCTGAGGCAGGGCTAAGGACCCTTGAGGGATAATGGAAAGAAGGGTGACGGCTTGGGAACTGGTGAGGTACTAGGGTCTACTTCCCTCTGCCCTTGCCCCTCTTGATCTCCGGTTTCCACTCTGGAGGTATGGGACATTGGTCTCTGACACCCCCTCAGCCTGGCCTGACCTGGTCCTGGTTAATAAGACAGACCCAGGCTAGGCGTGGTGGCTGTCGCCTGTAATCCCAGTGCTTTAGGAGGCAAAGGTGGGAAGATCGCTTGAGCCCAGCTGTTTGAGACGCCCCTGAGCAACATAGCGAGACCCCCATCTCTACAAAAACATTAAAAATTAGCAGGGCATGGTGGCGTGTGCCTGCAGTCTGAGGCTGAGTATCGGGAGGCTGAGGCAGGAGGATCACTTGAGCCCAGCAGTTCCAGGCTGCAGTGCGCTAAGATCGCACCGCTGCACTCCAACCTCGGTGACAGAGCCAGACCCTTTCTCTGGAAATAAATAAATACCCTGCCCACATGCTCAGCCCAGAACAGCACCTAGTAGGTGCTCAGAAATTTTTTTGTTGTTGAAAGAAAGAGGATGGCAAAGGAGTGCTGAGGTTCCTATAGGTCAGCAGGTGCCGGCCATCCCTTCTGCAGGTTCTCCCACCCACCGCCTTCTTCACTCCACTCTGCAGGCTTTATGACTCCGGCAGAACACAAGCAGTTGGAGAAACTGAGCCTACCACACAACATGTTCTGGGTGCCCTGGGTGTGGTTTGCCAACCTGTCAATGAAGGCGTGGCTTGGAGGTCGAATCCGGGACCCTATCCTGCTCCAGAGCCTGCTGAACGTGAGCCCACTGTACAGACAGGGCTGCCGCAGAGTGGGAAGGGCTGTGGTCCACAGGAAACAAGGTTTCCTACAAAGAGAAGCCTTGGGCCCCTGAGGGTCTTCCGAGAGCCTGAGGTGGGGTTGCAGAATCTTTTCCAACAGCAATCCACAGCCCGAGGTGGTCCCTTCTCAGAGGCCCCTCCCTCTTCTCCAAGTCTGTGAGGTCCTGGTTCCCTTTTGATAGATGAGGAAGCTGAGACACAAAGAGGTTTAGTGAGCTTCCCATGGCCACACAGCCAGGAATGGACCATAGGTACCAGGCCCTGGTACCTGGAGAAGAGGTGGGGGCGAGCCCAGGGTGGGGGCAGGTGGTGTTCAGAACCCCATCCCCCTCTTCTGCCCCCCAGGAGATGAACACCTTGCGTACTCAGTGTGGACACCTGTATGCCTACGACTGGATTAGTATCCCACTGGTGTATACACAGGTGAGGACTAGGCTGGTGAGGCTGCCCTTTTGGGAAACTGAGGCTAGAAGGACCAAGGAAGCAGCTGGGGTGGGAAGGGCTCACCTAGAGGCTAAGTGGCTCCCCTGGGAGTTGGGTCCACACTTTGAAGTTGGGTCTGGACTTTGAAGTGCCAAGTTCTAAGAGTCCAGGCTCCTGCCTGGCCCAGTCCAGTAGAGGCAATGTGATTATCCCCATATTAAAGAGAGGTTGGCCGGGTGCAGTGGCTCATGCCTGTAATCCCAGCACTTTGGGAAGCTGAGGCAGGTGGATCACCTGAGGTCAGGAGTTCGAGACCAGCCTGGCCAACATGGTGAAACCCCATCTCTACTGAAAATACAGAATTAGCTGTGTGGTGGTGCACGCCTGTAATCCCAGCTACTTGGGAGGCTGAGGCAGGAGAATCGCTTGAACCCGGGAGGTGGAGGTTGCAGTGAGCTGAGATCATGCCACTGCACTCCAGCCTGGGCGACACAGCAAGACTCTGTCTCAAACAAACAAACAAACAAACAAACAAAGGGGTTAACAGAGCCCCTAAGTCACATAAGTGTGCAAGTCAGAACAAGGCCTTGGTCTCCTGTCTCAGACTCCCAGCCCCTGGAGCATCCTGATTTCAGGGTTCCCACCTAGCCCTTTGCTACCACATCCTCCTCCTCCTCCCAGGTGGTGACTGTGGCGGTGTACAGCTTCTTCCTGACTTGTCTAGTTGGGCGGCAGTTTCTGAACCCAGCCAAGGCCTACCCTGGCCATGAGCTGGACCTCGTTGTGCCCGTCTTCACGTTCCTGCAGTTCTTCTTCTATGTTGGCTGGCTGAAGGTGGGCCTCTCCAGGGCCCTGCTGGGCTGGAGGCATGGCCAGAGGGGTCATGGCCAGCAGCTGCCTGAGACGAGGATGCAGTGTCAGGAAAGGAAGGTCTCACGGGTAGAAAGCAGCCAGGCGTGGTGGCGCACACCTGTAATCCCAGCTACTCGGGAGGCTGAGGCAGGAGAATCGCTTGAACCCGGGAGGCGGAGGTTGTGGTGAGTTGAGATCGTGCCACTGCACTCCAGCCTGGGCAAAAGAATGAAACTCTATCTCAAAAACAACAACAACAACAAAACAAAGCCCTAAGGTTCAGAAGCCCCTGCCCTTTAGAAGGCAGATCGGCACCACCTCTCCTTATTCAAGATGCCTGTTGGGCTGTCTTGTTCCTCACCTCAAGTGGCTTGTCCAGGTATTCCCTCCCACCACAGCCAATACTCCGAACAGATGTTCTGAATCACACAGTTTTCTCTCCACCTCTTTATCTTTCCTTCCTTCTGTTGCCCACCCACTCTCTCTCCCTTCCTACCTTCCTTTATTTTTTGGTAATGGGGGTGTAAGTCTCTGTCTCTGCCCTTCCTGTCACTGTGACACACACACACACACACACACACACACACACATACACACACACACACACGCATTCCTATTCCTCTAAATTCCCCCTGCCCCCCCAGTTATCTTTGGTTTCTGCAGATCAAAACAAATCACACTTTTATGCTTGAAATTCTCCGGGGTGCCCCAGTGGCCTGCAAGATGTCCCCTGGACCCCTAAGGCAGACGCGTGTCACCTCTTCGGGGCTTTGTTAGGGCATTTTAGAGGTTGCTATCCAGGAATCTGCCCACCTAGACTGCCCTTTAGTTCAGCCCAGCTTCAGTATATATCTCTGTTGCATGAATGAATAAAATTATGCAACTCCAGGTAAGATACATGAGGTGAGATAAAGGCAGTGACTCAGCCGAGTGATACACTCAGGGACAGCTGTGGGTGTTCAGGGAAGGACTGGCTCAGAAGAGTTAGAGGGGCTGTGTCCAGAAGTGTGTGGGTGCCCACAAGTGTGGGGGGCTGGAGCCCTAAACTCTGCCTTTGAAGACAGTGGTCAGGCAGGAAGGGCGTCATGGGGTGTGGAAATAGCAGCAGCTGAGGTTTAAAGGGGGAAGCTGGCTTTGAGGAGTTCTGCCTGAGGGTTTACAGAGCCTCACCTGTCCCCAAGGTGGCAGAGCAGCTCATCAACCCCTTTGGAGAGGATGATGATGATTTTGAGACCAACTGGATTGTCGACAGGAATTTGCAGGTATGGGGAGAGGGAGAGAAACCATACCATGGACCTTCCCCAAAGTGGACCCAAAGAGAGGACCCCACTGTTCTGTAGGGAGGCCTCACAGTGAATGATCAACCCTTCCCCTCCTCCCTCCTGCAGCCAGTCATTCACTCACAGGATTCTCACCTCAATCTTTGAGGCTGCAGGCAGGCACCCATCTCCCCATTTCACAGGCAGGGAAACTGAGGTCCAGAGAGAGGGAGAGATTCCTCCAAGTCATCAGGCACATACAAGGTCCTGCCTGGGATGATCTTTCTGTGGGACTTCTTCTGTCCCTGGTGACCAGGTGTCCCTGTTGGCTGTGGATGAGATGCACCAGGACCTGCCTCGGATGGAGCCGGACATGTACTGGAATAAGCCCGAGCCACAGCCCCCCTACACAGCTGCTTCCGCCCAGTTCCGTCGAGCCTCCTTTATGGGCTCCACCTTCAACATCAGGTGTGGCCAGAGCCAGGGGGCTGGGTGGGAAGCCCCTCCTAGTGCAGGGGTCTGCCTAGGAACTTAGAATAGCACTAGTTAATGCATACAGGTTGCTTCAGTAAGTGTCAGGCACTGTACTATGCTCTTTATAAACATTAACTATTTTTTTCCTCCCAATAATTCTGGTTTGTTATCCCAAGTTTTCAGATAATTAAAGTACAGGTTCAGAGAGAGTAAGTTGTCCAAGGCCACATAGCTACCAAATGGTGCATTTGCTACTCGAAGGACAGCCTGTGATCAGTGATGCAGTGGAACGTTAGGACCTGGCTCTTGTCATCCAGAACTATGTTTTCTTTTCTTTTTGAGACAGTATCTCGCTCTGTCGCCCAGGTTGGAGCGCAGTGGCGTGATCTTGGCTCACTGCAACCTCCGCCTCCTGGGTTCAAGTGATTCTCCTGCTTCAGCCTCCCCAGTAGCTGGGATTACAGGTGCCCACAACCACAACTGGCTAATTTTTGTACTTTTAGTAGAGATGAGGTTTCACCATGTTGGCCAGGCTGGTCTCCAACTCCTGACCAGTAATCTGCCCGCTTTGGCCTCCCAAAATGCTGGAATTATAGGTGTCAAAACTATGTTTTCTGATAAGCTACGATGCTTGGATGGGAAGTGGAAGTGGGGTTCCCTGGGATGGGGGAGGGGCAGCAAAGTCCCAGCAGGCAGCCAGGCCATCACAGGTACCTCCTGAATTGACTTTGTCCTACCGAGTAAAGGGCTCAGGCCACCCACAGCAGCCAGACTTATCCCCACATGGTCCCACTTCCCTGATTCCATCTGAATCCCTCTTGAGCTGCAGTGGGCTGAAGGGCTATCCCAGCTGGTCCTTTCTCCCCAGGACAACAGAGTTGAAAGTGCCTTGGAGAGTGTTGGGCACATGTCAGGGTTCATACTCAAGGGTTTCTTCCACGGTATCCAGTGCTGTTCTCGCTTGTTCTTTTCTTTTTTTTTTTTTAAACGGAGTTTCACTCTTGTTGCCCAGAGCTGGAGTGCAGTGGCATAATCTCGGCTCACTGCAACCTCCGCCTCCCAGATTCAAGCAATTCTCCTGCCTCAGCCTCCTGAGTAGCTGGGATTATAGGTGCCAGCCACCAAGCCCGGCTAATTTTTGTATTTTTAGTAGAGACAGTTTCACCATGTTGGCCAGGCTGGTCTCGAACTCCTGACCTCAGGTGATCCACCCTCCTCAGCCTCCCAAAGTGCTGGGATTACATGTGTGAGCCACTGTGCCTGGCTGCTTGTTCTTTTAAGAACCAAATATCCTACTAGACTGCAATCGAGTTTAACTACAGTCTATAGATAGTGTGAGGAAGGGTTGGGAAGGTGATCAAATGAAGGCTGGAGGCTTGCTTAGGTCAGAAACATTTCTGGAGGATGACTTTGAGCCCTACATGGTCTGTACCCCAGCAGCTGAAGGTTGTTGAGGGGTGGGGAGGGCTGAAAACAGAACGATAAAGCATAGACCTTGTCTCCAAGGAATGCACAATTTATGGAGGGAGCTCAAACCCAAGCCTCAAACTCTGGATACAAGGTACAAAGTACTGGATGTCCAGAAAAGGGACAGAACATGGAACACAGTCATCTTTGTCTGCCTGGGAGGCGGCTTCCAGCTGGGTCTGGAGCTGAGCCATGGAACATGGGAAGAATCTGAACTTGGGCAAGGGCAGGCCATACTCTCTGGTAGATAAGCTTTCCCTTGCAGGGTAAAGGTCTGGGGCTCCCGGGATGCCTGTTGCTAGGAAGTCAAATTTCTCTTTGTGGATGTCACTCCCAGTTGGAACCACAAATTCCTGGCATTGCCCAGAGTCACTCATGGGCCTCATCTGAACCACTCATGCCAGGGCACCAGTGTTTCTGACTGCCTGGAGTGAGGGGTTTTACAGGGGAAGTGAATGATGAGGAGGCCTTTACACGCCAGGCGGGGTGGTTGCGGGGGTTGGATGTTAACTCTGGTCAAGAGGGAATCAACAAACAGTGAGGTGAGCTGGGCCTGGAGGGATCACCGGGAGGTACAGGACAGATCAGGAGAGAGGTGAGAGCTGGGGCATGGTGAGGAAGACGGTGTGGCCTTGGCTTGGGCCAACTGAGAGAGAGGAGCGGGGGTAAGGGAGAAGTAAGGCCAGGTGTTGGTCCTTTGTCCACTGGCTCAGCCCTGCATCTCCTGTTTCTTTCCAGCCTGAACAAAGAGGAGATGGAGTTCCAGCCCAATCAGGAGGACGAGGAGGATGCTCACGCTGGCATCATTGGCCGCTTCCTAGGCCTGCAGTCCCATGATCACCATCCTCCCAGGGCAAACTCAAGGACCAAACTACTGTGGCCCAAGAGGGAATCCCTTCTCCACGAGGGCCTGCCCAAAAACCACAAGGCAGCCAAACAGAACGTTAGGGGCCAGGAAGACAACAAGGCCTGGAAGCTTAAGGCTGTGGACGCCTTCAAGTCTGCCCCACTGTATCAGAGGCCAGGCTACTACAGTGCCCCACAGACGCCCCTCAGCCCCACTCCCATGTTCTTCCCCCTAGAACCATCAGCGCCGTCAAAGCTTCACAGTGTCACAGGCATAGACACCAAAGACAAAAGCTTAAAGACTGTGAGTTCTGGGGCCAAGAAAAGTTTTGAATTGCTCTCAGAGAGCGATGGGGCCTTGATGGAGCACCCAGAAGTATCTCAAGTGAGGAGGAAAACTGTGGAGTTTAACCTGACGGATATGCCAGAGATCCCCGAAAATCACCTCAAAGAACCTTTGGAACAATCACCAACCAACATACACACTACACTCAAAGATCACATGGATCCTTATTGGGCCTTGGAAAACAGGTCTGTCCTCCACCTGAACCAGGGGCACTGCATTGCCCTGTGCCCCACCCCAGCTTCCCTTGCTCTGAGCCTACCCTTCCTCCACAATTTCCTAGGGTTCCATCACTGCCAGAGCACACTGGACCTACGCCCAGCACTGGCTTGGGGTATATACTTGGCCACCTTCACAGGGATCCTAGGGAAGTGTTCGGGACCTTTTCTCACTTCACCCTGGTATCACCCGGAAGACTTCTTGGGACCAGGTGAAGGAAGATGAGGTTGTGCTGACCAGAATGCTGCTGGAGAACTGCCCCAGGGCTGACAGGCCAGGCTTAGCTGAGCAGATGTTATCACTGGCCCCAACTTACTTTGAGCAAGGGTGGCTGACCCAAAACCATGAGGTGGCAGTCAGCTGGATGACAGATGAACACTTCCCCCATAACTATTTAGGGTAGTACCCAAGCACTACAGGAAAGGGTGGCAGGAACTGCCTCACTCCTAGGAACTGGTAGATGGTGAGGTTGAGGGTGTCCAGCGCCCTTAGGTCATTTTCTCACTGCCTGGGAACCTCACCAAAATACTTCTTGCTTCCTTGGGGTCAGCCCAAAGCTGTCACAAAATCAGATATTTCCCTTTATTCCAGATTTCCTGGACACTTTCACCCAATTATAAACACCCCACTTCAGCCCCAATCACGTGGGAGGAAGTGTAACTTCCCTTTTCTGGATTCTCAAGCAGTTACTTTCACGGTCAGAACACGCAGCTATTATGATTGAAAACTTAAAAGGGCAACAATTTCAGTCTTGCTTCTAGGGCTAGACAGGAACTTGGCAAACATCTGTGGCCTGTTCAGCAAAGGATGTTAATATTTAAGAATCTTGTCTTGGGCTGGGTGTGGAGGCAAGTGGATCACAGGAGGTCAGGAGTTTGAGACCAACCTGGCCAACATGATGAAACCCCATCTCTACCAAAAAAAATACAAATCAGCTGGGCGTCGTGGTGTGCCTGTAGTCCCAACGCAGGAGGTTGAGGGGAGAATTGCTTGAACCCAGGAGGTGGTGGTTGCAGTGAGATTGAGCAACTGCAATCCAGCCTGGGCGACGGAGTGAGACTGTCTCAAAAAAAAAAAAAAAAGGATCGTCTCAACCTTTGCCCTCCTACTGCAACATTTTGGTATTTGAAATGAAGGGACCTTCCATACTTATGCTGTTAATACTTTCATTCTCACTAGGGATGAAGCACATTCCTAACCTGCTTCCTAATGGGGATGCTTCGCCAGCCAGGTCCTCACCTGTGTGTACACCAGCAGGACACTGATCCAGTCACAGCCATACAGCTGTCCACACTGAAGAACATGTCCTACAACAGCCTGAATCAAATGGTTAGCTTAATAGATAAAAATCCCAGACTACTTCAGCCTTTAATGCCTTTTATTCATAAAAACTGTGAAAGCTAGACTGAACCATTGGAAACATTTAACTCAGACTCTGGATTCAGAGTCGGGAACCCTTAGTTCTATCTGAATCCAAGACAGCCACACCTTAGTATACTGCCCAAACTAATGAGTTTAATAAATACAAATACTCGTTTCTTTTTGATTAGTGTGATTAGAACTGAACAACGGCACTTAAGGAATCTGGAAGATAGCCTGGATAGATTTCTGATTCATCCCAAGACCTCAAAGACAACACCTGGGTACCAAATTTCTTTATTTGAAGGAATGGTACAAATCAAAGAACTTAAGTGGATGTTTTGGTACAACTTATAGAAAAGGTAAAGGAAACCCCAACATGCATGCACTGCCTTGGTGACCAGGGAAGTCACCCCACGGCTATGGGGAAATTAGCCCGAGGCTTAGCTTTCATTATCACTGTCTCCCAGGGTGTGCTTGTCAAAGAGATATTCCGCCAAGCCAGATTCGGGCGCTCCCATCTTGCGCAAGTTGGTCACGTGGTCACCCAATTCTTTGATGGCTTTCACCTGCTCATTCAGGTAATGTGTCTCAATGAAGTCACACAACTGCAAAACAATGGGGAAGACAGTTAGTGGGCAGCTTTCCCAATCCCTAAGGCAAATGATTTCCTCCATTTATTTCCTGGGGTTCCAATACTCACATGGGGGTCATTTTTGTCAGTGGCCAGTTTGTGCAGTTCCAGTAGTGACTGATTCACATTTTTTTCCAAATGTAATGCACACTCCATTGCATTCAGCCCGCTCTCCCAGTCATCACAGTCTGGTTTCTGAATGAGAATAGGTTAATGCATCTCTACCAACTAACCTAGAAGTCAGCAAGCCCATCATCTCTAACCACCACGTTTTGGCAAAAGGGACATTACTATTTGCCTAATTTAGTTTAGATGGTAAGCCTAAAAAAGCACAAAAGGCAAAAGCCCAGTGTATCATCACTTTATAAGGGCAATTGCTAGTTTAAGTGATTTCTGATACCCGAACACTGCCAGATGATGAAGTATGACACCCCTAGGATCTTTTGTTCACCTTGATATCCTGAAGGAAGATTCGGCCACCTCGTTGGTTCTGCAGCTTCATCAGTTTCTCAGCATGTTCCCTCTCCTCATGAGATTGGTGAAGAAAGTATTTGGCAAAGTTCTTCAAAGCCACATCATCGCGGTCAAAGTAGTAAGACTGAAAGGGGAACACTGAATGTGTTATACTAGGGATCCCCAGAGACAGGTAGCTGTGACGATCTACAGGGAGGCAAGATGGTCTCGTCAGCCTAGGCTTCCTTTCTCAAAGCACAGCATGAAGGAATCAGTGCCTAAGGAGACTGGGGGGCAGATGAGCTACTGGATTGAACCCAAGAGTAATGTTTCTATTCTAAAATAGAAAACTGAAACTTGATCCTTGAAACTTAACTTCAAGGAACCTTTAGGATATTATGGGCATTGCCTGGGGCAATGTCTTAAGGATCTGTATTACTGCACAGAAAACTTACAGCCAGTGTCAGAATTCATTGTCTGATGAGAGGGCGCTGGAGTACTGACCCTGCACTTAGTCCTTTTCTCCTCCCTGCTCCTGTATTAACCATGTTAAAGCATGGTTAAAACTGAGCTCAGGAGTCTGCCAGCTGTACCACATATTTATTTATAAAATTAAAAACCCCTGCTGGGTGCGGTGGCTCAGCCTGTAATCCCAGCACTTTGGGAGGCCGAGGCAGGCGGATCACGAGGTCAGCAGATCGAGACCATCCTGGTCAACATGGTGAAACCCCGTCTCTACTAAAAATAAAAAAAAATAGCTGGGCGTGGTGGCGTGCGCCTGTAATTCCAGCTACTCAGGAGCCTGAGGTAAGAGAATCACTTGAACCCAGGAGGCGGAGGCTGCAGTGAGCCGAGATCGCGCCACTGCACTCCAGCCTGGGCGACAGAGCGAGACTCTGTCTCTCACACACACACACAAATTAAAAACCCCCATGCAAGGTGGCAAATGTGGACAGTATGTTGATGTAAACATACTTTTATAATAGTTATATCACAAAAATTTGATTTTCAGTTTTAGACATTTGATGTAGTCAAGTGTTTGTGAAAGGCAGTGACAGTCACAGAAATACAGGCCTGTTTTCAAATCCATTTGGAACACATTTATTCTTGGGATAGTTTGGACAATCACAAGGCAATTCTAAGGAAGACTCCCACGACACTGCCTAAGACCAAGATTTGGGAAAACTGATTCCACTGATCACTGAAAAATTTCTTGCCCAGTAACTGTCGGTGGACTTTATCCAAGAACTGGGGGTTCAATTAGTAGGCCAAACTCCACACCTCTTACAGTAAGATACATAAAAGATAAATTAGGTCCCCTAGGCGCAAGGTCAGGTGACACTTCGGTGACTGCAGAAGGGGCGATTCCTAGAGATATGCTTCAAAGCAAGTGGGACTTAGAGATAAGCAGAGCCGAGAGGTGGATACGGCTGCTCGAGAGGGATCTACCCACAAGATAAGCCACCTCCCGCCAGCCCCCAAGGTTTGCTATTCGACACCGTTACCCAGCAGCTCCGCCACACACAGGCGGACGGGAGCTGGATACCTAAGCAAAAAACGCTGGCATTTAGGGCCAAATGCCGGAGGCAGAGGAAAAGATGGGAAAGCAAAACTCCACCTTCCTAACCGCAGGATTGATCACACAGGCTGGCAGTCTTGCAACCCCAGGATTTCAGGACACCAAGGTCTCCTTAAAAAAGAAGGGTGTGCAGAG
This sequence comes from Homo sapiens, assembly GCF_000001405.40. NCBI lineage: Eukaryota > Metazoa > Chordata > Mammalia > Primates > Hominidae > Homo > Homo sapiens. The sequence continues at coordinate 61,967,085 of NC_000011.10, forward strand.
GCGGCCCTGGCCTAGGAGGGAGCATTCTCAGGGTACAGCCGAGAAGAACCAGCTGCCCCGACTTTCTGCGCCAGAGAAGTCCTCGGAAACCTCGAGCAGCCTCCATTTTCCAGAAGGGCGCAGGGAGGCGGGAGAGCCCGCGGGTGGCCACACCCCCGGCCCGCCCCAGCGCGCGCCCCGGGAACCGCGCCCGGCCCCCGCCACCGCTTAGGCCCGCCCGCGCTCACCATGGACAGGTAAACGTAGGAGGCGTAGAGCTCCAGGTTGATCTGGCGGTTGATGGCGGCCTCTGAGTCCTGGTGGTAGTTCTGGCGCACCTGCGAGGTGGACGCGGTCGTCATGGCGGCGACTAAGGAGAGGCGGCGGCGGCGGCGGTGGCTGCGCGGCGCTGGAGCGGCGGCGGGGGCCTTGGGGCAGTCCGAGGGTGCGGTGAAGAGGTGACGGAGGGCTGGCTATGGGCGGCCGGCCGGGGTGGGGAACGAGCGCCGGGTTCCGTCCAAGCACTGTTGAAGCAGGAAACCCCGACGACTCTCGGCGAAGAACGTCTGGCCCTGCGGGTCGCTTGTGGTCTCTTATAGCCGCGTCGGCGTCAGGCCCGCCCCGGCCAATCAGCGCCGCCCGCCCCGAGCCCGCTCCTTCCGGTGGGCGCGGGACCCCGCCCCTGCTGTGGGGGAGGGGCGGCCGCTGGAGGCCCTCGCGCGCTCTGGCGGAGCTCGGGAGCGGGGACCGGTAGCCGACTGCCTCTGGGACAGCGGTGGCGTCTCTGTGCCCGTTTAGTGGAGTTGGAGGGAAGCTGCGAGGAGGCGCAGGAAGTCCACCTCAGAACCCCCCCCCCGGTCTAGGGGCGCCCGGGCGTTGGAACCGGCGGGGGAAGGGTGCGGGGGCGCATGGGGTGATCCTGATTCGGCTCCCATTTTCCCGAACGGGCACCCTGAGGCTCCTGGCCCGGGGCATGGTGTTAGAAATCATAGCTGCGGAGAAGCCCTTGTGACACCTTGCTGCAGATTGGGAAGCTGCAGATGATTGGGAAGGTGGAAGGTGGAGACGCGGTCCTTAGGTGGTCGAGCGCATTTTCTCTTCCTCAGAGTCCAGGAAGGAGCGCGATGGAGAAGTGGGGCGCACGGCGGGTTTCGGGTCCGCCCCTGCCCTTCCGACTCCTCCGACCACGTCTGCCTTTGGCTGAAAGCAAATATGGCTCCGTGTGCGGTTTCTGCAACAAAGGCTGGGCGGGCCGGGTTTCCCTAGGGATGGGGACCGCCTCCCCGGGGAGTCGTGGGGGTGAGCCACCGGGGCCTCCGAGAGAATCGCTGGTGTCGCTTCGCACCCAAGGGACACATCTCGGGTTAGAAAGGAGAAACGACGTGGATCTAAAGGCGAAGCCCATGCTGAGGACTTTTCAAAATGGCCTCTTATCGGCCCCACTCACAGGAGCTTCAGGCTTCGGTGGCCCTGTAGGACAACCCTGGGGTGTCATTGGAGAGAAGCTGACGGGGTTAATGGCGGGTGACAGGTGAAAGAGACCCCGGAGGGGTGGGGCCGGTGTGTGTGGCTAAGCTGAGTCCCAGGCACAGGGTGGATGTGAATTTATGGGTGGCAGAGCTAGAGCTAGGCCCTGCCCTTACCTAGGTCCTGGCTTCGAGGTCCACTGTTCTGTCGCGTCTTTTGACGCATCGGTGGAAGAACTGAATTTCAGGATGCTCACAAACCTGCAGCTGGAAGCTAGACTTCCAAACCTTAGTTTAAAAAAGCAACTCTACTGAAATACTAAAATAAATTGCCGACGGAATTAGGGTGATTTCTTGTTCACGGTTTCATTTAAAAATGCACCTATGTTATTTACAGGAAAAACGTTTTAGTGGTGCTAGAGCTACAAGAATAAGGTAAACAGAAGGATGCTGCTAGACCAGGAGTACCTTACCCAGTCTGGGATAGGAGGAGGTCGGGGAAGCCCTCCCTAAGCAAGACACGTGAGCTGAGTTTGAAGAAAAAGTTAAAAGGAAGGTGAAGTGCGGGAGAGAAACAGGGAAGGGAATTTGGAGCAGAGTGAACAGCATATGCAAAGGTGTGGAAATGTGGAAATGCATGGCCTGTTAAAGCTGCCTTAAGAAAATATGTTGCCTGGGGCTGGGCGCGGTGGCTCATGCCTGTAATCCCAGCATTTTGGGAGGCCGAGGCGGGCGGATCACTTGAGGTCGGAGTTGGAGATCAGCCTGGCTAACTAACATGGCTAAACCCTTCTCTACTGAAAATACAAAAATTAGCCGGGCGTGGTGGCATGCGCCTGTAATCCTAGCTATTCTGGAGGCTGAGGCAGGAGAATCGCTTGAACCTGGGAGGCGGAGGTTGCAGTGAGCCGAGATCGCGCCTTTGCACTCCAGCCTGGAAGACAAAACAAAACTCCGTCTCAAAAAAAAAAAAAAAAAAGAAAGAAAGAAAGAATGTTGGCCTGGAAAGTACAGTTTATGTTGGGGGATGCTGGTTAGGGTGGAGAATAGGGGCAAGATCGGGCAGGGTTGTGTTCCATAAAAAGAGGTTAAACTTGATCCTAGAGACAGCATAGAGACACCTCATTAGCTTTGTTTTTAGAAACCTTACACTGGGAATCTCTTAGGATAAGAGTATAGCAAAGTCACCATATATAGGATCCAAAGCTTTCCTTTATAACAGTAACCACCAGTTAGAAAATATGGGGAAAAAAGAATGGAAAAAAAAATGTTTTTCACTTACATTGACAACAAAAGCTTAAAGTACCTTGGAATAAAGTTAACAAGAAATATATAGAAAAAACTATAAATGCTTACTGCTGGACAAAAAATTCAAAAAGCCTAGCATAAATGAAGAGGTACCATATTCCCAAATGGTCGGTCAATCTTCATTCTGTAAAGATGTCAGTTTCCCCAAATAAGCATAAATTCACTGCAATTTCCATAAGAGGCAGTTTTTTGTTTTTGTTTTTCCTCAGCCATTACTGTCTCTGGGACAGTATTTTTTTTTTTTTTGAAACTTCACAAAATGATTCTAAAGTTCATTTGGAGGAGTCAGTGTGTTGATAGATTTGCATTTGGTGCTATAATAAAGGTACAGTAAAGTGCTATAAGCAGTATGGTACTGGCACAGGAAGAGATGACTAGATTAATGCAACAAAATAGTCCTGCCCCCCTATTATGAGAACTTGGTATATGCTAAACTGTTGTGTCACATTAGGGAAGAAAGAATGGGTTTAACAAATTATGTTGAAACAATTGACAGTCATGTGGAGAAAAGTGACTCACTCAGTATTTAAAAATACATTCCAGATAGATTAAAAATCCAAGCCTTAAAAAAAGTATAAAGTTTTGAGAAGAATATATACAAGATTATTTTTATAATTTTGGGGTAGGGAATGTTCTTCTGAGGCTGTCAGAAGCCGTAAAAGTACAGTTGGCAGGTTTGCCTATTTAAAAATGAAAAGCTGTAAGACAAAAGATGTTGTAAACAAGGTTAAAACAGAGATGACAAATTGGGATGATATTTGTAGCTCATGTAAGTGATGAAGATTAGGAACTATAATATATATTTGTATGTTTAATGAAGTACTATGTATGTGTCACACCTTTTTTTTTGAGATGGAGTTTTGCCCTTGTTGCCCAGGCTGGAGTGCAGTGGCTTGATCTCGGCTCACTGCAACCTCCACCTCCCGGGTTCAAGAGATCCTCCTGCCACAGCCTCCCAAGTAGCTGGGACTACAGGTGCCTACCACCACACCTGGCTGATTTTTGTGTTTTTAATAGAGACGGGGTTTCACCATGTTGGCCAGGCTGGTCTCGAACTCCTGACCTCAAGTGATCCACCTGCCTCGGCCTCCCAAAGTGCTGGGATTACAGGCATGACCCACCGCACCTGGCCTTATGAGACCCTTTTGATTGCCTGCGCTGGTGCTGTAGATGGTAAGCTCCTGGAAGGCAGGCATTGTTTCTGTCTTGTCTCTGCACTCCCAGCTTTTTGCAAATTGCTTGTTACTTGGTGCCCAGTATCTGTTGCATGAACAGATGGATTCATGATTGAATGTGGAGGATGGATGAGAGTGAGGCTAGAGGGCTGGGCACCAGTCAGGAGGCAGCAGCCTTAGTTATTAGTGAGCAGAGAAGATAGAACACAGATTTGACAGATCTGGAGAAGATCAAATGAACAGACTGATTGGCGAAAGTCGGGGGCCAGGGGTGGGCAGTGTGTAAGAGATCTCTCAGCTTTATGATTTGGTAGGCCTGGCTGCTGCTGCCATTCCCTGAGCCAAGGAGCACAGGAGGAAATGAAGGTTTCGGGGAAAGCCCTTGGGGAAGGCCTGCTTGGTTTTGGACTAGATGTGCTGAGTTTCCAGGCTTCCGGGATGTCCAGGGGGACAAAGCCAGCATGAAGCTCTCGGACCCACTGGAGGGAAGTCGGTCTGCTGCAGGGAGTAGGTTTCCTGAATCAGTGTTGGCTCCATGCTTGGCTAAACATGCATGTAGCTGCAGTGAACATCGCAGCAAGACTGAGGGACAGCTTGTGCTGTAGAAGGTCATTGGGAGGAGGCTGGCTGGGAACAATGGAAGGGAAATCTATTGGTGGGGGAGTGTGAGTGTGTGTGTGTGTTTATGATTGTTTATATGATTGCTTGTGTCCGTTCCCTACTTTCTGGTAACTTGAGGTGTCAGAACTGCAATGTCTAAGCCTTTAGATTCTTCCGAAGCTGTGGCCTGGTCTTGGGACCTTTGTTGACCAGGGTTCTACCTCCCCCACCCTCCAGCTCAGCTCCTCGTGACTTGGAGGCAGCAGAGAGTTTGGCTGGTCTCCCAGGACAGCCGCCTCCCAGGGCCAGGAGTGGCGGGAGGGACCTCAGATGAGAGAAGAGCCAAGCCGGTGGTTTCTGGAGGTTCAGCACATCCTGGAGCAGGAGGGGGCGGTGGTGGGGGTTGCGGTGGAGAGTTGCTGTCCCACCGTGACTCAGCACTCTGCTAGGCTGGGCTTGGGCTCAAAAAGTGCTTTGTCATGGAGGAGAAGAGCAGTCATAAGACCTGGAGGGCTGTGGCTTCACTGTGGAGGGAGGGAGGGAGGGAGGGAGGGAGGGAGGGAGAGTGTCCCCCTCCCCCCATTTCCTAATGGGACAAAGTCCAGAGGCCGGACTGGGAACAAAGGGGTCTGAGATCACTCAGGGGGGCCTCTGATGGTGTTTTTGCTGGCAAGCCTAGGTGTCACTTTTCCTACCTATCCCTCGCTCAGTGCCTTCCCGCCGCATGGGGAATTCTCAATAGATGTTGGGTCCCTTTCTCTTCTAGGGATTGTTATTGTGTAGTCACAATTTAGGATCCACAGCTAGGAAATCATAGACCCCCCACAAATTTTAAGGCTTTGGAAAGGACGTTAGAGCTTCCAAATCATCATGTTTTACAGATAAGGTGAGACCCAAAAAAGGTTAGGCTTGCCCAAAGCCGTAGAGTCACTGGCTGAAACACAAGCTGAAAACTAGGACAGGGCACATGATGGAACCCCGCATGGCCATTAAATACAGTAAGTGTGTTTAATAAGTGTGTTGCTGGAATGTGTGTGTGCAGGAATGCTATGTGAAAAGGCCAGACCCCAAACCGTTCCACAGGCTGATTGCAACAAAGAAAAACCTCAGGGCTGGAGACATAGATGAGGATTGGGAGAGAATGGGTTACGTGGTATTTTAACTGAAGAGCTGATGTTTTAAATGTCTGGGATTTCCCCTGAAGTGAAGTGAAGTAAAGCAGGAAATTCGAGTTTTGAAATTCAGACCAAAGGAAAAACAATACTAAATCAGTATTTGGGTACATTTCTGGATGATGCAATCATACTCACAGAGCTTGTCCTGAAATCATTTCTTGAAAACCCTTGAGGCCATGTAAACTCAGAGTCTAGGTACTTGGAATCCCCCGCTTCCAGAAGGTTAACGAGAGCCACAGCCTGCGATGTTTGAGGACAACTGTGAATGGAAGGCAAGGCCCATTTTTGAATGCTAACTCAGGCCTCACTGCACTCCAGACTTCTGCCAGAGACCCTATCACATGCCCTAGCTATGTGTTTACCTCCTGGCTGGACTTTGAAGTTTTAAGCTGTGTCCCCAACCCTGGCACAGCCCGGGGGTCCCTCCAGTTGTAGCAGTTTGCAGCTCTGTACCTCTTCTCTGGAATGGTCATGCCCAGCAGAGCATCGGCTCTCTACCTTTGGACTAGCGGCTCCTGGAGATCAAGGGTCTTGCCTTTAACAGTCCCCAGCTGTATCCTTCCCAGTGAGCCCCTGGGATATGCACACAGTGAAGAGGCCACGTGGCCTCTCTGAACTTTGATTCCTGTATTATTTATGGTATCTGAAGCCAGCCCTCTCCCATGCTACCTTGAGTACCCGCTCTGGGCGCCCTCTTTACCACAGTTCCCGTTGCACCCCGTCAGCTGGGACCCAGCCACATGGCATCCCCACATCACCCCATCCAGGCTCAGCTGTGCTCACCCTGGCCAAATCAGGGGAGGCCCAGCTCAGCGCAGGTGACAGGTGGGAGCCATGGCTAGCAGCCTTGGGAGGAGGATGAAAAAACAGAAAAATGTCTTGCAAGTCTGGGCAGGGACCTCAGCAGCCAGAGGCCTTGGCAGCCAGGGGCTGGGAGTGCCTCCTCATGGAAATGGGAACTATGCCTCAGGAGTTTTCACTGTGTAGACACTCACTATGGTGGAGGGGAACGATGGCTGCACAGCACAGTCCCTTGAGCACCGGGTCGGAGGGAGTAGGGATCAAGAGGATCTGAGAGATCAGCAGCCAGGGACTAACCCAGCTGGGAGGCAGCAGAATGAAGCAGCCGGAAAGAGCGGCTAGGGCTTTCCTGCCCCCAGAGAAGGGGCACAATCCAGGAGAGCTAGTGAGTCTTGCTGGGCCAGCAGATGGGGCCTCGGTCAGCAGAGGGAAATCCTGAGTGTCCTATGAGAGGGTCAGGACCCCAAAGATCTCACCCTCAGCATGGATGAGGCCTCCCTCCAGCCTGTGGCTGTTCCCACTGTCCCAGGCTCCCTATTTCCTGCCTCTACCACCTCCTGCAGTCCCACTCTCTCTAATTTGTCTCTTTTCTGTCTGTCCCAGCATTATGAAATACAAAGATAAGCACTTTGTGATTACAACTCCTTAAAGGAGGCCGGTACAGTGGCTCACACCTGTAATCCCAGTACTTTGGAGGCCGAGGTGGGTTGATTGCTTGAGCCCAGGAGTTTGAGACCAGCCTGGGTGACATAGCAAGTCCCTCTCTCTCCAAAAAAAACACAAAAATTAGCCGGGTATGATGGCACAGGCCTGTAGTCCCAGCTATTCAGGAGGCTGAGGGAGGAGGATTGCTTGAGCCCAGGAGTTTGAGACCAGCCTGGGTGACATAGCAAGTCCCTCTCTCTCCAAAAAAAAAACACAAAAATTAGCCAGGTATGATGGCACAGGCCTGTAGTCCCAGCTATTCAGGAGGCTGAGGGAGGAGGATTGCTTGAGCCCAGGAGTTTGAGACCAGCCTGGGTGACATAGCAAGTCCCTCTCTCTCCAAAAAAAAACACAAAAATTAGCCGGGTATGATGGCACAGGCCTGTAGTCCCAGCTATTCAGGAGGCTGAGGGAAGAGGATTGCTTGAGCCCAGGAGTTTGAGACCAGCCTGGGTGACATAGCAAGTCCCTCTCTCTCCAAAAAAAAAAAAACACAAAAATTAGCCGGGTATGATGGCACAGGCCTGTAGTCCCAGCTATTCAGGAGGCTGAGGGAGGAGGATTGCTTGAGCCCAGGAATTCGAAGCTGCAGTCAGCAATGATTGTGCCACTGCACTCCAGCCTGGGCGACAGAGCCAAACCTTGTCTCTAAAAAAAATAAAAAATAAAATAAAACTCCTTAAGTGCTCTCCACTGCCCTTGGGATATAATTGTAATTCCAGGGTATGGCCCAGCCACTCACCCCCAGGCTTCTCTCTAGCCCTCCAGGGTTCCCCTCACACCTTGGGACTTGGCACAGCTGTTTGATCTGCCCAGACGGCCTGCCCCTCACTCTTCTGCATGAAAAAGTACCCAGCCTTCAACACCGGGCTCAAATATGCTCCCAAAGCTCCCTGCACTGCCCCGCAGAGCTGAGAATTTCCATTCTTTGTGCCCTCCAGCACTCCGAGCGCGTGGTCTCCACTGCCACGCAGTATTACAGTGACCTGCTCCATACCCACCTCCCCCACAGCAAGGGAACCTCTGCCCTGTTTATCTTGGCCATGCCTTTGCCTTTCCCACCTCAGCACCTGGCAAAGTACTCACAGTTTCACAGGCTCCCAGACTACCGACAAATATGGGCTGGATTTAACTTGGACTTAGCTCTTAGCCCAACTCTTATTCATCTTTCCTGTTGCTGAGCGTTAGGCTGCCCCACCACTACCCCGTGCCTCATAGGTTTTTTGTTTTTTTGACAGTCTTGCTGTGTTACCTAGGCTGGAGTGCAGTGGGGCCATCTCAGCTCACTACAACCTCTGCCTCCCGGGTTCAAGTGATTCTCCTACCTCAGCCTCCTGAGTAACTGGGATTACAGGCATGCACCACCATGCCCAGCGAATTGTTGTATTTTTAGTAGAACAGGGTTTTGCCATTTTGCTCATGCTGGTCTCGAAGTGCGGCCTCAAACAATCCGCCCACCTCAGCCTCCCAAAATGCTGGCGTGAGCCACTGGGCCCGGCCAGGTTTGGTTTTTCCATCTTTACTTAATTAAGACTACCAGCTGTTTCTACCTCCCGTATGGAAGATGCTGGGAATTGGTGAGTCTTTCTGGGGTTTCAGGATTATTCCTAGGCAGAGACCTGAAGACACTGTGAGGCAGTCGGGGCTGGGACCAGCGCGGCCATGGGGATGGAGATGTCACAGTCACAGGCTCTGTGGCTCTGAGGACCAATTCCTGTGGCTTGCTTTTGTGGCCACAGAGTGTTTCCTCAACTGGAGGAATCTGTGGGCTGTCACTAGGGACCAATGTGGGAGGAAAGCAAGAAGGGTTGGTATAAAAATCAGCTTGCTACTACAAAACAATGTCCTATCCTTCCTGGCGGTGGGCCAGTGCATTGTTGGAGTTTTCATTCCATAAAATAACAGATTTTTACATAAAGTAAGTTGACACCTTCGGGGCTGACACTGACAGCACCTCTGAGTAGGTAGGGCAGGTAGCCCGTGCTGGCAGCAGAGGTTTCCTTTATCCAGTGAGGAAACTGGAAGTCAGAGAGGTTAAGAGACGGCCTTGCCTAAGATTGCGCAGCTGGTAAGAGACAGGGCTCTGACCAGAATCTGGACTCTGATTGTGGTGCAATTTTCTGAATCTGGTGCCCTGACACAGCCATGACGGCAATTCTTAAACTCAGCACATACATTACCCTTAATCTCGAAGCATGCAGGAAGAAGAGCTCCAAGATTCCACTTGCTGAGGCTTCTGAAATATCCCTGCAGGTGGAGAGCACTTCCTGCAGCCCTGAATCCTGAAGGCGAGCCAGCACCCAACTTCGGTGGGCTTCAAGCCACTGGAGTTGGCCGAGGGTGCTTTCAAAGTAGTTGCTGTGATTCTACCAGCAGCAAAGCTGTCACGGGTGATCTTTGAAATTAATGGGCTGATTTGATTAGTAACTGAAGTCTGTTTGCTTGGTGGGAGTTTTGTGGTTCTTTGGATGGCACTCTTGGGGATCTCGTGGCAGGGCTTAGCGAATTGGACTTGGTCTTGAGTTATCTGGACTTGGTGCTAATGGCTGGCAGGCCCAGGAGATGCCTGGGCAGCCCGTAGACTGGGGCTATCCAGTGGCATTCTGAGCAGGGCAGTGGGTCTCGGCCCACATGGGAGAGCTAAGGGTATTTCTGGAGCATGTAATTCCCAGGGACCATGGCTGGCTCCTCAGACCCCCATTACTCCCACTGTGCTTGGCTGGTCCTCCCAGGGGCTGGGGGCCTCTGCTCAGCCACAAGACACACCATATTAGGGAGTGGTGGGAGATGCTTCCCTGAGGGTCTCATGGTACCTCCTTCGTATGTAGGATCTGAGAACCATATAAACTTGCCTAAAAGAGTCTCGGGGCCTCTGGAGCTGAAGCTGTTCACATGCCGGGAAGCATAGGATGACCCACCTCCAAACTGGGGCAACACCAGCTCCTCCCCTGGGGCCTTAGCCCACCCTTGGTTTTCTGTGCGGAGGGCTCACCCACCTTTCTGACAAAGCTTCTGATGGCTCAGAAGCCAGTTGGCCTGAGTCAGAGCCAGGAGAGCCTTCCCATGGGAAGGGGCTTTACATGCTATTACCTTTCTCATCTGTTTCCAGCTGCACGGATGATATGCTAACCCCCTGTCAAACATCCCTGCCTTTTGTAATTCTTTGAAAGCATTAGTTGGAACCAAGTGGCTCTCGTTTTTCCCCACTATTTACTCACCTATCCAGCTGCCCTTTCAATATCGTGGGTGTGTATGTGGGTGGACAGGGGTGTGTATGTGTAGTGGCAGGAATCCGGATGTTTTGCTTTTTGCTTTTTTCTGGAATTGATTTCTCCAGATCCATACCTACTCCCCAATATCCACCTGTCTTCTGGACACTAGATCCAGATTTTCCTCTGGGGAACTATTTCCCTCCCTCCAACCTCTGTGATGTGCTATAATTGGAACTGCCTCCATCCCTAGATTCAGGGATAGACATGTTTTGTTTTACTTGCAACAGATTTTTCAGTCAACTTACCTTTTATATCAGGGGTCCCCAACCCCTGGTCCATAGACTGGTACCGAAGGTGCATAGACTGTGCACCTCCAGGCTGCATGGCAGGAGGTGAGCAGTGGGTGAATGAACATTACCTCCAAGCTCTGCCTGCTGGTTATCCCAGCTCTGCCTCCTGTCAGATCAGCAGTGGCATTAGCTTCTCATAGGAGTGTGAACCCTACGGTGAACTGCACGTGACAGGGATCTAGGTTGTGCGCTCCTTATGAGAACCTAACTAATGCCTGATGATCTGAGGTGGAACAGTTTCATCCTGAAACCATCTCCCTCCCCCACCCCTTGTCCATGGAAAAAATTGTCTTCCACAAAACCGGTGCCTGGTGTCAAAAAGGCTGGGGACCACTGTTTTACATCATCTAAATGGCAACTGATTCCTGCATGGGTCTCAGAATTTTCAAGACAGGAAGGAGCCTTTGAGACTATCTAATACTTTCAATCACTCAACTAATGTTTTTATTTTGTTATTATTTTTTTAAAAATAGAGACAGGGTCTCAACTCTGTCACCGAGGCTGGAGTGCAGTAGCACGATCGTAGCTCACTGCAGCCACCAACTCCTGGGCTCAAGTAGTCCTCCCACCTCAGCCTCCTGAGTAGCTGGGATTACAGGTGCATGCCACTACACCTGGCTAATTAGAGCAATTTTTGATGGGGTCTCACTATATTGCCCAGGCTGGTCCCAAACTCCTGACCTCCAAAGATCCTCCTGCCTCAGCCTCCCCAAAGCTTGGGATTACAGGCCTGAGCCACTGCACTTGGCTTCAAACATTTTTAAATGCCAGCTCTATGCCAGTCCTTGGGTTAGATGAAGAAAATGATATCTGGGGCTGGGGATTTGGGGTGACCAGATCAGGGTTACAGGGAAAGTCGGTGGCTGAGCCAAGGACCAAAACCTAGGCCTTCTGACTCCCACACCAGCCTTCTTTCCTCATGCTTCTCTGCTTCCTGAGATTAAATTCTTCTGGCAGTGCTCAAGTACGGTTATGTGATTATGAAAAAACACAGGGAACTCTGTGCCAAGCAGCTATCATTGGTTTCCTGGGCAGGGTTGCAGAGAAAGAGGAGAAGGACAAAGGAACTTCTCCCACCCCTGTGTGCCAGCCTCAGCTCTCTGGCGGGGGGCAAAACAGGCTCGTGGGGCTGCCTGAGGGCTTGTCCTCTGGTGTCCCTCCTCTGGGCCCCAACAGTCCTCTGCTTCATCCACACCAGCCCCTGGGGTGCCCCACCGCACCCCTGGTCCCCCGCCTCTGTCCTTTGTTGAAGTCTTTCCTCCCCTAGCTGTTCACTTTTATCTATCAAAGATCCACCCTTTCTCCAAGCTGCAGTCCAGATCCTGCCTCTGCCGAGAAGTCTTCCTGGATTCAGAGCTTGTCTCTTATTCCTGCTAATGTTTATTCCTTCGGCCTTTACTGAGTGACAGGAGGCCCTGTGCCATTGCATCATCATAGGGGAGGCTCGTAGGAAGGCATCATAGGAGGCTTGTAGGAAGCTGGTCTTCATCTCTGCTCCCAGGAATGGGACCAGGCCCTGGCACCTGGCAGGGCCTCAGCTAAGACTCTGGTTGGATGTGATTGAATCATCGTGAGAAAGGGGAATCCTTGCCCTGCTGGGGGGCGAAACGGGGGGTAAAGTTAGGACCCCCTGCCCTGCCCCATCTCACAAGCGTTGTGAAAAGGTCTTGAGCTTTGTCTGACTGGGTCTCGCTTGAGCCAGTACTGCCCCGTGAGAGATGGTTCTTTGCACTTAACTCCAGGTAACGGAGGGCCCATCCTGCAGTTTCCCCTTAAGAGCCTGGAATGGGAGCCTCGGGAGTTGGAACTGGTCTCTGGAGTTTGCCTTAAGCCCAACCAGCTTGGTCAGCTCTTTAGCCCAAAACTCCTGTATTCCAAGGGCAGGGGTCCTCAGGCCCAAGCTCCACCCAGCTGGGTGGGTTAGACTCAGACTCTTTTCTTAAAAATGAATCAAGTAAGAATAAAAACTAATACTTATTAATAAAAGCAGATACTTCTTGACCCCTTACTACATAGGCCAAACATGTCATTCGACAGATGAGGAAACTGAAGCACAGAACTACAAAGTACCTTGCCCAAGGACACACACCTGCTGTTCCAGTCCAGAGCCCACACTCTGAACCGCTCCTTGTCCCCACCCACTGCCCAGATCATTCGGCTCCATCCTGTTATCCACTTGTCATTCCACTGTTTGCCCATGGTGCCTCCCATATGGGGATTTAGTAAATGCTTATCAAATGGGGGTGCTTATTGAATTTGAGATTTCTGTTTGTTTACCAGGTTATCCCTAGCAAGGCATGGAGGGAATAAGGGGGAACAACAAAAATGCTGGATGCTGGGCTGGGCGCGGTGGCTCGCGCCTGTAATCCCAGCACTTTGAGAGGCTGAGGCGGGCGGATCACCTGAGGTCAGGAGTTTGAGACTAGACTGGCGAACATGGTGAAACCCCGTTTCTACTAAAAATACAAAATTAGACGTGGCGGCATGCACCTGTAACCCCAGCTACACGGGAGGCTGAGGCAGGAGAATCGCTTGAACCCACGAGGCGGAGGTTGCGGTGAGTTGAGATCGCACCATTGCACTGCACCCTGGGCAAAAAGAGTGAAACTCCGTCTCAAAAAAATAAATAAATAAAAATGCTGGATGCTGCAGCTCTGTCTTGCTGTGTGATCAGTCCTTGGCACAGATATCCCACCCGAGCCAGGCTTCTTGCATGTCCTTACTCTCTGCCGTTCCCAGGGAAGGAGGATATTTCTGAAAAGGTCCTGAATTTCAGATGGGCTGTCATCACTGTCAGTGTTAGGATGGAAGGGCTGAGTGCAGTTGCCTCCAGACCAACCCCTGTGAAAAATACTCCAGGGAAAATCGCTCTGGAGAGACATGGCTTCTGAGATGGTGCCCTGGGTGGATGGAGGAGAGAGCTGGGAGGTCTCACATCAGTCGGGATGATTTTGCTTTCAAGCAACAAAACCCAACCCACAATAGATTAAGCAACAAGGGGGATTTATTGACTTGTGGAGTTGAAAAGCCCAGACGAGGTGGACTTTAGACGTGGTTCCATCAGGGCTCGGGCCCCGTTTCTCTGTGATTCTCTCAGATCCGCTCCCATCCACCGGGCTTCATCCTCTGGCTGTCTTCCAGCATCCTCCAGAGCTGCAGGCTTCCTTCTTCCAGGGGTAAAGTTAGGACCCCCTGCCCTGCCGCATCTCACAAGCATTGTGAAAAGGTCTTGAGCTTTGTCTGACTGGGTCTTGCTTGAGCCAGTACTGCCTCTTGGAGTGTCTAAATCTTAATGGTTGTTTAAGCAAATTAAGGAAATGGAGTTGATGAGCACTTCTGAATGGCATTGGGCCCCAGGGCTCACTGGAGACAGGAAGAGTTTTTACCAATTGCTCTCTGCTCTCGCTTGCTGGTGTCTGATTTTACCAGAGTACAGTGACCTCAGCTGGGACACTCAGGCCTGCACCATTCAGACTTCAGAGCTGTATGTGGATCTGTGTGAAGACCTCTAGGAGCCCAGCACTCAGATTTGGGAGGCCCCACTGCACATCAGGGCAAACACGTTAAAACATGCCCACATTCCACATGCAGCATTGTAACCAAAACACAGGTTCAGTTGCCTGCCACTTGCAGAGTCCAAATAATAAGAGTGAGGTCTGGTATAAGTAAAGTGACTTTTTATTTCAAAACTAGCTTAGGGGAAGAGGTACAGGCTTCTTACCTTAAGAGTACCACCTTGGGGCTGGGCGAGGTGGCTCAAGCCTGTAATCCCAGCACTTTGGGAGGCCAAGGCGGGTGGATCATCTTGGTCGGGAGTTCAAGACCAGCCTGACCAACATGGAGAAACCCCTTCTCTACTAAAAATACAAAATTAACCAGGCGTAGTGGCGCATGCCTGTAATCCCAGCTACTCGGGAGGCTGAGACAGGAGAGTCACATGAACCCAGGAGGCGGAGGTTGTGGTGAGCTGAGATCACGCCATTGCACTCCAGCCTGGCCCACAAGAGAAAAACTCTGTTTCAAAAACAATCAAAGCAAAACAAAGCAAAAACAAAAAAGGCTACCACTTTGGGCTGGGCGCAGTGGCTCATGCCTGTAATCCCAGCACTTTGGGAGGCACAGGCAGGCAGATCACCTGAGGTCAGGAGTTCGAGACAGCCTGGCCAACATGGTGAAACCCTATCTCTACTAAAAATACAAAAATTAGCCAGGCATGGTGGCAGGTGCCTATAATCCCAGCTACCCAGGAGGCTGAGGCAGGAGAATCACTTGAACCCAGGAGGCAGAGGTTGCTGTGAGCTGAGATCATGCCACTGTACTCAGTCTGGGCAACACAGCAAGACTCCTTCTAAAAAAAAAAAAAAGAGTATCACTTCACTTTTGGCGTGGAAGGTGGGTACTTTTAAAGGGTGCCTGGCACACAGACATGAATGGCACATGGGAGGAAGCAGGCAGGTGGGGGGCTGTGTACTTGCTTTGGTGCCTTATCTACCAGGTGGCCGAGAGTTGGCGTCTTTGAGGACAGAACTGGGTTGTGAAGGTGGCCAAAACTCTCCAGGTGGGAGAGAGTTTCATAGCAGGCATGCTTTGGGTTGTAAATGGACTGTTGTCTCTCAAGGCAGTCCCCTGGTGGGACAGAGTTCCACCCTGGAGCTTCTAAGCACGAAGTTAGATAAACTTGCCCTGTAGGGAGTGTCTGGTGAAGGGAAAGTGAAAGGTTATAACTGCATTTCTAAAGGGACAAGTGGGATGTAGATAATAGGGAAATAGAGGAAAGAGAAGAGAAAAAATAATTAAAAATAACTCCTTCTTGCTTCCTTCCTCTCTCTCTGTCTTTCTTCTTTCTTTGTTTTTTTTTTTTTTTTTTTTTAGATGGAGTCTCGCTCTGTTGCCCAGGCTGGAGTGCAGTGGCACAATCTTGGCTCACTGCAAGCTCCGCCTCCCGGATTCACGCCGTTCTTCTGTCTCAGCCTCCCAAGTAGCTGGGACTACAGGCGCCTGCCACCACGCCCACCTAATTTTTTGTATTTTTAGTAGAGACGGGGTTTCACCATTTTAGCCAGGATGATCTCAATCTCCTGACCTCGTGATCCGCCTGCTTCGGCCTCCCAAAGTGCTGGGATTACAGGCGTGAGCCACCGTGCCTGGCTTTTCTTTCTTTTTTTTTTTCTGACAGAGTTTCACTCTCGTTCCCCAGGCTGGAGTGCAATGGCGTGATCTTGGCTCACTGCAACCTCTGCCTCCTGGGTTAAGTGATTCTCCTGCCTCAGCCTCCCAAGTAGCTGGGATTACAGGCGAATGCCGCCACACCCAGCTAATTTTTGTATTTTAAGTAGAGACGGAGTTTCACCATGTTGGCCAGGCTGGTCTCGAACTGCTGACCTTAGGTGATCCACCCACCTCGGCCTCCCAAAGTGCTGGGATTACAGGTGTGAGCCACTGCACCTGGCTTCCATTCTCTTTTTCATAGAAAAATGGGGGCACTTGGTTATAAGCGAAAAATAAGTAAAGAAGACCTGAGCTCAACTGCAGATGACAGCTTTACAGCTCATAAACATTTACTTTTATTAATTTTGCTGTTTTCTTTTTAAATTTAGGAGCCAGTACATTTTCTTGGACCCTTGTAAAGCTCATAGGCACTAGGCCTGGGCCTGTCTTGCCTAATAGAGAAATCTGCCTGTTTGAGGGCAGTGATGGTGATTTGTGTGTGTGTCCCTGAAGGAACACCAGGCCTGGAGCCAGGACTGTGGAAGCTGGTCCCAGCTCTGCCATTAACTAGCTGGGTGACCTTGGACAAGCTGCCAACTTCTCTGGACCTCTGTGTAGTCACTTGTCAATTGGAGATAATGTCACCTCTATTTCTCCCCTGTGTTCTTTGCTGAAGGGGCATTTCTTCCAGCTGGGGAGACTGGAGGGGCTTAACTGAGTCTTGCCATTGAGCCGAGTAAACCCAATTTCTTTGGGATCCATTTGACACTGGTTGGCTGCCCACTCTAAGCCAAGCTTGCAGCCAAGCTCTGGAGGAGTAGAGATGGCTAAGCCAGAGCTTGTGTTCACAGTAGCCCAGAAAGATAGGCTCAGCAGAGACGTGTGGAAGGGGCACAGTGGGATTCAGATGAGCAGCCTGAGAGCCTGAAAGAGCCATGGAAGAGCCTGCCAATGGAAGTGCCCTTTCCTTGCTAAGGAAGGTAAAATACCCAAACCAAGTCAATTCAGCAATGATCCTGGGGTGCAAGAGTGAAAGGGCCAGGGGCTGTAGCTGCCTCTTAGCCTCAGTGTGGTGACTCCCTTCTGTTATTTTTTTTTTTTTTTTTCCTTTTTTGAGACAGGGTTTAGCTCTGTCACTCAGGCTGGAGTGCAGTGGCACATACATGGCTCACTGCAACCTCGACCTTCTGGGCTCAAGCAATCCTCCCACCTCAGCCTCCTGAGTAGCTGGGACTATAGGTGTGTGCCACCACACCTGGCTAACTATTTTTATTTTTTTATTTTTGAGATGGAGTTTCGCTCTTGTTGTTCAGGCTGGAGCGCAGTGGCGCGATCTTGGCTCACCGCAACCTCTGCCTCCCGGTCAAGTGATTCTCCTCCCTCAGCCTCCCGAGTAGCTGGGATTATAGGCATGTGCCACCACGCCTGGCTAATTTTGTATTTTTAGTAGAGACGGGGTTTCTCCATGTTGGTCAGGTGATCTGCCCATCTCTGCCTCCCAAAGTGCTGGGATTACAGGCATGAGCCACCGCGCCTGGCCTCTTTTTTGATTTTTAGTAGAGAAGAGGTGTTTCCATATTGCCCAGGCTGTTCTTGAACTGCTGGGCTCAAGCAATCCTGCCGCCTTGGCCTCCCAAAGTGTTGGGATTATAGGCGTGAGCCACTGCACCAGCCCTCTCTTAACAACTTTTAAGTGTACGTCACAATATTGCTAACTATATGTACATTGTTGTACGAGAGTTCTCCCAGACTTTTTTCTCTTCCATGGCTGAAACTCCATCCCGTTGAGCAACAACTCCCCATTTCCCCTCCCCTCAGCTCCTGGAAACCACCATTCTGCTTTCTGTCTCTATGAATTTGATTACTTTAGGTACTTCTTATAAGTGGAATCATGCAATATTTCCCCTTTTGTGATTGGCTTATTTCATTTAGCATGATGTCTTCAGGGTTATCGTTGGTATAGTATATGACAGGATTTCTGGTTCTTAAAAAAGACTGAATGACATTTCATTGTATGTATATACTACGTTTTTTAAATCCATTCATCCATCCACAGAAATTTAGGTTGCTTCCACATCGTGGCTATTGTGGATAATGTCATAATGAACATGGGGATGCAGATATCTCTTTGAGATCCTGTTTTTTATTCTTTAGGATATATACTCAGAAGTGGGATTGCAGTATCATATGGTAGTTCTATTTTTAATTTTTTGAGGAGCCTCCATATCATTTTTCATAGCAGTACACCATTTTACAATCCTACCAACAGTTTGCAAGAGTTCCAGTTTTTCCGCATCCTCACTGACACTTGATAATTTTTTTTTTTTTTTTTTTTTTTTTAGACAGAGTGTCGCACTGTTGCCTGGGCTGGAGTGCAGTGGCTCGGTCTCAGCTCACTGCAACCTCCACCTCCCGGGTTCAAGTGATTCTCCTGCCTCAGCCTCCCAAGTAGCTGGGATTACAGCCACCCACCACCACACCCACCTGATTTTTTTTTTTTTTGTAGTTTTAGTAGAGACAGGGTTTCACTATGTTGGCCAGGCTGGTCTCAAACTGCTGACCTCATAATCTGCCGAACTGGTAATCTGCCCGCCTCGGCCTCCCAAAGTGCTGGGATTACAGGCGTGAGCCACTGCACCCAGCCCACTTTTTGTTTTTTTGATAGTAGCTATTCCAATGGGCATAAGGTGATAGCTCATTGTGGTTTTGATTTGCAATTCCCTGGTGATTAGTGAACATCTTTTCATACGCTTGAAAAAAAAGACGGTGAGCATCTTTTCATATGCTTTTTGGCCTGACTGTTAAAAGAAAAACAAACAAACGGAAAGAAAAAACAAAAACAGCATCAACAAAAAAGTCCCCACGCAAACCCCATCCAAAGGTCAGCAGCCTTGAAGCTCGAAGCTAGATAAACTCATGAAGATGAGAAAAAAATCAATGAAAAATTGCTGAAAACTCAAAAGAGCCAGAGTGCTTCTTCTCCTACAAATGATTGCAACACCTCTCCAGCAAGGGCTCAGAACTAGGCTGAGGCTGAGACGGATGAACTGACAGAAGTGGCCTTTAGAAGGTGAGTAAGAACAAACTTCGCTGAGCTGAAGGAGCATGTTCTAACCCAATGCAAAGAAGATAAGAACCATGACAAAACATTACAGGAGCCCTTAACCAGAAAAACCAGTTTAGAGAGGAACATAAATGACCTGATGGAGCTGAAAAATACAACATGAGAACTTCACAGTGCAACCACCAGTATCAATAGCTGAATACACCAAGCGGAGGAAAGAATTTCAGAGCTTAAGACTAACTTGCTAAAGTAAGACAGTCAGAAAAGATGAGAGAAAAAAAGAATGAAAAGGAACAAACAAAACCTCTGAGAACTATGGGATTATGTAAAAAGACTGAACTTACAAATGATTAGGGTACCTGAAAGAGACGGGAGAATGGAACCAAGCTGGAAAACATATTTCAGGATATCTTGCAGGAGAACTTCCCCACCCTAGCAAGGCAGGCCAACATTCAAATTCAGGAAATCCAGATAACCCCAGTAAGATACTCCACGAGAAGATCAACCCCAAGACACATAATCATCAGATTCTCCAAGGTCAAAATAAAGGTTAAGGGCAGCCAGAGAGAAAGGCCAGGTCACCTCAAAGGGAAGCCCATCAGACTAACAGTGGACCTCTCAGTGGAAACCCTACAAGCCAGAAGAGATTGGGGCCAATATTCAACATTTTTAAATAAAAGAATTTTCCAACCCAGAATTTCATATCCTGCCAAACTAAGCTTTATAAGTGAAGGAGAAATAAAATCCTTTTCAGACAAGCAAATGCTGAGGTAATTCATCACCACCAGGCCTGCTTTGCAAGAGCTCCTGAAGGAAGCACTAACATGAAGGAAAAACCCATTACCAACCACTACAAAAACACACTGAAATACAAAGACCAATGAAACTATGAAGCAACTACATCAGCAAGTCTGCAAAATAACCAGCTAGCATCATGATGACAGGATCAAATTCACACAATCTTAAATGTAAATGGGCTAAATGCCCCAATTAAAAGACACAGAACAGCAAGCTGGATAGAGTTAAGACCCATAGGTATGCTGTATTCAAGAGACCCATCTGACGTGCAAAGACACACAGGCTCAAAATAAAGGGATGGAGGAAAATTTACGAAGCAAACAGAAAGCAGAAAAAAGTAAGGGAGGAAAATTTACCAAGCAAACGGAATGCAGAAAAAAAGCAAGGGTTGCAATCCTAGTTTTTGACAAAACAGAGTTTAAACCAACAAAGATAAAAAAAAAAAAAAAAAGACAAGGACATTACATAATGGTAAACGGTTCAATTTAATAAGAATAGCTAACTATCCAGAATACATGTATGCACCCAACACAGGAGCACCCAGATTCATAAAAAAAGTTCATAGCGATCTACGAAGAGACTTAGACTCCCACACAATGATAGTGGGAGACTTTAACGCTTCACTGTTAATATTAGACAGATCATCGAGACAGCAAATTAACAAGGATATTCAGGACTTGAACTCAGCTCTGGATCAAGTGGATCTGTTAGAGATCTACAGAACTCTCTACCCAAAAACAACAGCATATACATTCTCCTCAGCACCACATGGCTCTTACTCTAATTTGATCACAGAATTTGAAGTAAAACACTCCCTGGCAATGGAAAAGAACTGAAATCATAACAAACAGTCTCTCAGACCACAGCGTAATCAAATTAGAGCTTGTGATTAAGAAACTCATTTAAAACCACACAACTACAGGGAAACTGAATAACCTGCTCCTGAATGACTCCTAGGTAAAGAATGAAATTAAGGCAGAAATCAAGAAATCAAGAAGTTCTTTGAAATCAATGAGAACAAAGAGACAATGTACCAGAATCTCTGGGACACAGCTAAAGCAGTATTAAGAGGGAAATTTATAGCACTAAATATCCACATCTAAAAGCTAGAAAAATCTCAAATCTACACCCTAACATCACAACTGAGAGAACTAGAGACCCAAGGCAAACAAACCCCAAAGCAAGCAGAAGAAATGAAATAACCAAGATCAGAGCAGAACTGAAGGAGATACAGACACAAAAAACCCTTCAGCCAGGCGCGGTGGCTCACACCCCTTCAGCCAGGCGCAGTGGCTCATGCCCTTTCAGCCAGGCGCGGTGGCTCATGCCTGTAATCCCAACACTTTGGGAGGCTAAGGTGGGCAGATCATGAGGTCAAGAGATAAAAACCATCCTGGCCAACATGGTGAAACCCTGTCTGTACTAAAAATACAAAAATTAGCTGGGCGCGGTGGCATGCACCTGAAGTCCCAGCTACTCGGGACGCTGAGGCAGGAGAATCGCTTTAACCCAGGAGGCGGAGGTTGCAGTGAGCCGAGATCGTGCCTCTGCACTCCAGCCTGGTGACAGAGCAAGACTCTGTCTCAAAAAAAAAAAAAAAAAAAAAAAAAACCTTCAAAAAAATCAATAAAGCTGGCTTTTTGAAAAAATTAGTAAAATAGATCGCTAGCTAGACTGATAAACACAATAAAAAATGATAAAGGGGATACCACCACTGACCCCACAGAAATACAAACAACCATTAGAGAATACTATAAACCCCTCTATGCAAATAAACTAGAAAATCCAGAAGAAATGGATAAATTCCTGGACACATACCCCCTCAAAGACTGAACCAGGAAGAAGTTGAATCCCTGAACAGACTAATAACAAGTTCTGAAATTGAGGCAGGAATAAATAGTCTACAAAATGGCTTTACAGCTGAATTCTACCAGAGGTACCAAGAGGAGCTGGTACCATTTCTTCTGAAACTATTCCAAACAATTGAAATGGAGGGACTCCTCCCTAACCCATTTTACGAGGTCAGCATCATTCTGATACCAAAACCTGGCAGAGATACAACAAAAAAAGAAAACTTCAGGCCAATATCCCTGATGAACATCCATGTGGAAATCTTCAATAAAATACTGGCAAACTGAATGCAGCAGCACATTAAAAAGCTTATCCACCATGATCAAGTTGGCTTCATCCCTGGGATGCAAGGCTGGTTCAACAGATGCAAGTCAATAAACATAATTCAACAGAACTAAAGGCAAAAAACATATGATTATCTCAATAGATGCAGAAAAGGCCTTCGATAAAATTCAACATCATAAATGGCTCTTATTATTTTGTGGTAAAACTAAGGATTGAAGGAACATACCTAAAGATAATAAGAGTCATTTATGACACTCCCACAACCAATATCATACTGAATGGGCAAAAGCTGGAAGCATTCCCCTTGAAAACTGGCACAAGACAAGGATGTCCTCTCTCACCGCTTTTATTCAACATAGTATTGGAAGTTCTGGCCAGGGCAATTAGGCAAGAGAAAGATATAAAGGGTATTCAAATAGGGGAAAAGAAGAAGTCAAACTGTCTCTGTTTGCAGATGACATGATCCTATATCTAGAAAACCCCATCGTTTCAGCCCAAAAGCATCTTAAGCTGATAAGCAACTTCTGCAAAGTCTCAGGATACAAAATCTATGTGCAAAAATCACAAGCATTCCTATACACCAACAATAGACAGAGAGCCAAATCACGAATGAACTCCCATTCACAATTGCTACAAAGAGTAAAATACCTAGGAATACAGCTAACAAGGGAAGTGAAGGATTTCTTCAAGGAGAGCTACAAACCACTGCTCAAGGAAATCAGAGAGGACACAAACAAATGGAAAATCATTTTATGCTCGTGGATAGGAAGAAGCAATATCATGAAAATGGCCATACTGCCCAAAGTAATTTACAGATTCAATGCTATTCTCATTAAACTACCATTGACATTCTTTGCAGAATTAGAAAAAACTACTTTGAAATTTATATGGAACCAAAAAAGAGCCTGTATAGCCAAGATTATCCTAAGCAAAAAGGACAAAGCTGGAGGAATCATGTTACCTGACTTCAAACTATACTACAAGGCTACAGTAACCAAACAGCATGGTACTGGTACAAGTACAGACACACAGACCAATAGAACAGAATAGAGATCTCAGAAATAAGACTGCACACTTAAAACCATCTGATCTTTGACAAACCTGACAAAAACAAGCAATGGGGAAAGGATTCCCTTTTTAATAAATGGTGCTGGGAGAACTGGCTAGCCATATGTGTAAAACTGAAACAGCACCCCTTCCTTACACCTTATACAAAAATTAACTCAAGATGGATTAAAGACTGAAATGTAAAGCCCAAAACTATAAAAACCCTAGAAGAAAATCTAGGCAATACCATTCAGGACATAGGCACGGGCAAAGATTTCATGATGAAAATGTCAAAAGTAATTGCAACAAAAGCAAAAACTGACAAATGGGATCTAATTAAACTAAAGAGCTTCTGCACAGAAAAAGAAACTATCATCAGAGTGAACAGACAACCTGCAGATTGGGTGAAAATTTTTGCAATCTGTCCGTCTGACAAAGGTCTAATATCCAGAATCTAAACAAATTTACAAGAAAAAAAAAACCCCATTAAAAAGTGGGCAAAGGAATGAACAGACAGACACTTCTCTAAAGAAGATATTTATGTGGCCAACAAATGTATGAAAAAAAGCTCAACTTCACTGATCATTAGAGACATGCAAATCAAAACCACAATGAGATTCCATCTCACACCAGTCAGAATGGCGATTATTAAAAAGTCAAGAAACAACAGATGCTGTTGAGGCTGTGGAGAAAGAGGGAACGCTTTTATACTGTTGATGGGAGTGTAAATTAGTTCAACCATTGTGGAAGACAGTGTGATGATGATTCCTCAAAGACCTAGAACCAGAAATACCATTTCTGGTTATATACCCAAAGGAATATAAATCATTCTATTATAAAAATACATGCATGTGTATGTTCATTGCAGCACTATTCACAACAGCAAAGACATGGAATCAATCCAAATGCCCATCAATGATAGACTGGATAAAGAAAATGTGGTACATATACACCATGGAATACTATGGAGCCATAAAAGGGAACAAGATCTTATCCTTTGCAGGGACATGGATGAAGCTCGAAGCCATTATCCTCAGGGAACTAACGCAGGAACAGAAAACCAAACACTGCACGTTCTCACTTATAAGTGGGAGCTGAACAATGAGAACACATGGACACACGGAGGGGAACAACACACACTGGGGCCTGTGGGGTGCAGGGGAGAGCGAGAGCATCAGGATAAATAGCTAATGCATGTGGGGCTTAATACCTAGGTGATGGGTTGATAGGTGCAGCAAACCACCACGGTACACATTTACCTATGTAACAAACCTGCACGTCCTGCACATGTATCCCGGAACTTAAAATTAAATTAAATTAAATTTAAAGAATAGCTTAAAAAACCAAAAACAAACCAAAAAATGCCTTTTAAAAAATTTAATTTGTTTGAAACAGGATTTAAAAAGTTCTGTGGACATGGTGGCTCACACCTGTAATCCCAGCACTTTGAGAGGCCAAGGCAGGCGGATCACGAGGCGAGGAGTTCGAGACCAGCCTGGCCAACATGGTGAAACCCTGTCTCTACTAAAAATACAAAAATTAGCTGGGCGTGGTGGCGGGCACCTGTAATCCCAGCTGCTCGGGAAGCTGACGCAGGAGAATCATTTGAATCCTGGAGGTGGAGGAGGTTGCAGTGAGCCGAGATCGTGCCATTGCACTGCAGCCTGGGCGACAGGGTTAGAAAAAAAAAAAAGTTATGTGGCTGGTTGATATGTCTCTTTAGACTCTTAACAGACTTCCTGGCCGGGCATGGTGGCTCACACCTGTAATCCCAGCACTTTGGGAGGCCGAGGCGGGCAGATCACGAGGTCAGGAGATCGAGACCATCCTGGCTAACACAGTGAAACCCCGTCTCTACTAAAAATACAAAAAATTAGCTGGGCATGGTGGCGGGCACCTGTAGCCCCAGCTACTTGGGAGGCTGAGGCAGGAGAACGGCGTGAACCTGGGAGGCAGAGCTTGCAGTGAACCGAGATCGTGCCACTGCACTCCAGCCTGGGTGACAGAGTGAGACTCCATCTCAAAAAAACAAAAACAAAAACAAAAAACAAAACAAAACAAAAAAACAGACTTCCTCCCCATCTTCTTTCTCCACCCCCACTCCTTGATCTGGAGCTTGCTATCTTTGTGGCATTTAACATGCTCCTCTGTCCCCTGAATTTCCTGTAAGTTGGTAGTTAAATCTAGAGGCTTGATCAGATATTTGGGGCATATTTTTTTTGGCCCAGTTACCTTACAGGTGGTGTTTTGTTCTTCCATCAGGAGGTACGTGTCTGTCTTTCTGCTTGTTAGCAGTTGTTGCTGTCTTTATTTATTAGGATTTGCAAAATGGTGATATTCAAACCTATCATTCCATCTTCCCTTACTATGTGAAATATTTCTGTAGAGAGAATCTTCCCTTTATGAACTATTTGGCTAGCCTGAAGAATAGTTCTTTTAAAAAGGATGAAGAGGCCAGGCATGGTGGCTTACGCTTGTAATCCCAGCACTTTGGGAGGCCGAGGCGGGCAGATCACCTGAGGTCAGGAGTTTGAGACCAGCCTGGCCAGCATGGCAAAACCCCATCTCCACTAAAAATACAAAAATTAGCCGGGTGTGGTGGTGCACGCCTGTAATCTCAGCTACTTGGTAGGCTGAGGTAGGAGAATGTCTTGGAGGTTGCAGTGAGCTGAGATTGCACCATTGCACTCCAGCTTGGGAGAATGAGCAAGACTCCATCTCAAAAAAACAAAAACAAACAACAACAACAACAACAAAAATGGCTGAAGAAATCCTTGATTTCCCCACTTCTTTCCCCCACATATAAGTTAGTTTTCTAGTATCCAGTAAACTTAAAAAATTATGAACTCCTGGATTTAAAAGTATTTGATTAACTATAATTCAATTAACTATAATTATTGTCTGTATTGATTTTCAAATTATCTCAATTTGGGTCCAGTAGCAGCCTATTCACCTTGACCGTGAGTCCTTTTGACATGGCCTCTATAATAGAGATCTTTGATTAGTTCTTTGCTTTCTGGTATGATGACCTGTTCCAGGCTTAAGCTCACTTTGTACATTTACTTCTACTCCCCAGGCTTGCAATCAGCCATTTCTCCAAGGAGTCCTGGTTCCTTTGGTGGAAATATTAGGTTAGTGTCAAAGTAATTGCAGTTTGCCAAAGTAATTACTTTTGCACCAATCTTAATAGCATTTATAAGTCACCATCTGGGTACCAGAAGCACTCATTGTTTCTGTGTTCAATAATGCTAGACCTTTTCAGAGGACACAGGACCGTTTAAAAAAATTTTTTTAAGAAGAAAAATGAGTTCATTCTGAGACTTTCATTTCGAATTCAGAAGTCTAGGGTTTTTGCTTCATCTTAAAGATTTTTTTTTTTTTTTGGGGGGGGAAGGAGTCTCGCTCTGTCGCCCAGGCTGGAGTGCAGTGGCGTGATCTTGGCTCACTGCAAGCTCCGCCTCCCGGATTCACGCCGTTCTTCTGTCTCAGCCTCCCGAGTAGCTGGGACTACAGGCGCCTGCCACCACGCCCACCTAATTTTTTGTATTTTTAGTAGAGACGGGGTTTCACCATTTTAGCCAGGATGATCTCAATCTCCTGACCTCGTGATCCGCCTGCCTCGGCCTCCCAAAGTGCTGGGATTACAGGAGTGAGCCACCGCACCCGGCCTCATCTTAAAGATTTTACATCCGAATTGTCTTTCTTCTAATGCCCCAAATATCTGTTCTCAAGTACAATTACAGAATTAAGTATAATTACAGAATTATTTATTTATATTTTTCTCCACGACATACACAGCAGTGTTAAAGTAATAATCCCTATACTACCACTAAACAATTATTATTGAAAACAGCTTAATATTTTGATCTTGTAGTTTTCTTCGTATAGTAAATCCCACGAGGAATATACAGTCAAATGAATGTACTTTAAAGCTCCTTTGGAAGAGCTCCTCTCTGTGTTTTTGCTACCAACCCATTCAACCCATTACACAGTTAGGAGCATTTACTTCATTTTGCTTTCAATTTTTAGAATTGCTTTTAAAAGTTTAATTTAGTTTTATAATTATGTAAAATATGTGCATGGTCAAAGTCAAATGTGTAAAATAAGATATATTTAAAAGGATCTAGGCTGGGAATGGTGGCTCATGCCTGTAGTCCCAGCACTTTGGGAGGCTGAAGTGGGGAGGATCACTTGAGCTCAGGAGTTCAAGACCAGCCTGGGCAATGTAGCAAGACCCCATCTGTACAACAATTAAAAATTTTGTATTAAAAAAAGCTAAATGTGGTGGTGCATGCCTGTTGTCCTAGCTACATGGGAGGCTGAGGTGGAAGGACCGCTTAAGCCCAGGATTTTAAGGCTGCAGTGAGCTATTACGATGCTACTGCATGGGTGACAGAGCAAGACCCTGTCTCAAAAATAAATAAATAAATAAATAAATAAGTGGATCTTGTGTCTATTCTCCCCCCACTGTATTCTTTCTTTCTGTTAAACTATCAATGTTTGGTATTTAATTATAAGAAAGTATTTACTTTTATTTTTTTAAGACAGAGTCTCGCTCTGTCGCCAGGCTGGAGTGCGGTGGCGTGATCTCAGCTCACTGCAACCTCTGCCTCCCGGGTTCAAGCGATTTTCCTGCCTCAGCCTCCCGAGGAGCTGGGACTACAGACTGCGTGCCACCACGCCTGGCTAATTTTTTATATTTTTAGTAGAGATGGGTTTCACCGTGTTAGCTAGACTGGTCTCGATCTCCTGACCTCATGATCTCCCTGTCTCAGCCTCCCAAAGTGCAGGGATTACAGGTGTGAGCCACCGTGTCCGGCCCTGTATTTACGTATTTTTGTTTATATCTTTCCTTCTTAGAGAAACAGATCCTAAGATGTCCTTAGGATCACACTATATTAGTTTGTAGAGATCTTCCTTGTTCTTTTTGTGGCTGCAAAGTACCCCATTGTGTAGATGTGCTATTGTTTATTTCTCAAAGTCCTTATTGATGGATTTTTGGCTTTTTCCCATGCTTTGGTTTTTACAAACAGAGCTGCAATAAACAGCATATCTCTGTGTCTTTTTGTATTGTTTGCAGTGTATCGTTAGTATAGATTCCTAGATGTGGGATTGCAGGATCAAAGGGCAAATGCGCTCATAATTTTGCTAGCTATTACCAAATTCTCTTCTACAGTGACCGTACCATTTTGCATTCCCACCAGGAATATGTGAGAATGTTGGTTTTCTCACAGTTTGGAAAAGAGAGTATAGAGTATTAAGCTTTTGGATTTTGGCCAATCTGATCAACAAGAAATAGTTACTTGGGGCAATTTGTGTTTCTTTTACTGTAAGCAAGGTTGAGTGTCTTTCCGTATAGTTTTGAAATATTTGCCTTTCTTTTTCTGTAAACTGTTTGTATTTTTAGGGCATTTTTCTTTCAGGTTGTTGGCCTTTTTAATCTATATTAGGAGCTCTTCATATACTAAGAATATTGGCCCTTTGTCCGTGATGTAGGTTGTAAGGTTGTTGTTTTTTGTTAAACCAGTCTATCATTTGTCTTTTTAATTTCGCATATGTTTAAAATTTTCATTTAATTTTTTTTCCATACAGAACTTTAATTCCTTGAGACTTGTTCATCTTTTCCCCTTATTGTTTCTAGGTGTTGAGTCAGAATTAGGAAATTTTTCCTCACTCCCAAATTATAAGAGAATTGGTCCATGTTTTCTGTTAGACTTGTATGGTTTCATCTTTACATTTAAATCTCCAACCCCGCCGGGCACAGTGGCTCACACCTGTAATCCCAGCACTTTGGGAGGCCAAGGCGGGCAGATCACTTGAGGTCAGGAGTTCAAGACCAGCCTGGCCAACATGGTGAAACCCTGTCTCTACTAAAAATACAAAAATTAGCCGAGTGTGATGGCAGGCACCTGTAATCCCAGCTACTCGGGAGGCTAAGGTAGGAGAATTGCTTGAACCTGGGATGCAGAGGTTGCAGTGAGCCCAGATTGCACCACAGCACTCCAACCTGGGTGACAGAGTGAGACTTCGTCGCTAAATAAATAAATAAATAAATAAATCTCCAACCCCTTTGGAATGCACTGTGGTCCACAGCATGAGGAGTGCTTCCAGCTGGTTCTGAGTCCACAAGGCTCTCCTGCTATCCTGACACCAGCTATGAAGTCACCCATTCTTTCTGTTTTTTTTATTTATTTATTTATTTATTTATTTATTTATTTATTTATTGTTTTGAGTCAGAGTCTCACTCTGTCACTCAGGTTGGAGTGCAATGGCACAATCTCTGGCTCAATACAACCTCTGCCTCCCGGGTTCAAGCAATTCTCCTGCCTCAGCCTCCCGAGTAGCTGGGATTACAGGCGCCTGCCACCATGCCCGGCTATTTTTTGTGTTTTTAGTAGAGACAGGGTTTCACCATATTGGCCAGGCTGGTCTCAAACTCCTGACCTCGTGATCTGCCCACCTCGGCCTCCCAAAATGCTGGGATTACAGGCTTGAGCCACCGCGCCCAGCCCATCTTTCTGTTTTTTTTTGAGACGGAGTCTTGCTCTGTCGCCCAGGCTGGAGTGTAATGGCACAATCTCGGCTCACTGCAACCTCCACCTCTCAGATTCAAGGGATTCTCCTGCCTCAGCCTCCCGAGTAGCTGGGATTACAGGTGCATGCCACCAGGCCCAGCTAATTTTTGTATTTTTAGTAGAGGTGGGGTTTCACCATGTTGGCCAGGCTGGTCTCGAACTCCTGACCTCAGGTGATCCACCCGCCTCAGCCTCCCAAAGTGCTGGGATTACAGGCATAAGCCATTGTGCCCTACCAAAGTCACCCATTCTTTCCCATGACTTGGGATGCTGTCTGTATCAGACATCAGCTTTCCATAGGCCATGGGAGCAATTTCTGGATTTTATGCTGTGTTCTTCAGAAGGATCGCTTCATTTTATTCATCCCTCCCTGCCAATGTCCTCCCAGCTTCTCCAGGATAGTAGGGTGTCAGGCAGAGCATCTGTAGCGGGAGGCGCTGTGGGGCTGGCTCTAGGGCTGCGGAAGGCTTTCACCTGACAACAAAGCCCTTTGTTCCAGGCTCAGAGATCAAGCTTTGGAGGCAAATGGTCTTGAGAGGGAGATCTGCCAATCCCTACTAAGCCACACTTTGCAGATAGAGAGGCATTTCTGGAGAATGACCTTCAGAGAAGAAGAGTGGGCATTGGAGGGGCCTCTGGCAGGAGGAGACCCCTATTCTGTCCCTGGGGAAAGGATGGATAGGACCAAACATTCTACATTTAGAACCAGTGCTGGGGCCTGCAGGGAATCAAATCCTGGCTAATGATGGCCCTTGAGGGATGACTAATCTTCATAAGCAAGACAGAACCATCATCTATGCAGCTACCTACCCATCCACTCGTCTTAATATTAAGATGATATATTAAGATGATATAATATTTATATTAATATAAATATTCACTTAATATTTAATTCACTCCATAGCAAGCACAATGCTCTGTGCTGTGGGGGAGAGAGTCAGCACTCTGTTCCTGCCCCTTGTTTAGGGAGATGAGAGCAGAAGCTCCGTGGGTCTACAAGATAAAAATACCATAAAAAGGCTGGGCACAGTGGCTCACACCTGTAATCCCAGCACTTTGGGAGGCCGAGGTGGGCGGATCACGAGGTCAGGAGATCAAGACCATGCTGGCTAATATGGTGAAACCCCGTCTCTACTAAAAATACAAAAAAATTAACCGGGTATGGTGGTGGGCACCTGTAGTCCCAGCTACTCGGGAGGCTGAGGCAGGAGAATGGTGTGAACCTGGGAGGTGGAGCTTGCTGTGAGCCAAGATCGCGCCACTGCACTCCAGCCTGGGCGACAGAGCGAGACTCCGTCTCAAAAAAAAAAAAAAATCATAAAAAGAGGCATGGCCTTGTTTTCTGAGCAATGTTCAACACATGTGTTCTTTTCTTTTGAGACAGGGACTCACTTTGTCACCCAGGCTGGAGTGCAGTGGCACGATCTTGGCTCACTGCAACCTCTGCTTCCCAGGCTCAAGTGATCCTCCTGTCTCAGCCCCCCAAGTAGCTGGGACTACAGGCACATACCACCGTACCAAGCTAATTTTTGATTTTTTGTCTTTTTTGGTTTTTTTTTTGTTTGTTTGTTTGTTTGTTTTGTAGAGACACGGTTTTGCCATGTTGCCCAGGTTGGTCTCAAACTTCCGGAGCTCAAGCAATCCACCTGCCTCGGCCTTCCAAAGTCCTGGGATTACAGGTGTGAGCCACCATGCCCGGCGATTACATCTGCTTAAGTAAATCATTGGTCCCATGTCTCAACTCTGCTGGCTAGAAATACAAATTCTAGGAGGAGAAGAAGGCCAGGGGAATAGAATGACGAGGAAAAATCTTTAATGACATGCTGAGCTGTCATGTTATAAAGAAACAAAAAAATACTTTCTGGGAGACAGGCTTGAAGTGGAGACAGAGAGACGTCATTTCCAGCCTAGGGGCTCTAGGGTGAATTTGTCAAATTGATTTTTGGTGGGTTGTTTTGGGGCAGATTGCTTTTCAATAAATTGTCTGCCTGCAGCACGGTATGAAAGGTATGAAAGGTGTCCTTTGGAAGGGTCGCGGCTCCCACTTCCCTCCAGCACTTTTAAGACATAGTGGGCCAGGCACAGTGGCTCATGCCTGTAATCCCAGCTATCCAGGAGGCTGAGTCAAGAGAATCACTTGAAACCAGGAGGCAGAGGTTGCAGTGAGCTGAGATGGCACCACTGCACTCCAGCCTGGGTGACAGAGTGAGACCCTGTCTCAGAAAAAAAAAAGAAAAAAAAAAAAGAAAAGAAAAGAAATGAAAAATGGATGTGGAAAGTAAAATTCCTCTTCAAAGTTTCCCTTCTTGTTAAAGAATAAATAATAAATGTTAGAAATAATAGTTTATTTTAAAGACTAACTTCCTCCAAAGCCTTCTTGCTTTTTGCTAATAACTCTTTGTTAAGCCCTATCCTACGTAGCTGTTAGATATAAGGGAATAAGTATATTCTATGTCCTTGTACTTTAACCAAGATATTTGTTCTGGGCATGCTCAGGCATGTCCCAGCTCACAGCCTTTGCCCCTTCCTTATTTGGAAATGTTGTTACTTCTCTAAGTCCTTTCGCAAGCCTCTTTTCCTTTTGTTCTCCATTACCTTTACCTATTTAGGAAAGTCTTAAATTGTTAGCCAGCTGGGTTTAACTTAGACTGTGAGGTCCAGCTCCAACCAATGGAGATAGGACACAGCAGTAAGGACCCAGTGCATAGGGGATAAATATTCCTGTCTTTCTTTGTTCAGTGTGGTCTCGTGGCAAGATTGCTGACAAGCAGCACCTTTTCTGCAGTAAGTAAAATTGCCTTGCTGTGAAAACTTTTTGTCTGAATGCTGATTTCTCCTTGCGGCACCAAGGAACAAGCATTTTGTTTCTAACAATGGATAAATGTTGGAGAAGATGGATATGCTAATTACCCTGATCTGATCACTAGAAATTGTATATATTGAAATATCACTATGTACCCCACTGATATGTACAATTATGTGTCATTTAAAAAATAAAATAAATAGCTGGATGCAGTGGCTCATGTCTGTAAGCCCAACATTTTGGGAAGCCAAGGCGGGAGGATCGCTGGAGCCCAGGAGTTCTGAGACCAGCGTGGGCAACATAGGGAGAGGTCTTGTCTACTAAAACAAACAAACAAAAAAACTAGCTGGGCCCAGTGGTGTGCACCTGTAGTGTCAGCTACTCAGGAGGCTGAAGTGGGAGGATTGCTGGAGCTGGGGAGTTCGAAGTTGCCATAATCATACCACTGCACTCCAGCCTGGGTGACAGAGTAAGACCCTGTCTCTAAAAAAATTAAAAAATAGGCTGGGTGCAGTGGCTCACGTCTGTAATCCCAGCACTTTGGGAGGCCGAGGCAGGTGGATTACAAGGACCAGCCTGGCCCACATGGTGAAACCCCATCTCTATTAAAAATACAAAAATTAGCTGGGCATGGTGGCAGGCACCTGTAATCCCAGCTACTCAGGAAGCTGAGGCAGGAGAATCACTTGAGCCCGGGATGCGGACGTTGCAGTGAGCTGAGATCACACCATTGCACTCCAGTCTGAGCCACAGAGCAAGAGTCCGTCTCAAAAAAAAAAAAAAAATTAGCCAGGCGTGGTGGCAGGCACCTGTGGTCCCCGCTACTTGGGAGGCTGAGGCAGGAGAATGACTTGAACCCGGGAGGCAGAGGTTGCAGTGAGCCGAGATCGCACTACTGCACTCCAGCCTGGGTGATGGGGCAAGACTCTGTCTCAAATAAATAAATAAATAAATAAAATAATAAATAATAAAAATTAAAAAATAGAATAAAATAAAGGCAGACCCTAAAGGCCCAGAGTAGGGTAGGGCCATAGGCAGTGAAGCCCACCTCCTCTCTGGATGTGCATCTGCTTGAGGTCATTCCTGCTCTGCTCACCTCCTGGCGTCCCTGTGAGGATGGACGGATATGAAGACCCTGTAACCTGTTGAGTGTCCCGACAATAACATCATTGATCGTTTGCCTAGATTTTGCAACCCCTGCCCCCACTGCTAAACCACAGTTTATTGCTTAGCAGCTCTGACCTTATACCTCCTTATCTCTCTGAGGTGGCCTTGAAGCCCAAGTGTCACAGAGTCAAACATGGTTAAAGAGTAAAAGTGGCTTTAGAAATCATGATGTCTGGGAATTCTCAGCAGCTGGAGCTGCCCCCACTCTGCCTCTGTTGAGACTTTCATGGGAAGCCGGGGTTTTTAGGGGAGCATGTCCTGACCCTCGGCTGTGTACAGAAGGAAGAATTACCTGGGTGGTTTGACCAAGTCCAGGCTGCCCCCAGCCCAGGACTCCTCTACATGCAGGACCAGGCTGGCGATGTTCACCAGCTCTCCCGGACCGCCCACCTGGGCCAGGAGAACCAGAGGCTCAGTCCAGGTGGGGTTGGGGGACTCACCATGATGTGGCCCCTTCCTCTGCTGGTCCATAGCAGAATGGGACCCTTCTTTCTGCCTGTTCCTTAACCCATTGCTACCTGTCCTGGGGAGTAACATCCACAGCCTCTGAGTGCCCCCGCTATGACGCAGCCTGCTCCCACTCTGCTCATCGTCTTCGGATCCAGTGTCTGCTTCTTGGGCCTTTGTGCCACGTGGCATGCTTCCTACCTCCTCTCCGTCCTGGTCCCCTCCCCAGCCTTGCTCTCCTGCCTGCCGAAGTGGCGCCCGGTGCAGAGAAAAGACAGGCCCCGCCCGAGGTAGACTTGGGCGCGCTTTGTGTTGCTTACGGTGGCTGGTGGCAAAGTGCTGCCCCAGGGCCTTTAGAAAGACCCTAAGGAGAAACCGTCAAGAAGCCCCAGGAAGTGACGAAATCAGGAACACCCTCACCCTGGGATCTGGGAGGGGGTTGAGTGATTTTTCCTCCCCCTGCATGTCATTATCATGATTATTTTCCTAGAGAAAACCACACCTGTCGATTGGATCTCCCAGTCCTGGTGTGGGGGGTTAACTCAGGAGGGTCAGCTGGAGGAAACAATGAGAGGGGTGAATAGAGGGGTGAGGGCTCGAAGTTCCTAAGCTCGTCTTGCCTACCCCTGAGACCCCTCAGCGTCTTTCTGGTCAATTAAGTAAAAGAAGCTGTCCTGAGCTCAGTGGGTGGCCTAGCAGTGTGGGAGCAGGCCTCTTAGTCCGCAGTTCAAGGGCCTGGCTTTGGGGCTGCACGGAGCCTTGGCAGGGAGCCCACTGCAAGGTTAATCTGTACCTTCTCTGGCTCCACATCTGCTGGAAGAAGAGAGCAAAACCTTTGTTCCCTCTGCTGGAAGAGGAGTTTGGAGCCTATCTTGCCAAAAAAGACTGTGTTTGTAAGTATTCAGTAGATTTGTGTGTACGAAGAGAAGTCAGCAGAAGCATTTTCACCCAGAGAAGAAATTTCATCACCCTCATCCTTGGCGCATGGGAGTCAGGCAGTCTGTACAGCGAGTGATGGGAATGTCTGACTCCATGAGGCACTGAAGAGAAAACAGAAGGCTGTGTTCTCTCCTCGTGAAAGCTAAGGGTCCCTGCTGACAGTGTAGCTTGCCATCGACGGCTCTGCTTAGTCAAAATGACGCTCCATGTGTTCATTTATTTTTTGAGACAGGGTCTCGCTCTGTTGCTCAGGCTGGAGTGCAGTGGCACGATCTCAGCTCACTGCAACCTCTGCCTCCTGGGTTCAAGCGATTCTCCTGCTTCAACCTCCCAAGTAGCTGGGAAAATAGGCATGCACCACCACTCCCGGCTAATTTCTGTAGTTTTGGTAGAGACAGGGTTTCACCATATTGGCCAGGCTGGTCTTGAACTCCTGACCTCAAGGGATCCACCCGCCTCAGCCTCCCAAAGTGTTGAGATTACAGGCGTGAGCCACCATGCTTGGCCAACGCTCCATGTAAATGTGTATACACTTTATGCAGACAGGAAAGATTTCCTGCTTCCATGAGCATCCCCGCGAGTAACCAGATGAGAGGGATAACAATCCAAGAGATTTTCCAGAGTGCTCCCTGGACCTCCAGATTCCGGCATTTTCGATGCCCCTCAGGACTTCCATATTCGCTGTTCTCTCTGCCCGGATGCTCTTCCCTTAATCTCTCCTGGGCTGGCCTCTTCTCAGAATGGAGGGCTCAGCTGGAGAGTCAGCTCCTAGCAGCCTTCCCTGACCCCTCCGCAAAGGAGTTCATCTCCCCAAGACTCAGTCCCTCTCTATGCCATTACTGGTTTTGCTTTCTTGTAGTTAACACTATTTCCGTGGAATATACTGACCCTTTCCAGCCTCCACTGACTATAGTGTGAACTTTCTGAGAGTCATTGGGCCTTACTGTCATCATCACTGCCGTATCCCAGTACCTAGAAGGGTGTCTGGCACCTGGGGATGTTCAGTCATTATCTATTGGATGGGTGGATGGTACTTGGGTTTGGATGGAGTGAGGAAGAAGATGACTTGGAGAGACAAGTTGAGCCAAGAGGACGAGTTGGCCTTTTCTTTCTTCAGCTTTCCTCTTCACATATGCCCCTGAGGGGAGATCGCTGGAGAAAGAGGCAGCCCACTGTCCCTGTCCCTGGAAACACCTTCACCAACAATGGGCTGATATTCTCCCTACGCTGGGCCAGGCAGATGGAGTCTCCTTCAGCCGAGATGTTTCTGGGGCAGAAGATGCACCTCTGCCACCATCCTTTACTTAAACCGGAAGACTCCCAGCCCCTGTGAACAAGTCCGTCGGAAGTTCTCTGTCTGCATGGGGCTAGAACCCAGGGAACCCCAGGCTGGAAAAAGTGGGTGGGCCCACATGGCTTGCAGAACTTTAAAAGTAAGTGACACAGGTGGGAACAGGCTGAAGGAGCTAGGTTTCTGT
Source organism: Homo sapiens (assembly GCF_000001405.40). Lineage (NCBI taxonomy): Eukaryota > Metazoa > Chordata > Mammalia > Primates > Hominidae > Homo > Homo sapiens. The sequence goes on from NC_000011.10 coordinate 62,003,518, forward strand.
TTTTTTTGTTTTGTTTTGTTTTGTTTGAGATAGTCTCGCTCTTGTCATACAGGCTGGAGTGCAGTGGCGCGATCTTGGCTCACTGCAACCTCTGCTTCCCGGGATCAAGCAATTCTCTTGCCTCAGCCTCCCAAGTAGCTGGGATTACATGTGCCTGCCACCCTACCCAGCTAATTTTTTGTATTTTTAGTAGAGATGGGGTTTCACCATGTTGGCCAGGGTGGTCTCGAACTCCTGACCTCAGGTGATCCACCTGCCTCGGCCTCCCAAAGTGCTGGGATTACAGGCGCGAGCCACTGCGCCTCGCCTTCTTTTTTTTTTTTTTGGATGGAGTCTTGCTCTTGTCGCCCAGGCTGGAGTGCAGTGGAGCAATTTCGGCTCACTGCAACCTCCACCTTCCGGGTTCAAGCTATTCTCCTGCCTCAGCCTCCTGCGTAGCTGTGATTACAGGTGCCTGCCACCACGCCCAGCTAATTTTTGTATTTTTAGTAGAGACGGGGTTTCACCATGTTGGCCAGGCTGGTCTCGAACTCCTGACCTCAGGTGATCCACCCTCCTCAGCCTCCCAAAGTGCTGGGATTACAGGTGTGAGCCACCGTGACCTGCCAGGGTACAAATTTTCTTTTTTTTTTTTTTTTAGACGGAGTCTCGCTCTGTCGCCCAGGCTGGAGTGCAGTGGCACGATCTCGGCTCACTGCAACCTCTGCCCCTCCAGGTTTAAGCAATTCTCTGCCTCAGCCTCTGGAGTAGCTGGGATTACAGGCATGCGCCACCACGCCTGGATAATTTTTTTGTATTTTTAGTAGAGACGGGGTTTCACCATCTTGGCCAGGCTGGTCTTGAACTCCTGACCTCGTGATCCACCCGCCTTGGCCTCCCAAAGTGCTGGGATTACAGGCGTGTGCCACTGCGCCTGGCCATGGATACATATTTTCTAACTCATTCTCCTGGTTTCAGCGTTTTGTGTTTTTGGGTGTTAGGCTTGCTAGAATTGTAACCTTTGCCTTCCTGGAACAGAAAGCTCCAACTTTGTGTGTAATTTTACTGAAGTGGACCCACTCCTCAGAAAACAAAAAGAGAAAAACCCCAGGGGAATTAGGATACACACATATTGCAAAAGCCTCTGTGGTCAAGTGTGCGGGATTTCCAGAGGAAATGAAAGTCAGGACCAGCAAGAATATCAGACCAGCTGGCCAGAGCCCACCTCCATGGCTAGTCTTGCCCTGCAGCCAAGAACAAGCTTACTTCCTCTGAGTCAGCTCATAAGCCCTCCTTGGACCACAACCCTGGGCTGCATGTCAGTGCCACTGCCATGGTGGGTCCCCTGAGAGTCTAGGAGGCCTTAGAAAGATTCCGAGGCCTGGCCATGCATGGATTTTGCTCTTAAAAAATGTCTCTCAGCTGGGCGCAGTGGCTCACACCTGTAATCCCAGCACTTTGGGAGGCCAAGGCAGGCAGATCACAAGGCCAGGAGATCGAGACCAGCCTGGCGAACGTGGTGAAACCCTATCTCTACTAAAAATACAAAAATTAGCTGGGCATGGTGGTAGCATGTGCCTGTAGTCCCAGCCACTCGGGAGGTTGAGGCAGGAGAATCGCTTGAACCTGGGAAGCGGAGGTTACAGTGAGCCGAGATCGTGCCACTGCACTCCAGCCTGGCAACAGAGCGAGACTCCGTCTCAAAACAAACAAACAAAAAAATGTCTCTCTCCTCTCTTTCAAATGAGCAGCTGCCCGAGAACCCACAGGAATGGATGGAAGGATAGAAAAAGGCAGAAAAGACACCCGCGGGACACTTTGGAAGCCAGTGCCATCTCTCTGTTCTCTAACAGTGCTAAGAAAGGATGGGCCTGTGGGTAATCATTCTGATCAAAAGCCAAGGCAGCAGCTGGACTGTGCCTCCAAACTGTTCTGGAGGAAGAAAATATGCAAAGAAAGATGTTATTCAGGGCTGCAAGCAGCCTCCCTCTTCTGCTCAATCTCCCTCTTTCTCTCTGAAATTCTTCCCACCCACGGGTGCCAGCTTTTTCTGTCCCATGATGTCGGGGGTTGGGACGGGGGATGGGAGAACTGACTGCCTGACTCCACCTGACCAGCTGCCTGCAATCTGTAGGTCGTGGAGTATAGGAGATCCAGACTGTTCCCCAGACACCAACTGCCAGCCTTTAAGTGTCCTCCATTTGCTACCACCCAGGGGACCAAGGGTTTTTCTCTCCCACAAACCATATAATTGGACTCACAGCCTTTTTCTTTTAGGAGAGCTTACTGAGGGGTTGATAGGAAGGGCACTGACAAGATGGGGGGCTACCAGCTTCCCCAGGGGAAGTGACTCCTAGGCCAAGACTTTACAGCGTGAATTTGTGTTTCTCTGACTTGGACAGTTGGTTAAGATTAAAAAGGAGAAGCCATTTTTCAGCGTGTGGATGGCCACCTCCCCAGAAGAGTTTCTCTTCTGGGAATAAAATAGGAACCAAGGGGCTTGATGCAGTGGCTCACGCCTGTAATCCCAGCACTTTGGGAGGCTGAGGCAGGTGGATCACCTGAGGTCAGGAGTTCAAGGCAAGCCTGGCCAATATGGTGAAACCCCGTCTCTACTAAAAATACAAAAAATTGGCCGGGCACAGTGGCTCACGCCTGTAATGCCAGCCCTTCGGAAGGCCGAGGCGGGTGGTTCACGAGGTCAGGAGATCGAGACCATCCTGGCTAACATGGTGAAGCCCCGTCTCTATTAAAAACACAAAAAATTAGCTGGGCATGGTGGTGGGCGCCTATAGTCCCAGTTACTTGGGAGGCTGAGGCAGAGGAATGGTGTGAACCCGGGAGGCGGAGCTTGCAGTGAGCAGAGATCTCACCACTGCACTCCAACCTGGGCAACAAAGCAAGACTGGGTCTCAAAAAAAAAAAAAATTAGGCGGCTGTGATGGCACGCACCCATAGTCCCAGCTACTTGGGAGGCTGAGGCAGGAGAACTGCTTGAACCCGGGAGATGGAGGTTGCAGTGAGTCGAGATCGTGCCACTGCTCTCCAGCCTGGGCGACGAGCGAGACTTCGTCTCCAAAGAAAAAGGAACCAAGGTCATACCAATGTTCAAAGTTCAGATAAGGCTGAATGTGGTGCTTATGCCTATACTCCCAGCTGCTTGGGAGGCTGAGGTAAAGGGATCGCTTGATCCCGGGAGACTGAGTCTACAGTGAGCTGCAATCATGCCACTGCCCTCCAGCTTGGGCAACAGAATGAGACCCAGTCTCAAAAAAAAAAAAAATTTAGATAAGATATTTTGACTGAAAATCTATCATGAACCCCAAATATTCTGCCCAGGCCAATGTAGTCCAGGGAGAAGAGTGTTTTGCTTTATTAAATTTGTTTCTCTAAAGAGTTGGACCTGTGTTCATTTGCCTCTTTCTCCAATGCCTTAGAAATTAATGGTGTAGATCAATGAGGTACAACTTAGAGTCTAGAAATAAACCTATACACGTAAGGTCAATTAACTTTCAAAAAGGGTGCCACAGGCCAGGCACGGTGACTCACGCCTGTCATCCCAGCACTTTGGGAGACTGAGAAGGGTGGATCACCTGAGATCAGGAGTTTGAGACCAGCCTGGCCAACATGGTGAAAGCCCATCTCTACTAAAAATACAAAAATTATTCGGTGTGGTGGCAGGTGCCTGTAATTCCAGCTACTTGGGAGGCTGAGCAGGAGAATCATTTGAACCCGAGAGGTGGAGTCTGCAGTGAGCCGAGAATGCGCCACTGCACCCCAGCCTGGGTGACAGAGCGAGATTTCATCTAAAAAAAAAAAAAAAGTTGGAGGGGCCACAGTCATTCAATAAATGGAGCTGGAACAGGCTGGAACAACTGGATATCCATGTTCAAAAGAAAGAAGTTGGACCCTTACCTCATACTATGTACAAAATTTACTCAAAATGGATCAAATATCTAAATGTAAGAGCTAAAAACTACCAAACTCATAGAAGAAAACATAGGGCTAAGTCTTCATGACCTTGGATTTGGCTATGGATTCTTAGATATGACACCAAAAGCACAAGCAAGTAACAAAAGAAAAAGTGGACTTCATTGGTATCTAAAACTTTTGTGCATCAAAGACCACTATCATGAAAGTGAAGCAATAACCCAAAAATGGGAAAAATATTTGCAAGTCATATATCTGATAAGAGTCTAGGATCCAGAATACGTAAAGAACTGTTAGAACTCAACAATTCAAAAAACAAACAAACAAATGAGCAAAGGACTTGATTGTACATTTCTCCGCAAAAGATCTGCAAATGGTCAATAAACATGGTCCTCAACATCATCAGTCATTAGGGAAATGCAAATAAAAATCACAATGAGGGCTGGATGTGGCGGCTCATGCCTGTAATCCCAGCACATTGGGAGGCTGAGGTGGGCAGGTCACAAGGTCAAAAGATCCAGACCATTCTGGCCAACATGGTGAAACCCCGTCTCTACTAAAAATACAAAAATTAGCTGGGCGTTGTGGCACGCACCTGTAGTCTCAGCTACTCGGGAGGCTGAGGCAGGAGAATCACTTGAATCCAGGAGGCAGAGGTTGCAGTGAGCCGAGATCGTGCCACTCCAGACTGACAACAGAGCAAGACCCCGTCTTGAAAAAAAAAAAAAAAAACCACAATGAGATACCACTCCCTACCCACTAGGATGGCTATAACTAAAAACACTGAAAATAACAAGTGTTGGTGAGGATGTGGAGAAATTGGAAACTTCATACATTGCTGGTAAAATGGTACAGCTATTGTAGAAAACTTTTTGGCAGTCTTCGAACACTTAACTGTGGAATTACCATATGACCCAGCAATTTCACTCTTAGGTATATACCCAAAAGAAGTGAAAACAGAAACTGGTACTTGAATGTTCATAGTAGCATTATGTGTAATACCCAAAGGTTTGAAGCAACCCAAATGCCCATCAACTGGTGATTGGGTAAACAAAATATGCTATATTTATTCATTTCATGGAGTTTTCTTCAACCATAAAATAATGAAGTATTGATAGATGCTACCACATGGATGAATCTTGGAAACTATGCAAGATGCCAGACACAACAGCCCACATATCATATGATTCCATTTATATGAAATGTCCAGGCTGGGCGCAGTGGCTCACACCTGTAATCCGAGTGCTTTGGGAGGCCGAAGCGGGTGGATCAGGAGGTCAGAAGATCGAGACCATCCTGGCTAACACGGTGAAACCCCGTCTCTACTAAAAATACAAAAAATTAGCTGGGTGTGGTGGTGGGCACCTGTAGTCCCAGCTACTTGGGAGGCTGAGGCAGGAGAATGGCGTGAACCCGGGAGGCAGAGCTTGCGGTGAGCCGAGATCACACCACTGCACTCCAGCTGGGGTGACAGTGCGAGACTCTGTCTCAAAAAAAAAAGAAAAAAAAAAAAGAAATGTCCAGAATAGGCAAATCCATAGAGACAGCAGAGTAGTGGTTGCTGGGGAACTGGAGAGAAGGGACAATGGCAGTCACTGCTTAATGGGTATGGAGTTTCCTTTTGGGGAGATAAAAATGTTCTGGAATGAGATGGTGGTGATGGTTGCACAACATTTTGAATGTATAAATTTTACACTTTAAAATGAATTCTACACTTTGGTTAAAATGGTAAAAAAATTTTTTTTTTTTTTTTGAGTCGGAGTCTCGCTCTGTCACCCAGGCTGGAGTGCAGTGGTGTGATCTCGGCTCACTGCAAGCTCCACCCCCCAGGTTCACACCATTCTCCTGCCTCAGCCTCCCGAGTAGCTGGGACCACAGGCGCCCACCACCACGCCTGGCTAATGTTTTTGTATTTTTACTAGAGACGGGGTTTCACCATGTTAGCCAGGATGGTCTTGATCTCCTGACCTCGTGATCTGCCCGCCTCGGCCTCCCAAAGTGCTGGGATTACAGGCGTGAACCACTGCGCCCGGCCAAAATGGTAAATTTTATGGGATGTGAATTTTGCCTCAATATAAAAGAAAAAGTTGGTTGGCTGTGGTGGCTCACACTTGTAATCTCAGCACTTTGGGAGGCCAAGGCAAGAGGATTGTGTGAGTCCAGGAATTTGAGACCAGCCTGGGCAACACAGCTAGACATCGTCTCTATAAATAATAAAACATTAGCCGGGCGCGGTGGCTCACGCCTGTAATCCCAGCACTTTGGGGAGGCTGAAGTGGGTGGATCACCTGAGGCCAGGAGTTCAAGACCAGCCTGGCCAACATAGCAAAACCCCATTTCTACTAAAAATACAAAAATTAGCCAGGCATGGTGGCAGGTGCCTGTCATCCCAGCTACTTGGGAGGCTGAGGCAGGAGAATCACTTGAACTCAGGAGTCAGAGGTTGCAGTGAGCCGAGATCATGCCACTGCACTCCAGCCTGGGCAACACAGCAAGACTCCATCTCAAAAAAAAAAAAAAAACGTTTTGGGCCGGGTGCGGTGGCTCATGCCTGTAATCCCAGCACTTTGGGAGGCCTAGGCAGGTGGATCACTAGGTCAGGAGATCAAGACCATCCTGGCTAACATGGTGAAACCCCGTCTCTACTAAATGTACAAAAAATTAGCCGGGCATGATGGCAGGTGCCTGTAGTCTCAGCTACTTGGGAGGCTGAGGCAGGAGAATGGTGTGAACCCGGGAGACGGAGCTTGCAGTGAGCAGAGATCGCGCCACTGCACTCCAGCCTGGGCAACAGAACGAGACTCTGTCTCAAAAAAAAAAAAAAAAAAAAAAATTAGCTGGGTGTGGTGGTGCATGCCTGAAGTCCCAGCTACTCAGGAATCTGAGGTGGGAGGATTGCTTGAGCCCAGGAGGTTGAGACTGCAGTGAGCTATACTGGTGCCACTGCCCTCCAGCCTGGGCAACAGAGTGAGACCCCATCTCTAAAAAAATTAAAAACATGGCCGGGCAAGGTGGCTCACGCCTACCAGCACTTTGGGAGGCTGAAGCAGGCGGATCCCTTGAGGTCAGGAGTTCCAGACCAGCCTGGCCAACATGGCGAAACCCCGTCTCTACTAAAAATACAAAAATTAGCCAGGCGTGGTGGCAGGCACCTGTAATCCCAGCTACTTGGGAGGCTGAGGCAGGAGAATCGCTTGAACCCGGGAGGCAGAGGTTGCAGTGAGCCGAGATCACACCATTGCACTCCAGCCTGGGTGGCAAGAACAAGACTCTGTCTCAAAAAATAAAAATAATAATAATAATCATAATAATAATTAATTTTAAAAAGTAAAAAACAAACAAAACAAACAAAAGACAGAAAAAAAAAAAGAGCCTCAGATCTAACCCCTGCGCTCGTGGCTTATTTGTGGAACAGTAGTGGAATGGATTCTCACAGTGGTTAGGACTCTAGCTTGGAGAGAACACCAGTGAGGATCTACTTGTCTTCTGTTAGAGAGAAACTGTCAGGAAGCTAGGGAGGATTAGCCTTGTGTTACATTTGTTCCCAAGTCTAGTTGCTCAAAACCAGGATTCCTAGAGCTGGTCAGTTGTGGCAAGTACTTTTGTTTGGTTAAACCCAAATCAGTCCCAAAACCTTTCTTCCTGTCCTCCACTCACTGTAAAGGATGGGATGGCCGGATATGTCCTGGCTTTGTCTTTGTCAGGGAGGACTTTAGACTTTATAGCCCCTGTTTGGCCAGTGCTGTGAGGAGAGGTCAGGAGACCTCTTGAGACCTTCTTGAAAACAGTCTTTCTTTGCTGATAAGATCAAAGCTGGGAGGTGAAAATTCTTTGCCTGGTATCACTCCCTGCTTCCTGCATCTGAACATGTTGTGAGGATGTGGTGTATGGGGCTGCTGCAGCCATCATGAAACCATGAGGGGAAACCTAAAAGAACCAGAATGACCATAGCCCAGAGCCCTGTCTTTTCTTCTCCTTTTTTTTTTGAGATGGAGTTTCACTGTGTCACCCAGGCTGCAGTGCAGTAGTACCATCTCAGCTCACCGCAACCTCCACCTCCCGGGTTCAGGCAATTCTCCCGCCTCAGCCTCCCAAGTAGCTGGGATTACAGGCACCTGCCATCAGACCCAGCTAATTTTTGTATTTTTAGTGGAGACAGGGTTTCACCATGTTGGCTAGGCTGGACTTGAACTCCTGACTTCAAGTGATCCACCCACCTCAGCCTCCCAAAGTGCTGGGTTTATAGGCGTGAGCCACCATGCCCGGTCTTTTTTTTGTTTTGTTTTTTTCAAAGGCTTAATTAACTTTTTCTTGTATAAAAACACTATGTTGTAGCCACAGCTGGAGCCTGGGTCCTCTGCACAGAGACTCTGGTCTGGGTCTTGACAAGATGGTGAGTGAATTCCTGGTAAAGAGACTTGGTGAATACAGTATTCTTCTAGAGGTCGGGTCAGGTAGCTGTAGGTCTTGGAGATGACATCAAAGCTGGCCTTGGCAAAGTTGCCCAGGGTGGCAGTGCAGCCCCTGGCCAAGGTGTAGCAGTCATCGATACCAGCTATCATCAGCACCTTCCTGGGCACCGGGCATCACGGGGGAGACGATGCCAGCGCCCTTGGGCACAGGGTTAAGGTGCACTAGCACAGAGCCATGGTGGCCTGTCACCTTGCAAGGGACACTGTGGGGCTTGCCGATATTGTTCCCCCAGTAGCCTCTGTGCCCAGGGACCGTGGAGAGTTGATGGCCCCTTGGATGGCAGTGGCCACCTCTTGAAGTACTTAACACCCAGAATGAGGTGGCCATTGTAGTCGAGTGGCAACAAATGACTTGAACCTGGTGTACTGGCCAGCGCAGGTCGGCTTCTGCACTGGCATGATCTTCAAAACCTCATCCTTGAGAGAAGACCCCAGGGAAAAAGTAAATGATATCAGACTCCTTGAGGGGCAGGGAGAAGAGATAGACCTCCTCCAGGGACTTGATCTTCATGTCCTTGACCAGACGGCCCAGCTTGGTGACGGGCATCCACTCCTTATCCTCAGCCTTGCCTCTGAGAGCTCCATAGCCTTGGAGCTCTCATGCCCCTGGCTCCAACCCTGGCCGTGACCTCAGCCCCAGATGCCAGTGCCGAAGCCTCTGCAGAAGCTGCCACTGTTCCTCATCCCAGGGCCTCTGGGCCTCCCACTGCACTGTGTCATCTGCCATTTGGTGTTTTCTTGGAGAAGAAGCTCTGTCATCTTCTTACATGAGCAAAGTAAACATCTATGTCTCTCCCACATTGTTGGTCATGTTTTCTGTTACTTGCAGCTGAATGCATTCCTGTGCCATCAATCATGTCCACTTTAGAGATAAACAGGGCATCGAAAAAGGGGAGGTCTTCCTTTGGAGCCAGCTTCTTGTTTCTTGGAACTGGAGATTCAGGTGGAGGAGGAGAAAAGTCCCTCTGCCTGGGGGTTGAGCTGGGGATGAGGAGTGGAGTTTCCGGCAGAGAAGTCTTGGGGTAAGGCCAATACTCGCTCTTCCATGACAGAGCCTGAGGATCTTCCCTGGCCCCAGGTCCCAGGCCTTGGCTGCATGAGGAGTCACAAGATGCCTCTCCTGAACCAGGGAGTTCTCCCTAACACTGATGGGCACTGGTGGGCAGGGAAGAAGACAGCAGTAGCCATGGGTGGTGACTCAGATCACAGACCTGGCTCCAGTCCCTGCTCTGCCACGAACTGCCTGTGTGTCCCAGTGCCCCAACCAACTCCCTTAGGGCAAGGACTCTGAGCCCTCATCCGTGAATAGGACTCTCTGTGTTCACAGGGAGCCTCCTGCCCCAGGTCCCCTGGCCTCTGAGCTTCTTCTCAGAAACGTGAGTAAATCCTGGCAGGTGAGGGACCCAGGGGGAGCAATAGAGGGCTTTGTGTCACAGCCAGGAGTCAGCAAGTGCCCAGTCTGCAAGCATCCAATCTAACAGGAGAGTCCTCCAGGCATGTGGCTTCCTGAGGGCTAGGTCCAGTGGGGGTGGGGATGGGGGGGGTAGTAAGATTCTGCTGTGAGCAATGCAGAGTAAGGAAAGGATCCAAGTTCCAAGGACCGTGGCTTTGCTGCCAGCTGACCCCTTCCTCCCCACCTGCCAAATACTCCCCCAAGTCCCCCATCACCCCATTGCTTCCTGCTTTCCGCTGATGGGGCAGTCAGCATGGAGGCCAGGCTTGGCACCGCAGGAGGGATTCCGGAGCGCTGGTAGTCCTGCACGCTGGAAAGGCTTTTCTCAGGAGTCTTCCCTGGCTCCCTGGGAGGCTGAGCTGCAGGGAAATGCCCAGTGTGCACCCCGCCCGCCAGCTTTCCTGGAACCTTCTGTAGAGTGAGCCAAGAAAGAATCTGCCCACAGGGCCCTGGGGCTATAAATTCTCTCTTTTCCCTGCTCCTGGAGATGAACCAGGAAGAAAGCTCATGCCTCTTCCCTGGGTGGATGCTCTCAATAACAATAACAAGGCCCAGTGTGGTGGCCCATGGCTGTAATCCCATCACTTTGGGAGGCTGAGGCAAGCGGATGGCTTGAGCACAGGAGTTTGAGACTAGTCTGGCTCTACAAGAAATACAAAGAAAATTAGCCAGGCGTGGTGGCATGCGCTTGTGGTCCCAGCTACTCAGGAGGCTGAGGAGTTCGAACCAGAGCAACTCCATCTTGAATAGGGGCTGGGTAAAATAAGGCTGAGACCTACTGGGCTGCATTCCCAGGAAGTTAGCCATTCTAAGTCACAGGATGAGATAGGACGTCAGCACAAGATACAGGTCACACAGACCTTGCTGATAAAATGGGTTGTAGTAAAGAAGCCAGCCAAATCCCAACATAACCAAGATGGCAACAAAGTGACCTCTGGTCATCCTCGCAGCTCATTATACGCTAATTATAATCATTAGCAGGCTAAAAGACATCCCACCAACGCCATGACAGTTTACAAATGCCATGGCAATATCAGGAAGTTATACTATACCTACACTGTCTTAAAGTATACCCTATACTGTCTTAAAAGGGGAAGAACCCTCAGTGCTGGAAATTGTCCACCTCTTTCCCGGAAAACTCCCGGAAAAGAAGTAATAGGCCGGGTGTGGTGGCTCAGGCCCGTAATCCCAGCACTTTGGGAGGCCGAGGCAAGCAGATCACGAGGTCAGGAGATCGATACCATCCTGGCTAACACGGTAAAACCCCATCTCTACTAAAAATACAAAAATGAGCCGGGCGTGGTGGCACACGTCTGTAGTCCCAGCTACTCGGGAGGCTGAGGCAGGAGAATCGCTTGAACCCGGGAAGCGGAGGTTACAGTGAGCTGAGATCAAGCCATTGCACTCCAGCCTGGGTGACAGAGTAAAAATAATTAACTATAAGTATTATCAGTCGAGCAGCCCAAGCTGCTTCTCTGTCTATAGAGTAGCCATTCTTTAATCCTTTACTTTCTTAATAAACTTGTTTTCAATATACTCTATGGACTGGCACGGTCCAAGAACCCTTTCTAGGGGTCTGGATTGGGACCCCTTTCCAGTAACACAAACATGTTTTTTCCACTGTACAGCATTTAAAACCAAAGATATTGCTTCCAATAGATACTCTCACAATCCATTTTAGTGAAGGTTCCTCAGGGAGCTGATGACACAAATCTACAGAGTGCGGGTTTGTAGATTTGATGATCTACATAATGGAACAGTGCTTCACACTGTGCTCTCTGGTGTTAGTAGTTAGTTGGTTTTGCCTTCCCTGACATTGGCTACCTTCTTGGTAACCACAGGTCTCAGAGATATATCTGTTGCCCTGGCATAATTTTTCACTGAACTCCACAGGGAGAGGGTCTATGAGGCATGTCTGGCCTTCCTTCCTGTCCTGGTCAGGAATTCAGGTTTTCAGGTTTTTCTGGGGTCACCTTGGCCAAGAGGGTCTATTCAGTTGGTTGGGGGCTTAAGATTTTATTTTTGGTTTATAAATCTAACAAGCACGGCTGGGCGTGGTGGCTCACACCTATAATCCCAGCACTTTGGGAGGCTGAGGAGGGTGGATCACCTGAGGTCGGGAGTTGAAAACCAGTCTGACCAACATGGAGAAACCCCGTCTCTACTAAAAATACAAAATTAGCCAGGCGTGGTGGCGTGTGCCTGTAATGCCAGCTACTGGGGTGGCTGAGGCAGGAGAATCGCTTGAACCCAGGAGGCGGAAGTTGCAGTGAGCCGAGATGGCGCCATTGCACTCCAGCCTGGGCTACAAGAGTGAAACTCCATCTGGAAACAAACAAACAAAAACCCTAATAACCACAATAAACATATAATCCCTTGGTTGTTGCCATCTGTGATAGTTAAAACGAAAGTGAAAGGAAGTGCTGGACCCTGAGGCTGGACCATGCTCAGATGTGGGTCTGCCTGAACTCAGGTCACTAGTCTCAAAATGACTGCTGGCTGCCCTTTCTTATCACTGTGCAATGGACGGCTCTCAGTTAACAATGACTCTAAGCCACTGGCATTTTCAGGGCATCTCCGTAGTCACATGGTGGTCTACAAGCATATAAAAGGTGAACCACACCACTCCACATAAAAGCAACGGACCAGCCGGGCACAGTGGCTCATGTCTGAAATTCCAGCACGTTGAGAGGCCAAGGTGGGATGATCCCTTGAGCCTGGGAGCTCAAGACCAGCCTGGGGAACATAGTGAGATTCCCGTCTCTACAAAAAATTAAAAAAATTAGCACCTGTGGTACAAGTGGTGGATCAGTTGAGCCCAGGAGAGCAAGGCTGCAGTGAGCTATGATGGCGCCATTGCATTCCAGTCCGGGCAACAGAGTGAAACCCTGTCTTAAAAAAAAAAAGAAAAAGAAAGAAAGTGATTGACCACCCTGAGATTTCCTGTGGGTGGCAAGCCACCCAGGCGCTGAGGCAAGAGACCGAGGACACGAGCTGTTCCAGTATAATAAAATATAAAACAAGAATAGTTATACCAGATATAGATCTTAGATATGATTATATATGATTATCATTAATCATTAATTTGTAGCAATTACTCTTTATTCCAATATTATAATAATCCTCGCTCTATAATCATAACCTAGGAAAAACCAGGCCATACAGAGATAGGAGCTGAGGGGACATAGTGAGGTGTGAACAGAAGACAAGAGTGTGAGCCTTCTGTTATGTCCAGACAGGGCCACCAGAAGGGCTCCTTGGTCTAGCGGTGATGCCAGCGTCTGGGAAGACACCCGTTGCCAGGCGGACCGTGGTCTAGCGGTAGCGAAAAGTGTCAAGGAACAACACCCGCTACTTAGCAGACTGGGAAAGGGAGTCTCCTTTTCCCTGGGGGAGTTTAGAGAAGACTCTGCTCCTCCACCTCTTGTGGAGGGCCTGACATCAGTCAGGACTGCCTGCAGTTATCTGGAGGCCTAACCGTCTCCCTGTGATGCTGTGCTTCAGTGGTCACGCTCCTAGTCTGCCTTCATGTTCCATCCTGTACACCTGGCTCTGCCTTCTAGATAACAGTAGAAAATTAGTGAAAGTACTAAAAGTCTCTAATATGCAGAAATAATGGCATAAGCTGTCTTTCTCTTTGTCTCCTCTCTCTCTCTCTGCCTCAGCTGCCAGGCAGGGAAGGGCCCCCTGTCCAGTGGACACGTGACCCACGTGACCTTACCTATCATTGGAGATGACTCACACTCTTTACCCTGCCCCTTTTGCTTTGTATCCAATAAATAACAGCACAGCCAGACATTCAGGGCTACTACCGGTCTCCGTGAATTGGTGGTAGTGGTCCCCGGGGCCCAGCTGTCTTTTCTTTTATCTTTTTGTCTTGTGTCTTTATTTCTATACTCTCTCGTCGCCACACACAGGGAGAAGCCCACCGACCCTGTGGGGCTGGACCCTACAATTTCCCAGACGGATGATTCATTCCCTTCACCCATTTCTTGATCTCTCAGCTCCTGGCCCAGCTGGCTTGCCACATGCTCTGTGGGGGGCAGGCCTTTGCAAACCTATCCCCAGAGTCTAAGGAAGCTGAAAGGCCAAAGAAAGAGGCTGACCAATCTAGTTTCTTAGAAAGAAACGTTTAATAGGAACTTAGAAGCCATGTCTGAGTCTCGGACAGCAGCAAGACAAGATGGTGGACTGCCGCCATTATTCCTTTGCTTTTTTTTCTTTTTTTGAGACAGGCTCTCACTCTGTCACCCAGGCTGGAATGCAGTGGTGCCATCATTGTTGTTCACTGCAGCCTCAATCTCCTGGGCTCAAGTGATCCTCCCACCTCAGCCTCCTAAGCGGTTGGGACTACAGGCATGCATTATGACACTCAGCTAATTATTTTATTTTTTGAAGAAATGGGGTCTCACTTTGTTGCAGTGCCTGGTCTCGAATTCCCGGGCTCAAGTGATCCTCCCACCTCGGCCTCCCAAAGTGCTGGGATTATAGCTGGGATTATAGGCGTGAGCCATATCATGACTGGCTGATATGATTTCTTAAAGCGGGAGCCAGACGTCCAGGGAGGACATCTCTTTGACCCAGGATGGCAGAGCTGGCCTTCCTGAGTCCTGGATCCCCACTCCTATGCTTGTACTAAGTCCAGTCAGCTCTCTCTAACTTCAGCAGGAAGTAAAGATGCAAAAGCCTCGAGGCACCAAGAGCCCTGCCCTGCATGGTATCAGCACCCTATCACCGTGGCCTGGGGTCTAACTGCCTAGGCTTCCTCTTCTGGGACTTGCCAATTAAAAGGCTGATTTTCCAGAAGGTTGACACCCGAGGTTTTTTTTGTTTTTTTGTTTTTTTTTGAGACGGAGTTTCGCTCTTGTTGCTCTTGTTGCCCAGGCTGGAGTGCAATGGCGATCTCGGCTCAGTGCGATCTCGGCTCAGTGCGATCTCGGCTAACCACAACCTCCACCTCCCAGGTTCAAGCAATTCTCCTGCCTTAGCCTCCCAAGTAGCTAGGATTACATGCATGAGCCACCACGCCCGGCTAGACACCCAAGGGTTCTAATCCCTCACCCTATCCCCTCAAGTTCCTTGTTCTGCTGCCTAGAGGTCACAGTGGCTTCTGACCTCCAAGCCAATTCAGCAGCTGTTGGCTGGGCACTTGCTCTGCAATAGTGCTGGGTTCTGGAGGGGACAGACTATGTCCTTTTGGCAATGCCATGCCCTACTCTTCTTAGAAGCTTACAGTTTATTAGGAGAAACTACAGCATGCACCCAGCCAGCCACAGGACAGGCAGCAAGTGATTGTAGCAGGAGGAATCTGAGAAGGCATGTCTAACTGATTCATTCACTTACAGCCCCAAACTTATTTCCCATCTGCCCACGTCGATTCTAAACCCTGAAAATGTAGTCCTTTGTCTTTAAGGAGCAAAGAGTCTTCCTAGAGAGACAGAAACACGAATAAAAAATGTACTAGCGGCCGGGCGCGGTGGCTCACACCTGTAATCCCAGCACTTTGGGAGGCCGAGGCAGGTGGATCACCTGAGGTCAGGAGTTCGAGACCAGCCTGGCCAACATGATGAAACCCCATCTCTACTAAAAACACAAAAATTAGCCAGGCATGGTGGCGCCTGCTTGTAATCCCAACTACTCAGGAACCTGAGGCAGGAGAATCGCTTGAACTTGGGAGGCGGAGGTTGCAGTGAGCTGAGATCTTGCCACTGTAGTGAGATTCTGTCTCAAAAAAAAAAAAAAAAAAAAGTACTAGCCATGTCAGGAGTGTTGGTAAGCAGGAGCTTCCTGGAGGGGGAGGGACATGGGACTAGAAAGGAAGGAGAAGTGATATTGCATAGACCTAGCTCCAGTTCCAATATGGCCTTGGGATTCAAGGTCAGAGAAAAGAGAAGGGGGAAGAAAGGGCAGATTGACACAATGTTATTCAAACCTGAGAAAGAGGTAAGAGAGGAGAAGAGATGAAAGCTAGAGACAAAAGGGAAGTGTGAGGGGAAACATGAGGGTAATGAACAGTAACCAAGATGAGGTCAAAAGAAGATGATCAAGCAGAAAGAAAAGCATCTGAGAATAATGGGGCCTGTGGCCAAGAACAAAGGCCCCAAAGCCAGCACAGTCTCCTGGGAAGCAGTCATGCTTTCAGCCCCCAGGACTGGGTTACCCAAAGGGGACTGAGAACTCCTGCCAAACACAGTGACAAGCACCCTGCCATCTGGCTGGGCCAAGAAATAGGGCTCTATGGCTATCCAAATAGTCACTTAATGAAGACTTTTGACTTAATGAATTAGTGGGCTTTCTTAAACAAGTGACATGTTCAGGGACTTTGACTCCAGCAGGGATGTGCAGTCGCCAGGCCACTGAGACCACTGCAGGTGTTCGCCAAGGCAATTCTGGACTTTGGAGTGTCCTGGTTAAAAATAAAATGGTCAGAGCCTACTTTAGTTGTCTGTATTTCACTGTTTTTTTTTTCTTTCTGAGACAGAGTCTCACCCTGTCACCCAGGCTGGAGTACAGTGGTGCAATCTTGGCTCACTGCAACCTCCGCCTCCTGGATTCAAGTGAGACTCCTGCCTCAGCCTCCCAAGTAGCTGGGATTACAGGCACATGCCACCACGCCTGGCTAATTTTTGTATTTTTAGTAGAGACAGAGTTTTGCCATGTTGGCCAGGCTGGTCTTGAACTCCTGACCTCAAGTCATCCACTTGCCTTAGTCTCCCAAAGTGCTGGGATTACAGACGTGAGCCACTGCACCTGTATTTCACAGTTTCTGAAAGCCATATTTTATCTGGGCCAGAGTGACAAGGGACAGTAGGACACCCTGGTTAAAGTGCAGTCTCTGTGCTTGGGCAGCCTGGGTTTATATCCCTACTCTGTTACTTACTAATGGTGAGAACCTTAGCCTCTATATTATACTCCACGAAATGAGTACAATAATATTACCCACCTCATAGAGTTGTGGATATTAAATGAGTGAAATACATGCTAAGTGCTTAGAATAGTGCCTGGCACATAGAAAGTGCTCTCTCCATGTTAGTAATTGTGACTTATTAGAATTCATAAGCATGGCTGGGTGCGGTGGCTCACACCTGTAATCCCAGCACTTTGGGAGGCTGAGGTGGGAGGATTACCTGAGGCTGGGAGTTCAAGACCAGCCTGGTCAACATGGTGAAACCCTGTCTCTACAAAAAGTACAATAATTAGCTAGGCATGGTGGTAGGTGCCTGTAATCCCAGCTACTCGGGAGGCTGAGGCAGGGGAATCACTTGAACCCAGGAGGCAGAGGTTGCACTGATCTGAGATCATGCCATTGCACTCCAGCTTGGGCAACAAGAGCAAAACACCATCTCAAAAAAAAAAAAAAAAAAGAATTCCTAAGCACAGGAGATTAGGACAAGAAGTAGAGGGAGGCCCTAAGTTGAGGAAGAAGAAGTTATTTTGAGGAGGCTGCATAGTGGAGTGGTCAGAGATGGGAAGGGACTTCCCACTGAAGCCGGGGCTTTGGGCGTGGTCATTCCTGTGGTTCTCGGACATTTCTCATTGAACTGAGTCCAAGAGACAGACTCAAGAGCCTCATCCATTGACTAAGTAATTAATAATGCCTGCTCTGGTGAATCTATATGTGTGCCCTGGGCTTTACAGCTGCCCTCTCTTCCTGAAGACCTATAATATGGCCCAGCTATTCACATTTGAAGAAACAAAATCAGATTTGAGGTCTGCCACTTGCTAACATTTTGACTGTCTTTGCTGTCAGTTTCTGCCTGTGCTGTGGAGAGCTGTTATGAAGGCTCAGTGGGTAAATCAAGCAAAGACAAACAAAACTGGATCCCTGATAAACACAACTTACAGGCAGGATTCCAATAAACTGAAGCCCAACCTGGGAAATATAAGTGATGATATTAACGAGACTCTGTAAGATAATTCCCTTATGGATTAGAGGTAAGGAAGGACTCCTCAAAAAACATCACAAG
The DNA here is from genome assembly GCF_000001405.40 of Homo sapiens. Classification (NCBI taxonomy): domain Eukaryota; kingdom Metazoa; phylum Chordata; class Mammalia; order Primates; family Hominidae; genus Homo; species Homo sapiens. Next base: position 62,021,319 of record NC_000011.10, read on the forward strand.
TTCAATCATGAGACATAAAATGGATTAATTTGATCCCCCCTAACTAAAGGATTTCTGTAAAACAAAGCACACCATGGTCAAAAGTAACAAACAGATGAGAGACTGGGAGAAGCTATTGCAATATCTGCAGCCAAAAGGGGACTAATATCTAGAATATACAAGAAAAAGAGAACCCAGTGGGAAAATGGGCAATGAGTATGAATAGGCAATTTGCAGATTAAGAAACCTAAAGGTGTAATCCCAGCACTTCGGGAGGCTGAGGCGGGCAGATCATGAGGTCAGGAGATCAAGACCATCCTGGCCAAAATGGTGAAACCCTGTCTCTACTAAAAATACAAAAAAATTAGCCAGGCATTGTGGTGGGCACCTGTAGTCCCAGCTACTCAGGAGGCTGAGGCAGGAGAATAGGCATGAACCCAGGAGGTGGAGCTTGCAGTGAGCTGAGATCGCGCCACTGCACTCCAGTCTGGGTGACACAGCAAGACTCCGTCTCAAAAAAAAAAAAAAAGAAACCTAAAGGGCAACATAAATATGTGAAAGATGTTCCCTGGTCATAAAGTAATTGCAAATTAAACCAACAATGAGATATTGTTTTCCACCTATTTGGCAAAAATGATAAAGCTAGAGAATGCCAAGTAGGGTAGGTGTGGTGGGTATAAGTGCCCTACTGTATTGATGGTCATAGGTAGGTGGTGTGGACATTCTGCAGAGTGAGCTGCCCTACTTGCCAGACTGTCTATATGTCTACCACACAACCAAGAATCCACTTCTGGGAACATATATATATATCTATGTATGTATATACATACACACACACACACACACACACGTCGCATAGGGGCCTAAAGACACATGATAAAGATGCTCTTCATCACAGAGACTAGCTTGTGAAGGCAGGTGTGATATTGTGACATAATAAAAATTTGGTCTCTGCCCCCAGTTCCTGGAACAGAACATCCCAAACCCTTAAAATTTCCTGGGTGATAGAAGTTTCTATTGTTCTAATGAAGTGACTCTTGCTGGGCTTCCTGGTCACCAGAAAGACCAAGCCATGGTTAGAAGCTTGGGACTTTCAGCTGCACTGTCCCCGACCCCCCCAAACTCTGGGGTGGGGAGAGGAGCTGAGAGTTGAGCTAATCACCAATGGCCCGTGATTTAATCATGCCTAAGCAATGAGGCCTCTGTAAAAATCCAAAAGGGCTGGGTTTGGAGAGCCTCAGAGTTTCTGAACGTGTGGAGGTGCTGGAGGGTGATGTTCCCAAAAAGGGCATGAAGTTCCATGTCCCTCCCCCTATATGTCATCCTGCGTACTTCTTCATCTGGCTGTTCATCTGTATCCTTTGCAATATACTTTATAATAAACCAGGAGTGTTTCCCTGAGTTCTGTGAGCCATTCTAGCAAATGGTCGAACCCAAGGAGGGGGTTGTGGGAAGCCTGGATTTATAGGCGGTTGGTCAGAAGTAGGAATGGTCCACAGTTGCAACTGGACTTTGAAGTGGGGGCAGTCTCGTGAGACTGAGCTAACCTGTGGAATCTGATGCTAACTCCACGTAACTAGTGTCAGAATTGAACTGAATGATAGGTTACGCAGCTGGTGTCGGAAATTGGTTGGGGTGGGAAAAGCCCACTGATTTTGGTGAGGGGAAGTGTGATGAGTGTTGAGAGTATACCAGGAGAAGACACTTTGATTTTCCTGTTCCACAGCAGGGAACTAAAGGCAATCCAGCGAGTTCTTCACTGGGGGAAATGGACAGGTGAAAGGCGGTGGCTGCACTGGATGGAGCACCACACAGCTGTGAGAAGGGGTTGTAGATGCACACACAGCAACACGGGTGGACCTTACCAACCTAGTGCAGAAGAAGAACGTCTATATATTCTAATTTGCATAAACATACCTGACATAAATATATATTCGAATACATGTATACAAACCTGAACAACAGATGCTGGCAAAGATGCAGAGAAAAAGGAACACTTTTACACTGTTGGTGGGAATGTAAATTAGTTCAACCATTGTGGAAGACAGTGTGGTGATTCCTCAGAGATCTAGAAGCAGAAATACCATTTGATCCAGCAATCCCATTACTGAGTATATACCCAAAGGTATAGAAATCATTCTGTTTTAAATGTACATCCTCACATATGTTCATTGCAGCACTATTCACTATAGCAAAGACATGGAATCAACCTAAATGCTCATCCATGATAGACTGATAAAGAAAATGTGGTATATATACACCGTGGAATACTATGCAGCCATAGAAAGGAATGAGGTCATGTCCTTTGCAGGGACGTGAATGGAGCTGGAAGCCATTATCCTCAGCAAACTAATACAGGAACAGAAAACCAAACGCTGATTGTTCTCACTTATAAGTGGGAGCTGAGTGATGAGAACACATGGACACAAGAGGGGAACAACACACACTGGGGTCTGTAGGAAGGTTAGAGGGGGAAGGAGAACATCAGGAAGAATAGCTAATAGATGCCGGGCTTAATACCTAGGGAATGGGTTGATCTGTGCAGCAAACCACCATGGCACTGCACATGTACCCTGGAACTTAAAAGTTGAGAAAAAAAAAGTGATCTTAGTAAGTGCAAAAGACTGGAATGAGATCTTCCAATCACGTCTGACTCAACCTCTAATTCTTGCTGTGAAAATGTATATGATATATTAAAAAATCAAATAAAAATGGCTTTTAGAATCGTATAAAAAAGAAAATAACCTGAAATTCCAAGAAAACAGGCAAAGATGAACATTAAAAGCATTAGGATGGTTGTTTGTAGGGGAGAAGGGAATAGGAATTGTGATAAAAGAAAATAGCTTAAATAGCTTTTTTTTTAGACAGGGTCTCACTCTGTCGCGAAGGCTGGAGTGCAGTGGTGTGATCTCGGTTCACTGCAACCTCTGCCTCCTGGGTTCAAGTGATTCTCTTGTCTCAGCCTCCTGAGTAGCTGGGATTATGGGCATGTGTCACCACACCTGGCTAATTTTTGTATTTTTATTATTTTTATTTTTATTTTTATTTTTTTTGAGATGGAGTTTCACTCTTGTCACCCAGGCTGGAGTGCAATGGCGCACTCTCGGCTCACACAACAACTGCCTTTCAGGTTCAAGCGATTCTCCTGCCTCAGCCTCCCCAGTAGCTGGGATTATAGGTGCCCATCATCACATCCAGCTAATTTTTTGTAATTTTAATAGAGACGGGATATCACCACGTTGTCCAGGCCGGTCTTGAACTCCTGACCTCAGGTGATCCACCTGCCTCGGCCTCCCAAAGTGCTGGGATTACAGGTGTGAGCCACCAAGCCCGGCCATAATTTTTGTATTTTTAGTAGAGACAGGGTTTTGCCATGTTGGCCAGGCTGGTCTCGAACTCCCGACCTCAGGTGATCCACCCACCTCGGCCTCCCAAAGTGCTGGGATTACAGGCGTGAGCCACCGCGCCTGGCCATAATTTTTGTATTTTTCCATGTTGCCATGGAACATGGCATGTTGTATTTTTAATAGAGACGGGGTATCACCATGTTGGCCAGGCTGGTCTCGAACTCCTGACCTCAGGTGATCCACCCACCTCAGCCTCATAAAGTGCTGGGATTACAGGCGTGAGCCACCATGTCTGGCCAGAAAATAGCTATTTTTAAAAGGAGTGCAAAGTGAGGGTTTCGCACAGAAACTGGTATGTGGTAAGTGCTCCCTAAGTGTCAGCTATTACTAATTAATTAAGAAACAAGTAGTCCAAAGACAGTCAGTGTGTTTCCCCAAGCACACATCTTGGTAAGTTCCATGAAGAGGCATGGTCTGTAACTGTCTTGCCATGATCATTTTTTCAGGAGCCTAGAGCAGTGTTTGGCAGTCGATATGTCTTGAATGATTGAACAAAAGCTAGTTTGTGACAGAGCCACCCAGCGGAATGTTCACCTCGTCCAACTCTTCTACACAATCGAGAGAAACATTCTTTTCTAATTTCCTTCCTTTTTTAGAAAAAATTAATAGACCTTGGTTCTGTCCCCAACGGTCTGAATTAGGGGTTAATTAGGGTTAACCACATTTTGTATTTATATGTCCTTTCCTATGGAGACATCAAAGCCCAGAAATGTCACCTCAATGCCCATACAGCTTTCCCCTCACCTCCAAGAGTGACAGAGTGAAATTTAGAATCCCAGGCCCTTGCAGGTAAGTCTGACAGTTTCAGTGAGCTCTGGACGGGGAGGTGCCCACAGGGTTTGTTGGTCCAGAAAGCAACAGAACTCAGTAGGCTAAAGGGAAGTGAGTCAGTGTCTTAATGCACATGGATTTCAAAACAGTAGGGACTGCAGACTTCATGGTGTGAAGAAACGCATCTGACAGCTTTGTTATTACATCAGGAAAGCTGCAGTCAGCAGACACGTACGGGATGTGGGAGGTTTGTTTTGACCACACCCCTGTCAATAGTTACAAGATAAGCCAAAGCAAGAAGCACAGACACCATGCCTGGCAGAAAAGCGGCCGTTTGCGGAACTATTTTATGTAACACAAAACCACGTTTTCGGTCCGTAAGGCAGGGTCTCCACCTCATTGTGTGTGCACAGATCAAGCAATGACGATGGCTCTTGCCTACAGGAAGCAGCAGAATGTCCATGACCTTCCCCAGTGAGATCATCACTTCTACGGTGCCTGGGACTTCCTTACCTCTTTTTAAAGATCTCCCTCTGTGACAGCCCCCACCTTGCTCACGGAGGACTTAGTCTTCTTATTTGAGTCTTTAGAGCCAGCAGTGGCTAGCATGTTAGACTCACCTGGAGAGCTTTTAAAAAATCCCAGTACTTGGCTGCACTCAGACTGATTAAATTAGAACCTCTGGGCACACACACACAAAAAAATGCTAGACGCGATGTCTCACGCCTGTAATCCCAGCACTTTGGGAGGCCGAGGCAGGTGGATCATTTGAGGTCAGGAGTTCAAGACCAGCCTGGGCAACATGGCAAAAACTCATCTCTACTAAAAATATAAAAATTAATCAGATGTGGTGGTGCATACCTGTAATCCCAACTACTCAGGAGGCTGAGTCAGGAGAATCTCTTGAACCCGGGAGGCAGAATTTGCAGTGAGCCGAGATAGCACCACTGCCTTCTAGCCTGGAAGACAGAGCTAGACTCCATCTCAAAAATAATAATAATAATAAAAAGAACCTCTGAGGGTTGGGCTCAGGCAACAGTATTTTTTAAGCTCCCCAAGGTGGTCCTGACCAGGCCAAGATTGAGTAGCCTTGCTTTTGTGTCTTGCTGATAGGATGCATTCAGTAGATTTATTAAACAAAACCTTATTCCTTCAGTGAAGGCCAGTGACAGAGCCCTTGTTCTGGCCATTTTACTGGGCCAAGTTATAAGTAAGAATCATCTGCCAAGGCACAGGCCTATTGGCCCTCATCTCCTGTGGTTCCCAAAGCAAAACTGTTACTGGATGGAAGGTCTTGACTGTGAGTTGTCCAGGTTCTTGGCATGTTGAGCAAAGAATTGAACAAAATGCACAAAGCAACAAAAGAATGAAACAACGAAAGACAAACAAAGCAACACGAGAACGGAGTAATGAAAGCACAGATTTATCGAAGCAAAAGTACATTCCACAGAGTAGGAGCAGGCTTGAGCAAGTGGCTCAAGAGCCACCCCACCTCTCTCATTTAAGGATTTTTATTAGGCTAAAGGAATTTGGAAACACCGCTAGGTGCCCTTTAGAGGCCTCCAATTTGTTACACCCTATGAAGGATTGGCCTGTGACCAGTCAGAGGCTGAAGTGGAGCCTCAGCCTGCAGTCAATCAGAGGCTGAAGTAAAAACTTCTGTCTTGCCATCACAGGGGTGAGGTGTGGCCTGTGTGCTGCCTAATCTTGCCTAGAACTGGCTGCACCTGCTGTTCTTTTGCTTCTATCTTAACTCTTGGTTTACCCTCCCTGTTCTTCTGCCTCAATATGGCTTTGCTGAGGGCACAATTGGGGCCCAAGGGCCTTCAGACTCAACAGTATGGGGCCTTGGCATTGCTCCTCCCGGATTTGCCATTCACCTGGTGCTAATCTGAGAGGACCCCAAGAGAACCCACTTCTGTAGTTCCCCATGAGGTGTCCAGCTTCTGGGGAAACTGTTGTCCAGTGCAGTAGCTCCAGGGTTAGGATGGCAGGGGCTGGGAGCTGCAGCTGGAATTCCAGCAGAACCGGGAGGGTCCCTCTCCTTGGAGCTGTCATTCCTCGTTCTCCAGCTTTCCTTGACTCCAAAACACCATCAAGGCTGACTGTTCCGTATGACAAAGATAGGATTGGATTTAAAGGAGAAAATATAACTTGCTTCTCAGGTAACCGAGAAGGTGCAAGGGGTAGCCCAGTTGGAGCTGCAAATGCCAGTTACAGGGTAAGTAGCAATTGTCGCATTGTTTGGGTTCTGCTCTCTAGAGAAACCCTTCAGATATTGTAATGACAGGAGCAGCCCAAACTGGGTCTACTCTGTTGATAGCAAAATGTTGAGTTACTTTTTAGGTATAATAGAGCCCAAAACTGTAAGTCATGGAGCCTGGGCATGCACGATAGAAGACTTAACCTCGAACAACACCAATACCCAAACCAATAATTCCTCCCCTCTGAACCAAGAAGACCAGAACAGGATCAGACATGATTGGAATCTAAAAGAGGCAGGAACACTTTTGGAAGCAAGGGGTCCAGGCGAGGCGTGGTGGCTCACACCTGTAATCCCAGCACTTTGGGAGGCTGAGGCGGGTGGGTCACCTGTCAGGAGTTCCAGACCATCCTGGCCAACATGGTGAAACTTGTCTCTACGAAAAATACAAAATTAGCCAGGCGTAGTGGTGCATGCCTGTAGTCCCAGCTAGTCGGGAGGCTGAGGCGGGAGAATCACTTGAACCTGGGAGGCAGAGGTTGCAGTGAGCCGAGATCGCCCCACTGTACTCTAGCCTGGGCAACAGAGCTAGACTCCGTCTCAAGAAAAACAAAAAACAAACAAACAAACAAAAAACAACCTAGGATCAATAGAAAGGAAATGTCTGGGTTTCCTTTGTGGAGAAAAAGGCTGTGGAGACCAAAGTTCTTATTGTGCAGAGGAAGTCTTCAGGTAGCAGGTTTCAGAGAGAATAGATTATAAATGCTTCTTATCAGGTCTGTGTTGATTTTATATGAGGCATGTCGGACCCCCACTTCCCATCATGGCCTGAACCAGTCTCTCAGGTTACATTTTAAGAGCACCCTGGCTGAGAAGGAAGTCCATTCAGATGGTCGGGGGCCTTAGAATTTTATTTTTGGTTTATAGTGTACATCTGGCAGCTTGATAACAATATCTGAGACAAGAGATCACAACAGCTAATACTTTTTTTTTTTTTTTTTGAGACAGAGTCTTGCTCTGTCGCCAGGCTGGAGTGCAGTGGCGCAATCTCAGCTCACTACAGCCTCCGCCTCCCGGGTTCAAGCAATTCTCCTGCCTCAGCCTCCTGAGTAGCTGGGACTACAGGCACCCACCACCATGCCCAGCTAATTTTTGTGTTTTTAGTAGAGATGGGGTTTCACCATGTTGGCCAGGCTGGTCTCGAACTCCTGACCTCAAGTGATCCGCCCACCACGGCCTCCCAAAGGGCTGAGAATACAGGCATGAGCCACCACACCTAGCCCACATAGCTAAAACTTTTTTTTGAGTCATGGTAAAATGTACATAAGATAAAGTGTACCATTTAACTTTTTTTTTTTTTCTGAGATGGAGTTTTGCTCTTGTTGCCCAGGCTGGAGTGCAATGGCGCGATCTCGGCTCACCGCAACCTCCGCCTCCCGGGTTCAAGTGATTCTCCTGCCTCAGCCTCCCAAGTAGCTAGGATTACAGGCATGTGCCACCACGCCCAGATAATTTTGTATTTTTAGTAGAGATGGGGTTTCTCTGTGTTGGTCAGGCTGGTCTCGAACTCCCGACCTCAGGTGATCCGCCCACCTCGGCCTCCCAAAGTGCTGGGAGTACAGGCATGAGCCACCATGCCCTGCAATCACCATCATTTTTTAGATGAGAAAACTGAGGCACAAAAATGTTATTTAGCTTGTTTGGGTACCCAGCTAGCAAGAGATAGAGCCGGGACTCCACCCTTTCTAGTGTGTGGTGGGCTCAGAGTCCAGGACTATTAGCACAGGAAGGGACCAGGGCCACCATGTGTCCAATTTGTTCATTTTACAAATAGGGAAACTGAGGACTTCAAATGTTACATGACTTGTCCCATAGCTATAGTGACCATATTATCCGAACCCCAAAATCAAGATGCATGGTTTGATTTAGGAAAAAAAGACTTCTTGGGGCCGGGCGTGGTGACTCACTCCTGTAATCCCAGCACTTTGGGAGGCCGAGGTGGGCGGATCACCTGAGGTCAGGAGTTGGAGACCAGACTGACCAACAGGGCGAAACTCTGTCTCTACTAAAAATACAAAATTAGCCAGGCCTGGTGGCACATGCTGTGGTCCCAGCTACTTGGGAGGCTGAGGCAGGAGAATCGCTTGAACCCGGGAGGCAGAGGTTGCGGTGAGCCTAGATCGCGCCATTGCACTCCAGCCTGGGCAAAAAGAGTGAAACTTCGTCTCAAAACAAACAAACAAACAAACAAACAAACAAAAACTTCTTGGTTATAAAAAAAAAAAAAAGTCAAGCTGGGACATGTAGTTTGAATGGGCCCCCAAGTAACAGTGATGCTGTATCATCTTGACGGTTACATAGTGGGGTTACATAATGGTTATATAATGGGGTTAATAATGATTATATAATGGGGTCACCGAGACAAACTGTGCTATTGTCATATAACAAGAAACATATATTTGGTGTTCCTCCCAGTTCCTGGCACAGAGCTTCTAAAACCTTTAGAATTTCCTGAGTGATAAGAGGAGAGGAGCAGCTTTTGTTATTCGTAATGAGCCCCTTTTCACCATACTTGAGTTCATGCTAATGAGGTGACTCTTGGAGAATGGGACTGGTAACCAGAAGAACCAATCAAGTGGCCGGCACGATGGCTCATGTATGTAGTCCCAGCAGTACTTTTAGAGGCTGAGGCAGGCGGATCACTTGAGCTCTGGAGCTGGAGACCAGCCTGGGCAACAGAGTAAAACCCCTTCCCTAGAAAAAATACAAAAAGTTAGCAGGACATGGTGGCGTGTGCCTGTAGTCCCAGCTACTTGGGAGGCCAAGGTGGGAGGATAGCTTGAGCCCCAGGAGGCTGAGGCTGCAGTGAGCAGTGATCACAGCACTGCACTCCATGCTGGATGACAGAGCAAGACCCTGTCTCAACAGGCAAACCAACAATAGAGCCAACCGTTGGGCGTAGTGGTTCATGCCTATAATTCCAGCACTCTGGGAGACTGAGGTGGGCAGATCACTTGAGATCAGGAGTTCACCACTGCACGCGGCCTTGGGGAGCAGACTTTTTTTTTTTTTTTTTTTTTGAGATGGGGTTTTGCTCTTGTTGCCCAGGCTGGAGTGCAATGGCATGATCTCGGCTCACCACAACCTCCGCCTCCCGGGTTCAAGCGATTCTCCTGCCTCAGCCTCCCAAGTAGCTAGGATTACAGGCATGTGCCACCATGCCCAGCTAATTTTGTATTTTTAGTGGAGAGGGGTGTTTCTCCATTTTGGTCAGGCTGGTCTTGAACTCCCGACCTCAGGTGATCCGCCCGCCTCAGCCTCCCAAAGTGCTGGGATTACAGGCATGAGCCACCGTGCCCGGCTGGGGAGCAGACTTTTTAAGGTTGTGGGGAGCCAGTGAGCCGGGACTGCTGATTGGTGAGGGATGAAATCACAGGGAGCCAAAGCAGTCTTCCTGCACTGAGTCAGTTGCTGGGTTGGGGCCACAAGATCAGACAAGCCAGTTTATCCACTGGGATGGCACCAGCCAACCCAAGTGCAGGATCTGCAAAATATCTCAAGCACTGATCTTAGGAGCAGTTTAGAGAGGGTCAGAATCTTGTAGCCTCCAGCTGCGTGACTCCTAAACCATAATTTCTAATCCCGTGGCTAATGTTAGTCTAGTTTCCAGGCAAGAAGGAAGTCTGCTTTGGGAAAGGGCTGCTACCATCTTTGTTTAAACTATAAACTACAAAATAGGTTTCTCCCAAAGTTAGTTCAGCCTACACCCAGGAATGAACAAAGACAGCTTGGAGGTTAGAAGCAAGATGGAATCACTTAAGTTGGATCTCTTTCACTGTCTCAGTCATAATTTCGCAAAGGTGGTTTCATTCCTGCTAGCATTCATCTGTGCAAGCTTCCAGCTTGCAGGCTGCTCTTTGTTAGAATATGATTTGGGGCTGCTTTTCGTTAAAAAGAAAAGCCTTGGTCAGGCATGGTGACTCACACCTGTAATCCCAGCACTTTGGGAGGCTGAGGTGGGTGGATCATGAGGTCAGGAGATCAAGACCATCCTGTCCAAAATGGTGAAACCCTGTCTCTACTAAAAATACAAAAATTAGCTGGGTGTGGTTGTGCGCACCTGTCATCCCAGCTACTTGGGAGGCTGAAGCAGGAGAATCGCTTGAACCTGGGAGGCAGAGTTTGCAGTGAGCTGACATTGTGCCACTGCACTCCAGCCTGGCGAAAGAGCGAGACTCTGTCTCAAAAAAAAAAAAAAAGAAAAAGAAAAAAGAAAAGCCTTACCGATGACTCCCATGCCCTTGCTATCTGCCTAAGTAATTTCTTCTTAACTCCTATATTGATAGGTCCGTTGCCCACTGTGCCTGGCGAGTCAGTATGCAGAGACAACAGGTTACAGCAGAGAAAGAGGTTTAATTGTAAGGCACCGAACCAGGAGATAGGAGGAAACCTCAAATTTATTTTCCCAAGAAATTTCGGGCTAGTGTTTTAAGAGCTTTGGAGTGGGCTGAAGTATGGAGATTGCTGGTTTGTCGAAGAGTGCAGGGTGAAGTCACGGGACAGGAAGATAAACTGTATTCTCATGCTGATTCCTTTCTTCTGTGGGAGTCTTCAAACTGGTCAGCGGGCATGCCTGTAATACCAGCACTTTGGGAGGTCGAGGCGGTTGGATCACCTGAGGTCAGGAGTTCGAGACCATCCTGGCCAACATGGTGAAACACTGTCTCTACTAAAAATACAAAAAACTAGTGTGGTGGCGGGCACCTGTAATCCCAGCTACTTGGGAGGCTGAGGCATAAGAATTGCTTCAACCCAGGAGGCAGAGGTTGCAGTGAGCTGAGACTGCGCCATTGCACTCCAGCCTGGGCAACAAGAGCAAAACTCTGTCTCAACAAACAAACAAACAAACAAACAAAAAAGCCATATGATTCTAACATCAGAAATCCTATCAACAGGAACAATGGGGATGCCAGTGATCATTATCTAGTGACTTACGGTTGCCAAGGAAGTCAGTGAAAGTACAGCCTGATTAGTGCTTCATTATAACCATATTTCTGTCCAGGATTCTTGTTAATCCTTTGAGGACAGCTTCAGTAATACTACAGAGTGTTTGAAATCAGCACCAATTTTGAGAACTTTGGCCTATCCAAAGTTAGGCAGGCCTGTGGGTCTTCATTTAGAAATTTACCAAACTGGGCCGGGCGTGGTGGCTCACTCCTGTAATCCCAGCACTTTGAGAAGCCGAGGCAGGTTGATCATGAGGTCGGGAGTTCAAGAACAGCCTAGCTAACATGGTGAAACCCCGTCTCTACTAAAAATACAAAAAAATTAGCCAGGCCTGGTGGCGGGCGCCTGTAATCCCAGCTACTCAGGAGGCTGAGGCAGGAGAATTGCTTGAACCCGGGAGTTGGAGGTTGCAGTGAGCTGAGATGTTGCCATTGCATCCAGCCTGGGTGACAGAGTAAGACTCCGTCTCAAAAAAAAAAAAAAAAGAAAAAAAGAAAAAAGAAAAGAAAAGAAATTGACCAAACTTGGCCGAGAGAGGCTTCAGAGTGACTCCTCATGGCAAAAGTGGGTCACATAAGGAAGACAGGACAGGTGTTTGTTCCTTTAGTAATCCCTCCAGTGTCTGACAACCAAATCGTTTTTCACATTGCTACCGAATATATCCTAAAATGTGAGTTTGATCATGCCTCTCTCCTTCTCAAAAACCCACAGTAGCTCCCTATTGCCGACAGAGTACAAACATGAATCCATTTGGCATGAGATGTCCTCCATTCCAGAGCCCCTAACTTCCTTTCCAGCCTCATCTGCCACCTCCTTCCCCAACACTCTTGCACTCCTGGACATGCCGCGTGCCGCTGCAACTTAGGTCTTCTCCATCTATTCTTTAGCCCCAGCCACGCCCTAAATGCTTCCTCTTTTGTAACCCTGCCCCCACCCTGATCCTTTTGGTCAGAATTAATCTCTTCTTCCTCAATGCTGTCACAGCAAATAGCAGGTAAGCCTTCTCAGGCCTTGTGTTGCCCTGCCTTGGATTACTGTGAGGTGTTTACGAGTCATTTCCACCACAGACAACAAATACCGCAGGGGCATTGGCCGTGAACTCACTTTTGTGTAGGGCAGAAATCCAGACTTCTGTTTACAGGAAATATACCCTGTCTGTGTGCTGTATCCTTCCTGGGCCTCTGCTTCTCTATCCTTTTTATAACAGTGTTTCCTAAAACAGGATTGGAGGAACTGTTAAAGTCACTCCTGTTTCTGATGGCAGTGTGAGTTCTCAATCTACACAGGATGACGTGAAAGAAAAGATCAAGAACTACTGCTTGGCAGCCACACTTCTTGAACAAGGAGCTCCATTTCACCTGCCATTGCCTCAACCCACTGAAAATGGGATTTGGTCCCTACTGAGCTGTCCAAATTCCTTCCTCCAAGGCGATCCCTCAAGAGCAAAGGCCTAGCACATGGCTGAGCACTTGACACCACCAGCAGTGTTTGCTTTGTCAGTTTTCAAACTTTGTCCTTCTCTAGCACTCTCCTCTTGCCCCTCTGGCTGTCCCTGTCTAAATCTCCTGCACTGGAGCATCTCCCTGAGCCCAGCTCACATTGGCAATATTCTTTGCTTCATCCTGGTACACTGTCCCCAGACAACTCAGTCACTTGTGGGGCTTTGGTTGCTGCCTAAATGCAGAAGAACTTGGTCTACATGCTAGGTCTTTCTGTGCTCCAGATCTTTCTGGGCTGCCTGCCTAACTGGATGCCCAAAACACTTCAATTTCTCCCCTAACTGAGGCTTTGGTGAGGAGAAATATTGACTCCAACTCTATCCCAGTGCTTTACTGTGGGCAGAGTATAGACCTAGCCCCTTGATTTGGGGCTTAGCCGTGTGACTTCCTTTGGCCAGTAATGAGGGTAGGGGATGGAAGTAGGAGTGTGCCACAGCTGAACCTCTGGCATGGCAGTGAGAAGAGCTTCCCCTGGCAAGCTGCTGCCTCCCGTATCTGGGCCCAGAATGAGCACACATGGAGCCAAGCCAAGCTGCCCTCACCAACCCACAGACATAAAGCAAGAGGCAGGGCAAGCCCAGTGTGGTGGCTCACGCCTGTAATCCCAGTGCTTTGGAGGACTAAGGTGGATGGATTCCTTGACCCCAGGAGTTCAAGATCAGCGTGGGCAACATAGTGAGACTTCATTGCTACAAAAAATAAAATATATTTGCCAAGCATGATGGTGCACACCTGTAGCCCCAGCTCCCTGGGAGACTGGGGTAGGAGGATTGCTAAAGCCTGGGCTGAGTCAAAGCTGCAGATCCATGCAGAGCCATGATAGTGCTACCGCACTCTGACCTGAGTGACAGAGCGAGAGCTTGTCTCAAAAAAAAAAAAAAAAAAAAAGGAAAAGAAAAGAAAATGAAAAAAGGAAAGAAAGAAAGGAAAAAAAAAAAAAGAAACACTGCAGCTTCCACTCCTGCAGACTGAACAGAGCCACTGGCCCCCCAATCTGTGAGAATAAAGAACTGTGGTTTTAAGCCACTGGATGTCGGGTGGTTTGTTACACAGCATTATTATAGCAAAAACTAAACAATACAATCTTGCATAGAGTTGAATGCATAAAACCTCAATATACAAATTAAGATTAGTTGTGCACATCACCACCAAGGTCAGGAAATTAATCATTGCTGAATGCCCCAGGAGCCTCCATGTGCCCCTCCTGATCACCACCTCCTCCTTCACCCATAGAGGTAATCAAAATTTCCTTCCTTCCTTGCTTCCTTTCTCTCTCCTTCTTTTTTCCTTCCTTCCTCTCTTTCTTTCTCCTTCCTTCCTTCTTCTTTTCTTTCTTCTTTCTTTCTGTCTCTCTCTTTCTCTCTTTCTTTTCATTCCTTCCCTCCCTCCCTCCCTCTTTCCCTCCTTCTTCCCTTCCTCTCTTCCTTCCTTCTTTTCTTTCTTTCAACAGAGTCTTGCTGTGTCATCCAGGCTGGAGCCCTGTGGCACAATCTTGGCTCACTGCAATCTCCGCCTCCCTGGTTCAAACAATTCTCCTACCTCAGCCTCCCAAGTAGCTGGGACCACAGGTGTGCACACAACCATGCCCAGCTAATTTTTTTTTTCTTTTTTGTAGAGACGGGTTTTCACCATGTTGACCAGGCTGCTCTAGAACTCCTGGCCTCAGGTGATCCACCTGCCTCGGCCTCCCAAAGTGCTGGGATTACAGGCATCAGCCACCCGCAACTGGCCTAATTTTTTACTTTTCTTTATAGCATATTGTACATATATGCATCTCTAAATTTGATAGTTTGCTTTTCATTGTTTAATTTCAATTTTTACTTTTTGTGGGTACATAGTAAGTGTATATATTTATGGGGTACAGAATATATTTTGATACAGGCATACAATGCATAATAATCACATCAAGGTAAATGGGGTATCCATCACCTCAAGCATTTATGCTTTCCTGTGTTACAAACAATCCCATTTTAGTTGTTATTAAATGTACAATAAATTATTATTGGCCGGGTGCGGTGGCTCATGCTTGTAATCCCAGCACTTTGGGAGGCGAGGCGGGCAGATCACGAGGTCAGGAGATCGAGACCATCCTAGCTAACACGGTGAAACCCCGTCTCTACTAAAAAAAAAAAAAAGAAAAAGAAGAAAAAATTAGCTGGGCGTGGTGGTGGGCGCCTGTAGTCCCAGCTACTCGGGAGGCTGAGGCAGGAGAATGGTGTGAACCTGGGAGGTGGAGCTTGCAGTGAGCCAAGATCATGCCACTGCACTCCAGCCTGGGCGACAGAGCAAGACTCCATCTCAAAAAAAAAAAAATTATTATTGACTGTAGCTACCCCATTGTGCTATCAAATACTAGATCTTATTCATTCTATCTAATTATTTTTTGTGCCCATTAACCATTTCCCTTCCATCCCCCACTACCCTTTCCAGCCTCTGGCCATGAGCTTGTTTTAATTGTTAGCTCCTACAAATAAGTGAGGACATGGCCAGGGATGGTGGCTCACGCCTGTTGTCCTTTTGGAGGCTGAGGCCAGCAGATCACTTGAGCCCAGGAGTTGGAGACCAGCCTGGGCAACATGGTGAAACCCCATCTCTACAAAAAATACAAAAAAGTTAGCCGGGTGTGGTGGGAAACACCTGTAGTTCCAGCTTCTTGAGGGGCTGAGGCAGGAGGATCACCTGAATACAGGAGGCTGAGGCTGCAGTGAACTGTGATTGCGCCACTGCACTCCACCTGGGTGACAAAGTGAGACCCTGTCTCAAAAAAAAAAAAAAAAAAAAAGTGAGAACATACAAAGTTTGTCTTTCTGTGCCTGGCTTATATCACTTAATGAAATAATGGCCTCCAGCTCCATTCATGTTGTTGCAAATGACAGGATCTCCTTCTTTTTTTATGGCTGAATAGTACTCCCTTGTGTATATGTACTGTATTTTCTTTATTCATTCATCTGCTGATAGCAACTTAAGTAGCTTCCAAATCTTGGCTATTGTAAATCATGCTGTAATAAACATAGAAGTGCAGATATCTCTTCAATGTACTGAGTTCCTTTCTTTTGGGTATATACCCAGCAGTGGGACTGTTGGATTATATGGTAGCTTTATTTTTAATTTCTTGAGGAACCTCCAAACTGTTCTCCATAGTGGTTGTACTAATTTACATTCCCACCAATAGTGTACGAGGCTTCCCTTTTCTCCACATCCTCACCAGCATTTGTTATTGTGTGTCCTTTGGATATTGGCCATTTTAACTGGGGTGAGATGATCTCTTATTGTAGTTTTGATTTGCTTTTCTCTGATGATCAATGATATTGACCATCTTTTCATATACCTGTTTGTCACTTTTATGTCTTCTTTTGAGGAATGTCTATTCACCTCTTTTGCCCATTTTTAGAAGATTTTTTCCTATATCGTTGTTTGAATTCTTTTTTTTTTTTTTTTTTTTTTTTTTTTGCAACGAAGTCTCACTCTGTCACTCAGGCTGGAGTGCAGCAGTGCGATCTCGGCTCACTGCAACCTCTGCTGCCCAGGTTCAAGCCATTCTCCTGCCTCAGCCTCCCAAGTAGCTGGGATTACAGGCACCTGCCACCATGCCTGGCTAATTTTTTTTGTAGTTTTTAGTAGAGACGGGGTTTCCCCATCTTGGCCAGGCTGGACTTGAACTCCTGACCTCATAATCCACCCACCTTGGCTTCCCAAAGTGCTGAGATTATAGGCACGAGCCACCGTGCCTGGCCTTGAACTCTTATACAGTCTGGTTATTAGTCCTTTGTAAGATGTTTGCAAATATTTTCTCCCATTCTGTGGGTTGTCTCTTCACATTATGGATTGTTTCCTTTGCTGTGCAGAAGCGTTTTAACTTGATGTGATCCCATTTGTCCATTTTTGTTTTGGTTGCCTATGCTTATGGGGTGTTGGTCAAGAAATTTTTGCCCATTTCAATGTCCTGAATATTTTCCCTGATGTTTTCTTGCAATGGTTTCATAGTTGGAAGTCTTAGATTTAAGTCTCTCTCTTTTTTTTTTTTTTGAGACAGAGTCTCAGTCTGTTGCCCAGGCTGAAGTACAGTGGCCTGATCTCAGCTCACTGTAACTTCTGCCTCCTGGGTTCAAGCGATTCTCTTGCTTCAGCCTCCTGAGTAGCTGGGATTACAGGCAATCACCACCACGCCCAGCTAATTTTTGTAATTTTAGTAGAAACAGGGTTTCACCATGTTGGCCAGGATGGTCTTGAACTCCTGGCCTCAGGTGATCTGCCTGCCTTGGCCTCCCAAAGTGCTGGGATTACAGGCATGAGCCACCGCACCCAGCCCAGATTTAAGTCTTTAATCCATTTTGATTTCATTTTTGTACATGGTGAGAGATAGTGTCATTCTTCTCCCTATGGATATCCAGTTTCCCCAGCACCATTTATTGGAGAGACTGTCCTTTCCTCAATGTGTGTTCTTGGCATCTTTGTTGAAAATGAGTTCACTGTAGATGCGTGGATTTGTTTCCGGGTTCTCTATTCTGTTCCATTGGCCTATGTGTCTATTTTTATGCCAGTACTATGCTGTTTTGGTTTCTATAGCTCTGTAGTATAATTTGAAGTTAGGTAATGTGATTCCTCCAGTTTTATTCATTTTGCTCAGGATAGCTTTGGCTATTCCAGGTCTTTTATGGTTCCATATACATTTTAGAATAGATTTTTTCTATTTCTATGAAGAATGTCTTGGTATTTTGATAGATTGCCTTGAATCTGTAGATAGCTTTGGGTAGTATGGACATTTTAACAATATTGATTTTTCTAATCCATGAACATGGAATATCTTTCCATTTTTTCATGTCCTCTTCATTTTTTCATCAATGTTTTATAGTTTTCATTGTAGAGATCTTTCACTTCTTTGGTTAAGTTAATTCCTAGGTATTTAATTTTATTTGTAGCTATTGTAAATGGTATTAATTTTTTGATTTCTTTTTCAGATTGTTCACTGTTGGCATATAGAAATGTTACTAATTTTTGTATGTTGATTTTGTATTCTGCAACTTTACTGAATTTATCAGTTGTAACAGTTTTTTGGTGGAGTCTTTAGGTTTTTCCAAATATAAGATCATATCATCTGCAAACAAGGATAATTTGACTTTTTCCTATTCAATTTGAATGCTCTTTATTTCTTTCTCTTATCTGATTGCTCTAGCTAGGACTTCCCTTTTGATTGTTTTTAACTTGTTTGAATGTAATCTTATTGTTTGTATTTTTTTGTGTCCTGTATTTTTTGCTCAGTATTGTTTATGAGACTCATCCAAGTGTTACATGTAGCTACAGTTTGTTCATTGCCTTCACTGCATAATATCCATTAAATGAACTTATTTTTACATTCATTTATTCTACTGATAATGGATATTCAGATGTTTCCAGGTTTTGGTTTTTTTTTTTTTTGAGACGAAGTCTTGCTCTTGTCCCCCAGGCTGGAGTGCATGGCACAATCTCGGTTCACTGCAACCTCTGCTTCCCGGGTTCAAGCAATTCTCCTGCCTCGGCCTCCCAAGTAGCTGGGATTACAGGTGCCTGCCACCATGCCTGGCTAATTTTTGTATCTTTAGTAGAGACGGGGTTTCACCATGTTGGCCAGGCTGGTCTTGAATTCCTGACCTCAGGTGATCCACCTGCCCCGGCCTCCCAAAGTGCTGGGATTACAGGTGTGAGCCACTGTGCCCAGCAGACACAGTGTAAGTATTACAGTCCTGTGTAAGTATTCCTATATATCAGGTCTAGCAAACTTATTCTGTAAAGCACAGATAATAAACATCTTAGGCTTCGTGGGTACAGCTGGTTTCTGTTGCATATACATTCTTCTTCTTTTTTTAAAATAGAGATGAGGTCTCACAATTTACCCAGGCTGGTCTCAAACTCCTGGGCTCAAGTGATCCTCTTACCTCAGCCTCAGATTACAGGCATGAGCCACCACTCCCAGCCTACATTCTTTCTTTCTTTTTTTAAAAAGAAAAATGTGGCCAGGTGTGGTGGCTCACGCCTGTAATCCCAGCACTTTGGGAGGCTGAGGCGGGTGGATCACCTGAGGTCAGAAGTTCAAGACCAGCCTGGTCAACATGGTGAAACCCCGTCTCTACTAAAAATACAAAAATTAGCTGGGCGTGATGGCGGGCGCCTGTAATCCCAGCTACTCAGGAGGCTGAGGCAGGAGAATCGCTCGAACCTGGGAGGCAGACAGAGGTTGCAGTGAGCCGAGATCGTGCCATTGCGCTCCAGCCTGGGCAACAAGAGCGAAATTTCGTTCCAAAAAAATAAAATAAAATAAATAAATAAATAAATAAATGAAAAATGTAAAAACTATTTAAAAATGTAAACATTGTTCTTAGCTTGCAGGCTGTACAAAAACAGGTTGTTGGGGTTGGCTTTGGCCCACGGGCTGCAGTTTGCTGACCTCTGCTTTCTGCTATTCGGTGCATGCGAGAAACATTTCTCCAGGAGTGCAACGGTTTGCACGTCTTTTGCCTCACTGGATGGTGCCCATCTTAAATTCAGCATATGGAAAATGGAAATTTCATCTTCTCAAGCAAATGAATCTGTGGGTACCAGCTTCCTGGGGAAAATGACATTCCGGTGGTTGCTATGGGATCTGAGCCCTCTGCAATGTCTTCCCCCTTCATTCCAGATGGTAGTGAATGGCACTGCTGTCCAGCAGGTGCCCATCAGAGTGGGTCAGGGAGGGTGGTACCAGACAGGTCAGAGGTGGGTCACAATGGGCATTGAGGCTAGGTGGGGAGCTTGGATTTTATTCCACTTGTAATAGAAAACCAGTTTAGGAGGTGGAGCAGGATGGTGACAAATGAGCTATGTTTTAAAAGGATCACTTTGGGCCGGGTGTGGTGGCTCACTCCTGTAATCCCAGCAGTTTGCTAGGCTGAGGTAGGTGGATCATCTGAGGTCAGGAGTTCGAGAATAGGCTGGCCAACATGGCGAAACCCCGTCTCTACTAAAAATACAAATACAAATAATAATAATAATAATAATAATAATAAATAAATAAAATTAGCTGGGCATGGTGGCAGGCACCTGTAATCCCAGCTACTTGGGAGGCTGAGGCAGGAGAATTGCTTGAACCTGGGAGGAGAAGGTTGCAGTGAGCCGAGATTGTGCCATCGCACTCCAGCCTGGGTGACGGAGCGAGACTCTGTCTCAAAAATAATAATAAAATAAAATAAAACAAAAGGATCACTTTGGCTTCTGATAATGGATCTTAGGGGGACAAGAGGGGAGGTAGAAAGGCAGGCAGAAAGCTCCTGAAGGAGTCTCATGATGGGGACATCCACAGCTACAGCCACCCTGCACCTGAGCAAGTCTCTGAGCCATCCCCGCCCTTATCCCCTTGCACATCCTGCAGTCCTATCCCATTTCTGCAGTCCTCTCTCCCCTTACACAGTGAACATAGTTCAAATATCCTGCCCTGGCTGACCCCACTCCTAAGCCCCCAGACACTTTCTCTGTAGACAATTAGGTGACCCTGCTTCACATGTCTTGAGGATAAAATATGACACATGCCTCAAATCTGGGTTTTTTTTAAAAGGGAAATATCTTTTATTTTATTTTAGACAAGTCTTGCTCTGTTGCCCAGGCTGGAGTACAGTGGTGTGATCTTGGCTCACTGCAACCTCTGCCTCCTGGGTTCAAGAAATTCTTGTGCCTCAGCCTCCCAGGTAGCTGAGATTACAGGCACCCACCACCACGCCTGGCTAATTTTTGTATTTTTAGTAGAGACGGGGTTTCCCCATGTTGGCCAGGCTGGTCTCGAGCTCCTGACCTCAGGTGATCCACCCACCTCAGCCTCCCAAAAGTGCTGGGATTACAGGCGTGAGCCACTGTGCCCAGCCATGACTGTTTTCCCACTGAACTTTAGACAACTGTATCTTTGAGTCTTATCTTTGCAGTTCAGCTGACCACAGGCAATTGAGTGGGCCTTGAAGGAAAGAATGTGGAACTGAATCTGTTATCTGGCAGCCACCTGGGAGACTGGCAGGGCAGAGACGGTTCTGACTGTGGTGATTAGGAAACAGGGCCGCGTGGATGCACCTGCAGACTGGGTCACCAGAAAAGATACAGATCACTGGAGTGTGTGAGACCAAACTGGAATCCATGGGGCACGTGACATCCTCGAAAGAGTAAAGGCAGGTGGGGTGAGTTAGAGTGGTTGCAGTAATAGTGGCACACACGCTGTGCCACGGGGAGTGAGCTGGAGGTGCCCAGGGCTGGGGCCGCCCTATAATGCCAGCTGGAACACACCTTGCTGTTGCTTAACTAAGAGTGAGCCTCTCTTATCGCTCCTCCTGCAACGTTAACTACCATAAACTGTTAGCAGTTGTTACAACCGCCTCTGCCCCAAGATACCTTGGCTCCACTCCCACCTGTTCTCTGAGAAGCTGCAATACAAATTAACTCATCAAAAAAGGTCAAGACATCCAGTTAGTTTGGAATAAAGGGAGAAGAAGAGGAGGGAAGTAGAACTGACTGTTGGAGGAGGGGGCAGAGGAGTGGATTGGAAAAGGATAAATACTGTTTTTTACAATTGTAAACAAGTTATTTATAATATTATAATAAAGGATATGTTTTATTAAAAATACAGCAGATTATTTCAAGGTAGGCTAAACTAGTACTACACACACTGTGTCCCTGGGACAGGACCTGGTCCATGAACTGTTGGTTACCAGTCTGAGAAGAAGTAAGTAGAGAAGTTAAGAGAAATTCTTTAGAAAGTTTTGTAGCAATTGGACAGCACAATTTTCTGTCTGTTGTGAAAGGAAAATAAATCTTGGGACTCCAAAATCACCAAGCTAAAGGGAAAAATCAAGCTGGGAACTGCTTAGGCCAAACCTGCTTCCTGTTCTATTCAAAGTTATCCCCCTGAGGCTCACCTAAGACAAATGCATATCTGATTGCTTCCCCTGCCCTATTTATTTATTTATTTATTTATTTATTTATTTATTTATTTATTTTTGCGATGGAGTTTCACTCTTCTTACCCAGGCTGGAGTGCAATGGCCTGGTCTCGGCTCACCGCAACCTCCACCTCCTGGGTTCAAGCGATTCTCCTGCCTCAGCCTCCCGAGTAGCTGGGATTACAGGCATGCACTGCCACGCCTGGCTAATTTTGTATTTTCAGTTGAGACGGGGTTTCTCCATGTTGGTTAGGCTGGTCTCAAACTCCTGACCCCAGGTGATCCACCCGCCTCGGCCTCCCAAAGGGCTGGGATTACAGGTGTGAGCCACCGCGCCTATCTGCCCTACCATTTATGTAAAAATGAAGATTCACTGAGACAGCCTTCAGTGGAAGGCTGATCAAGGACTCAAAAGAATGCAACCTTCTGTCTCTTATCCACTTCTAACCTGGAAGCCCCCACTTCCAGTTGTCCCGCCTTGCTGGACCGAATCAATGTACATCTTACATGTATTGATTGATGTTTCATGTCTCTCTAAAATGTATGAAAGCAAACTGTACCCCTGATGACCTTGGGCACATGCCTCAGGACTTCCTGAGGCTGTGTCACAGGCATGTCCTTAACCTTGGGAAAATAAAGTCTCTAAATTGACTGAGACCTGTCTCAGATATTCGGGGTTCACACTGTTGAATGTAATCATGAGAATGGGACCTGTATTTTGTAAGTCTTTAAAAAAATTTTCAACTTCCCAGTAATTTCTAATGTACTATACGGAAGTATTGGTCTCTGAGCCCTGGCAGTGAAGAAAAATAGCCTGGTTCTTCAGCCCAGGGATTCTGAGAAGCATTGAGTCCAATTTGGGGAGGTGTGGGGGTTGGGGGGAAGAGGCTGAAGCATTGAGACCTGTGTCCCTCTGGGAAAGGCAGTATTTGGACACTGGCCCTCTAAAGAGAGTGCACACGGTGTTGGGCAGAGAAGCAGCCACGTCCAAAGAGGAGAGGCCACTACAAAGAACAAAGAATAAACAACTCACCATGGGCAGTCCCATCGGATTTCCTCGTCCTTGTCCCAAACTCAACACCGAAAGAATAAGCACAGAGCAAGAGAGTGTGAGAAAGTAAACCACCCTCCTTGCTCACCTCCCCATCTCCCTCGCTTAGCTTTCTGGGCAGCCTTGAGGGGAGATTTGAAACAAATGACATTGAAGTGTTTTTTGTTTTTTTTTTGAGACGGAGTCTCTCTCTGTCGCCCAGGCTGGAGGCAGCGGTGCGATCTCGGCTCACTGCAACCTCTGCCTCCTGGGTTCAAGCGATTCTCCTGCCTCAGGCTCCCGAGTAGCTGGGATTACAGGTGCACACCACCACGCCCGGCTAATTTTTGTATTTTTAGTAGAGACGGGGTTTCACAGTGTTGGTCAGGCTGGTCTCGAGCTCCCGACCTCAGATGATCCACCCGCCTCAGTCTCTCAAAGTGCTGGAATGACAGGCATGAGCCACCGCGCCTGGCCCAAACTCTGTAAAATATTTTAAGAGATTTATTCTGAGCCAAACACGAATGACCATGGCCCATGACGCAGCCCCCAGGAGACCCTGAGAACATGTGCCTGTCACGCGCTTCCATGTGAAGAGACCTCCTAACAGGCTTTGCGTGAGCAATAAAACTTTTTATTTCGCTTGGGTGCAAGTGGGCTGAGTCAGAAAAGAGTCAGCAAAGGGAGATGGGGTGGGGCAGTTTTATAGGATTCGGGTAGGTAGGTGGAAAATTACAGTTAAAGGGGGTTGTTCTCTTGCAGGCAGGAGTGGGGGTCACAGGGGGCAGGGTGGGGAGCTCATGAGACTCATTGTCCAGGGGAGGAATGTCACAAGGTTGATTGATTAGTTGGGGTGGGGCAGGAACAAATCACAAGGGTGGAATGGCATCTTTTGTGGTTCTTCAGTTGCTCCAGGCCATCTGGATGTATACGGGCAGGTCACAGGGGTTATGATGGCTTAGCTTGGGCTCAGAGGCCTGACAGTACCCAAGGTGGTCGGGATACAGCTTGGTTTTATACATTTTAGGGAGGCATGAGACATCAATCAAGTACTTTTAAGAAATACATTGGTTTGGTTTAGAAAGGGAGGACAACTCAAAGCGGAGGGCTTCCAGGCTATAGGTAAATTTAAACATTTTCTGGTTGACAATTGGTTGAGTTTGTCTAAAGACGTGAGATCCATAGAAACGAATGTTCAGGTTAATGATAAAGGATTGTAGAGACCAAGTTTTATCGTTCAGAGGAAGCTCTTATAAAGCGGACTTCAGAGAGAGCAGTTTGTAAATTGTTTTTTAGCGGACTTTAAATTTTGGCTTTGTATTTTTTAGTGCCTGGCTCTTAGTTGATTATCTCCTGGATGTGGGAAGAAAGGAAGGAAAACAAAGGGGAAAGGGGATTCTGTATAGAATGTGGATTTTTCCCACAAGAGACTTTGGAGAGCAATTTCAAGGTATGGCAAGGAAATAGATTTTGGGGCAAAACATTTTGATTTTCTTTCTTGTTATGCCAGAGTCAGATTGGAAAGTAAGTCATGATATGCAGGGTCAAACAAAACCCAACTGATGAGAACTTATGGTTTGTAGGGCATGACTCCCCAGACTCCTTAGATAGGAATCTGGGCAAGATAAAAAATCAGAGCTTAGTTCTCAATGCCAATCAACAAGGTGAGCAGTTCTCAAAGCAGCACAGACTCTGGGTAGGAATTGATCAGATTACTGTGAAAACGGGCTTCTTTCATAATCACAGAGGTGGATCTAGAAGGCTGGTAGAAGTTTAATTGACAAGAACAATTTGTTTGGTTTTGTTGGCTAGAAGGCAAAGGAAAGAATACAATAGAATGCCAGAATGCCAAAGGGCTTCTTGGTAATTGAATCACATTAAGTGACTCAGAGTTATTTACACCCAAAGCAGATGAAAACTGGCTCATACCTGTAAAACTGGCTCACGCCTATAAAACTGGCTCACACCTGTAATCCCAGCACTTTGGGAGGCCGAGGCAGGTGGATCATGAGGGCAGGAGATTGAGACCATCCTGGCTGACATGGTGAAACCCCATCTCTACTACACATATAAAAAAATTAGCTAGGCCTGGTGGCATGCACCTGTAGTCCCAGCTACTCAGGAGGCTGAAGCAGGAGAATCGCTTGAACCTGGGAGGCAGAGGTTGCAGTGAGCTGAGATCACGCCACTCAACTCCAGCCTGGGTGACAGGCAAGACTCCATATCAAACAACAACAACAACAAAAAAAACAGGTTCAAAGAGCACCTTTGGTGTTGTCTATAATTGCACTAGATAGCGATAAGGAAGATAAGGAAGAGCTGCTTTGGAATTACTTTTTTTTTTTTTTTTTGGCACGGAGTCTTACTCTTGTCACCCAGGCTGGAGTGCAGGGGTGTGATCCTGGCTCACTGCAACCTTTGCCTCCCAGGTTGAAGCAATTCTCTGCCTCAGCCTCCCGAGTTGCTGAGATTACAGGCGTCTGCCACAATGCCTGGTTAATTTTTTGTGTTTTTAGTAGAGATGGGGTTTCACCATGTTGGCCAGGCTGGTCTTGAATTCCTGACGTCAGGTGATCCACCCGCCTTGGCCTCCCAAAGTGCTGGGGTTACAGGCATGAACCACCGCACCTGGCCTGCTTTGGAATTATTAAGATCAGCCAACCAGGATTGTAACATCCCTGGTTACAAATAGTACAAGAGAAGCAAGAAACTCCCTGTATCCGAGGAGAACAGTAGTGTCACCATGCACCACTAAGACAGGCAGTTCCTTGTCCAGAATGGGCAGAAAAGGCTGGCTCCTCATCCCAGTCCCTCCTTAGCTGGGTCAACATAACCTGCCTCAGAGTCCCCGGCTTGCTGGAACACCTCCCATTTCCTACACTGTGCACCCCGAACATAGTCCTAGAAATGCACAGTGGGGAGATAATGTGGGTGACTGGAAAGTGGTGCTTTACTCCTGTGCCCAGCAAAGGGGTCCC
This sequence comes from Homo sapiens, assembly GCF_000001405.40. Taxonomy (NCBI): domain Eukaryota; kingdom Metazoa; phylum Chordata; class Mammalia; order Primates; family Hominidae; genus Homo; species Homo sapiens. Next base: position 62,047,122 of record NC_000011.10, read on the forward strand.
CAGGGCAGAGGCCAGGGAGCACCCCACAAGGCTGACCCGGCACCCTCAATGTTACTTTGCCCAGGTCTCTTTCCAGAACACTCACTTGTATCCTCCTGTACATAAGCTAAATTTCTCATTTTTTGGGAAAAGGGCTAGGTGGTTATTTTTTATTTTCAGAGATCCTCAAAGGGCAAAGCCAACCAAAAGGGGACTTTGGATGAGCAGCCAGCTCCCCTAGCTTAGTCCTCAGGCCTGGCCAGTGCCGCAGGAGGCTCTGAGAACCCTTGGAGGTCCCACTACCCAGAGTTATTTGCTTATTCAATTAGTAAATATCAGTGTAAAGAATGGAAGGGTGGAGGGTGCCAACAGCACAGCTCCCACACTCCAGAGAGCCTCTGCTCACCCAGCTCATCGCCATTCTCCAGACCGGCTGGGCTGCTTCCTTTTTACCGGATCCAAGCCACAGAGCAGGGCCACCTCAGATTATTCTTTCTCTTTCATGCTCCCTTCCCTGTCCTCCTTCCCTGCTCCCCACTATCTCATCCATCACCGAACTTTCTCAATCTCACCTCTTACAACTTCCCAAATACTAAATGTTAATAACTGAAGACAATGGGTGCTTGGGGCATGGAGGTTCATTATACAATTCTCTCTCCTTGTGTATGAGTCTGAATGTTTCCAAAACAGAAAATTACATGTAACAAAAGATAAAGGAATACAATATCTCAAGCTGGTCCCCTCTGCTCTGTTACTTGCAGAATCCAGACTTTCACCATCTCCCTTGCCCACTTTGGCCCCCAGCCTCCAACGAGCCCGACCAGCCACCCTTGGATTAGCAGATGTGTTTCCCTCCATGCTGACGTGGATGGTGGCAGGGTCTCCTGTTTCCAGACAATAGTTTAAACTGCCTTTAAGTGAAGGAGTTTTAAGACATGTGATGCAGTTAGGCATGTAGCCAGACATACTTTACCCCAGGCTGGGGCTCAGGGCCCAGGTTCTAGTCCCAGCAACACCTCCAACAGGGTGTTAGAATGAGCTATTTCTTCCACTTCTGTTTTGAAATACACAAAACACAAAAACACCACTAGCCCTGGGCCCAGGCTTTCACTGTCAAAGGGATTTGAAGAATTTTGTCATCATATATGAATCTCAAAACAGCCCCAGGGGAAGCAGGGCATGTTTTAAGAGGACTTCATCCAATGCTTTCTTGGTATGAACTAAGCACCTTCCCTTCCCTCCCTCTTCCTAGGGGAAGGCTGAGACATGTCTGGCTCCAGTAAATTAACGACCTCATCTCCACTGACTTATTTGTCTGAAACATGTTCAAAAAGCAAAGCAAATAGAAAAGAGGAGAAGTCTTGGAGGAAGAAGGAAAGCAGACACAGGAAATTAGGATAAATGTTTAAAGGCATGTATTTTAGCTTATTAGGATAAATGTTTAAAGGTATGTATTTTAAATTATGCATCAAGAACCAGATTCTTTGGATGACAAAGAAGTTCACAGAGGTGACCTGATCTGGCCAAAGCAATTCTTTTTTTTTTTTTTGTGGGGGTCGGGGGTAATGGAGTCTCACCCTGTTGCCCGGGCTAGAGTGCAATGGCACGATCTTGGCTCACTGCAACCTCTGCCTCCCGGGTTCAAACGATTCTCCTGCATCAGGCTCCCGAGTAGCTGGGGTTACAGGCACCCACCATCATGCCCAGCTAATTTTTGTATTTTTTTTTAGTAAAGGTGGGACTTCACCATCTTGGCCAGGCTGGTCTTGAACTGCTGACCTCCTGACCCGCCCACCTCGGCCTCCCAACATGCTGGGATTACAGGTGTGAGCCACTGCACCAGGCCAAAGTAATTCTTAATAATAATAGTAAGAGTACAAAATACTTACTGTGTATCAGGAGCAGCATAAAGAGCTTTCCTCATGGAAGCCTTACAAGGACCCTATGAGATGAATAGCACCCCCTTTATAGAGATAGGGAAACAGATCCAGAGAGTTACAAGTCCTGGAACCAGGGGTTGATCCCTGCTCTGCTGGACTCCATGGCCCATGCATGGCCCTGACTTTTCTTCCGCATGTCTTCCAGCCCCACCAGATCACTTCCCAGTTAGTGTTGGAACCGGGACAACACCTAGATCTGGCCCAGTGGTCTTTCCTAGTGTTTTCTCAAATGGTATCCAAGGGCTTCCCTGGTTCTAAAACAGAAATAAATAAATGAATGAAGCAAGGAAGGAAGGAGGTATGGAAGGGAGAAAGAGAGAGAGAAATTAAAGAGGTGCCAAAGATTCTCAGACTTTTTCTTTTCTTGCTCTTGTCGCCCAGGCTGGAGTGCAATGTCGTGATCTTGGCTCACTTCCTCCCAGGTTCAAGCAATTCTCCTGCCTCAGCCTCCCAAGTAGCTGAGTTTACAGGCATGCACCACCATGCCTGGCTAATTTTGTATTTTTTAGTGGAGACAGGGTTTCACCATGTTGGTCACGCTGGTCTCAAACTCCTGACCTCGGGTGATCCACCTGCCTCGGCCTCCCAAAGTGCTGGGATTACAGGCATGAGTCACCATGCCTGGCAATTCTCAGACTTTCAAAGCCAGTGATACCAGAGTGCTCAGTCCTTTGACCTCCACCTCCAAGCTCATATCTTCTTCCCCTCTCCCATCCTGTTCACAGCCTCACAGGACAGTGTAGCCTGCCACGATCCCTGTTGGACTGAACAAAGGGGGCTAACATGGGAATAAAAGACAAGGACATAAGAGTATATTTGGAAGAATGGGTCAGGGGGCATCTTGCCTCTAGTGGACAAGGGCCCCAAGCTTTACACAGCCCTCCGTATTTATTGGTAAAAGAGATAACAAGAAGGGGGGATGGTTGTCAGCCGGCAGTTTGATTCACAGCAAGCTTGCAAGACTGCATCCTTTGAACAATAGGTGCTAGATTTACCAGTAGATAACTTTAAGGAGCCCGGTGCCACGGAATGATGACCCTCAGCAAGCCTCCTGGCGGCAGGCGCAGTCGTGAGTTTGCTCACATCCTGCATTCATGATAAACAGTTTGCTGTTTGATCACATAGCCTCCAGTGGAATGCTGAGTTGGTCACAATCCCTTTGGCCTTTTCAGCACCCAACATCTCCCCTTTTCTGTTTATGTATTAATTGAAAGAATGTAAGGCCAGGCTGGGCAGCTCTCATTTTCCAATTGGCGGTCCATCCAATTTTACAGACTATGAACAGAAGACAGAGACAAAACCACATTATTCCAAGAACTGCATATAAGATGGTAATGTGGTGCCTTAGATAGGTCCAAGGGTTGAGGCTCTCCAGGCCTTGCTGGAATTCAGTCCAGTCTTCTAAAGAAGGCTGAAATTCTTGAGTTTGCCTATTTAAATCAAGAATTTTGTTTTGTAATTCACCAATATCAAAGGTGATGTTGGATGTGAACGCTCCCTGCAAATGGGCTTTCGCAAGGTCCCACGGATACTCACTTTGGTTATATTCTAAGTTGTTTACACAAATATGAGTGTTATTAAAATGATAACGCAATTGCTGTTGCAACTGCAAGTTTTGTACTTGTTCTCCTAACCATAGAACCATGGATTTTAACATTGCCACTTAAGCTTATAACTCAGTGTTAATTTTATTCTGAAGTAGCCACACTTGTTTGGCTGTGTGCGTCCAGTTCTCCACGTACTGAGCTGTTTGAATAGAATTATGCAAAGCTACAGAAGACATCACGACAAAAGTTATTAGTGTGACCAAGGAAACGATAGCAAAAATTATCATGCCTAAGGCTCTACAGACACAATGAGTAAGCTGAGTTAGAAGAAGTTTCACAAAATGCCAGGCAGGTGTGGCAGCCCAAGGCTCAGACAGATTAACAGGAATCCATCACCCAGGGATGCAACCTAAAATCATCAAAGTAGAGAGATTATGTGTTTGCCATGTGCTATGATGAATGCAGTTATATAACTGGCAAGATTTACAGGTTAATTCGGTATTGTTTACCTGGAACTGGTCCTTCTTAGCTGCCAAAAAGACATAAGGATTAAACACACAAACTGTAAATTGAGTGGTGATATCTTTACAAATGTAACATTAGACTGCATTGCTTACTATTGCTATTATTGGATAGTATCCTAATCCAGATGCTGCGATTCGTAAATGGGAGTGCTGCCTTCCACATCATCTCTTTAATTGGTCCTTTCCTCCCTAGATAATGCCACTGAGGAAGAGGCGGGCTAAAGCTTGCTCCGTGCCAAGCAATCTGGGTAGCAGACTGGGATTGGATCCCAGTATTGTATAAAGAAGAAGCATTAAAAGCTTGCCACCAATGCCAGCGAAGTTTGTGCCATGATTTCTGATTTTCATCTTTTCCATCTAATTGATCTTTAGGTCCCCAATCCACAATGTCTCCAGTTAACATAGATTGTTTTCTAGCCAGTGGACCAAGACACTGGGTCCATAGATGGGGGTAGGAAATACTGAATGGAACCCATTCCGTATAATCAGCACAATTAGGGTGATTGGGCCAGGAATGGTTGGTTAGCACACCAGTTACGTTAATAGAACCAAGACTTAACAGGTGCATGACTTTTTCATAGTGACTCAACCATGTTTGAGCTTGAATTTAAGACAGCTATGGCTGAGCGATGTCTTTGTGGTGATACACAAAGGAAGTCCTTCCAGTGGAGCAGTATAATTAATGACATTATTCTGAGAGTCTAACTGTTCTATGTCAGGGGGAGTCAGGAGTCCTGGAGCCCACTCTCCCTGATCATGATAAAGCTCAGGAGGAGTGTCACTCCAAAGAATAGGTCATACTACTGGGGGATTGGGAACATATGCCCAATATGTTTTTGCCTCTGCACAGGGAAAACATATCACATTGGACATTATGGCTAACATGGCCAAGAACATGGAATCAGGGGTTCTGGCCTGTCCCTGATGCTACAGTAGTTTCTCAGCTTCCTGCATGGTTTTCTTGAGTTGTCCCCAGCTTATGGGGGTTGATGTCATTGGGCTCTGGTCGGACTTCTCTCTGTCTTTGCACTCAGGCTCAGCTGGCTCACGGCTCGTACCGGAGGGACCGGGCCCATGGTTGGCCACCCTGGGCTCCTCAAGTCTCCCGTTCCATGGTCGCACACACCTTGAGGGCACCCACACGGCTTATCCATCTCCTGTAAAAACACAAGCATACCCTCGTCCCCATATTAGTAAATACACCAGACCTTTCCATTGTCCTTCTTCCGGGGATTTCTATAACACTTTCAGATAAACTTTCCTCTTTTCATCTAACAATTGCCAATGTCTTTCTTCTGGAGTCTTACCATTCATACCAGGAGTCAAAAAATTTAAGGTAAATAAGGCTAAATGTAGTTTTGATTGAGGTGGTAGTTGGCCTCCTATATCCCTTTTTTGTCTTTTCAATATGCATTGTAATGTTTGATGTGCCTGCTCTATAATGCCTTGTCCTTTAGGGTCATAAGGAATTCCTGTTTTATAGGTTATAGCCCAAAGCTGTAAGAAATTTTTAAAAGTGTGACTAGTATTAGCAGGTCCATTGTCAGTTTTTAATTGTTTAGGTATCCCCATATGAGCAAATGATGACAGACAATGTCACTGTACATGACCAGCTGTCTCACCTGTTTGGCATGTAGCATGCAGCATATGAGAATAAGTGTTTATAATTGCATGAACATAGCTAAGCTTACCAAAGGCTGCTATATGTGATTGTGTGTGTGTGTGTGTGTGTGTGTGTGTATATATATATATATATATATATATATAAAAATATATAATTGTTATACGTGACTGGCTACATTTACAACATAAGCTGAATCACAGACAACGTTGATAGGATCTGAAGCTGTGAGCTGTAAAACCTGAATGACTGCAATTAGTTCTGAGCATTGAGCTGAAACCCCAGAGGTCATTATTGTTTCCAGACTTTTTTGGAATAACAAATTCCGGTGAATTCCAGGGGCTAACTGACGTTTCTATATGTCCTGCATTCAATTGCTCTTTTACCAACAGGTGAAGTTGACCTAGCTTCTCCTGTGTTAGGGGCCATTGATCCACCCACACAGGTTTGTCACTAAGCCATTCTAATGATAAGGCAGGGGGCGGAGGAGAAATATCAATGACCCCCATCAGAAATCCTGACGTCCTAATGCTTTTCTATCTGTTTTTCCAGTTACTGATATCAGGTTAGGGTTTCCTTGTAGAAATTTCCCTAAACCTTTTCTACTCTGATATCTCATGACCTTCAACATTTTAAATTCTGGTTATCAAAGTTTTCATTTATAAGCCTCATATCCCATGCTGTAAGTAAGTCTCAACCCCATAAATTGACAGCTATATTTGCAACATAAGGCTGAAAAGTACATGACTGTCCATCTGGACCAAGACAAGGTAAAATCTCAGCATTTGTTGAACACTTTGAGCTGTTCCTACTCCCAATAGGGACATAGAAGTTAATTGCAAGGGCCAGGATGGGGGCCAATTGTCTTTAGATACTACTGACACATCAGCTCCTATATCCATAAGCCCATAAAATTTCTTTCCTTTAACTTGTATTACACAGGTGGGTCTACTAGAGGCTATGGGTTGGGATAGATAGATTTCCCATGCAGTTGTGCTCCCGAACCCTTTGTTTCCTTGCATCTCCTTTTGTGGAGAAGGGTGTAATTTGCAGGGAATAAGCAATAGCTGAGCAATATATTCTCCCAGTTCAAAAACCCAAAGATCTTGCGACATTAAAACTACTTGAATTTATCCTTCATAATCAGAGTCAATCACTCCCGGGACTACAGTGATGCCCTGTAAGTTAAGATGGCTTTTGCCTAAAATTAATCCTGTGTATCCTGTTGGTAAAGGTCGCCAAATACCAGTGGGAACTTTGATAGGTTTGTCTCCACCAACTACTGTTATTCTTTCTCTGGCAGGTAGGTCTAATCCTGCACTTCCTGGTGTTCCTGGGGTGAGGGAATCAATGTGCCTCTGGGAACCCATCCCTGAAATGGGGTTGAGGTCTGGACTGGGAATGCCCTCATTGTTTGAGGGGCCTGGGTCCAGGCCCCTGTCTCGTTTCCCGACGGGGGTGCTATTTTGATGAAATTTTGAGTGGCACTGATTAGCCCAGTGATTTTCTTTGTTACAGCGAGGACAAAGTCCTGGCATTTTTTTCCGCTGAGTGGGGCACTGCATTGTAAGGTCCTTTCTGTCCTGAGATCTGGTGGCATTCCTTTTTAAAATGTCCAGTTTTTCCATAATTATAACATTTTCCCATTTTAGAGTTTGACCCTTGGCTCCTTTTAGATTTGTCAACTGCTGAATTAGCCATTGCTTGCACTAACATTGCAGATGGATGAAGCTCAGTTCCTACATCCTGACAAGCTCAGAGAAAATTTCCCAAGTTTTTTGTACACCTCACTGGTGCCAGTGCACGTTTACAATCCGCGTTTGCATTCTCAAAAGCTAGAGTTAAGGTTAGCATTTCTGCAGCCGCAGTGTGAGGAATATGACACTTCACTGCCTCTTGTAATCTTGCAAGAAATTGCGCATAGGGCTCCTGTGACCCTTGCATGATATGTAAGAAGGATTGTGCTGGGACTCCCTCTTCAGGAATTGTGGCCCAGGTGCATTTAGCAACCTGTGCACACTGCTGATAAGCAGCCTCTGGGAGTGTCATTTGTCGTTCCAGGTCTGAATAAGGGCCATTACATAACAGCATATCCTTTATAAATATCTCCATGTCCAGCAACACGATTCTGTCTAGCCTGCTCTGCACACATTTCTTGCCAATTTAAATTCCATGTCAGATATGCACTAGTGGACAAGCAAGTTCACACCAAGTGTTTCACATCAAAGGGTAAAAGACACATAGCACTGAACACAGATTCTAGCAATCCTAAAGTGAATGGGCTCCATATGCCATTATTTACTACACTCGCTTTTAATTCCTTCAACAACTTAAACTCTAGTGGAGTGTGTTCATGAATAACCTGCTGTGGATTATTTGGATCAGGCCTTATGGAAATAGGAAAAGCATAAGGTCCTAAGGGCTCTCCAGCCATGGCAGCAGAGCATAAAATTCTTTGTATTGGGGTCTCTATTTCTGCCACTGAAGGAGGCAGTACAGACATTTCTGCAACTGGAGGAGGTGGTATAGGCCAATTTTTATCCTCCCTCTCCTGTTTCTTATTTTCAATTGGAGCTGTGGGTGGGACAACAGATTCTTTCAGATTTTTAGATTCAGCCTGCTGTCCTGCAGAATAATAAGGAGATAATGGCAGAAGCATAGTACGAACTAAACTCCAAGTGGAGAAAACAGAAGAATCAACTTTAAGACCTTTTTGATGAGCCCATTTTAATCCTTCTGCTGTTCTGTCCCAGTTTTCCACATCAAGAGTGCCTGCCTGTGAAAACCATAGGTTATGCAAAATAACCTCCTGCAGCAGCTTAGTTAGTGTCTGAGAACTAACCTGAGCCCCAAACTGTCTCAACAGAACTTTGAGAAACTGCAGATAATGTTATTCTTCAATAGGCAAATTCTGCCCCATGTTACCCTGATTGCAAAAACTTCCCGTCCAGGACTTCTTTAAAGCACTGCTTCCAATACCTCTTTAGGACACTGATCAGTACCTCTTTAGGGCACTGACCTTATATCTGCTGCTGGCAGACTCGTTCCGGGGTCCGTGTTTGCCTTGTCAATTTCAGTTCCTCTGCTCCAGCAGACCTTCTTCGCTCACATCCTTGAAGTCCTGTGTTCAGACGCCACTTGTTGTGCGCCTGATTGTGTTGCTGTTTGGGGTGCCACTTGTAGACAGCCATGATCCCTGGTGGATCAAACAAAGGGGGCAAATGCAGGAGTAAAAGATAAAGACAAAAGAGTATATTTGGAAGAATGGGTCAGGGGCACTTTGCCTCTAGTGGACAAGGGGCCCCAGCTTTACACAGCCCTCCATATTTATTGGTAAAAGAGATAACAAGAAGGAGGGGGAGTGGTTGTCCGCCGGCAGTTTGATTCACAGCAGGCTTGCAAGACTGCATCCTTGGAACAATAGGTGCTAGATTTCCCAGCAGATAACTTCAAGGAGCCCAGCGCCAGGGAGTGATGACCCTCAGCAAGCCTCCTGGAGGCAGGCACAGTCGTGAGTTCGCTCACATCCTGCATTCATGATAAACAGTTTGCTGTTTGATCATATAGCCTCCAGTGGAATGCTGAGTTGGTCATGATCCCTTTGGTCTTTTTGGCTCCCAACAGGTCAGGATGGTTGCAGGGGTCCTGTAATCATCTCTCAGTCCTTGCTAATCCATGTATAAGGTGCAGTTCCTCTGGTGTTAATGTCTAGCAAATGGACTTTGTATCTTAATATGAAGGAAAGGGAAGGTGCTATGGTCTAAATGTTTGTGTCTCCCCACCTAACCCCCAAGGTGATGGTATCAGGAGGCAGGGCCATTGGGAAGTGATTAAGTCATGAGAGCAGACTTAATGTGCTCTCATGCATGGGATAAGTGTCCTTCGAGGCCCTAAAGAGACCCCTCACTCTAGAAGATGCCGTCTGTGAACCAGAAAGCAGGCCCTCCCCAGATACCAAATCTGCAGGCACCTTGATCTTGGACTTCCCAGCCTCCAAAACTGTGAAAAAAAGAAAGAAAAAAAAAAAAATATATATATATATATATATGAGATGGGGTCTTATTCTGTCACCCAGGCTTGAGTGCAGTGGTGCGATCATAGCTCACAGCAGCCTCAACCTTTCAGGTTCAAGCAGTCCTTTCACCTCAGCCTCCCAAGTAGGTGGGACTACAATTGTGTGCCACCATGTCTGGTTAATTTTTTTAAAAAAAAATTTTTGTAGAGTCAGGGTCTCCCTGTGTTGCCCAGGCTGGTCTTGAGGCTCAAGGTCCTGGGCTCAAGCCATCCTCCAATCTCGGCCTCTCAAACTGCTGGGATTATAGGTGTGAGCCACCATGCCCTGCCAGAAATAAATTTGTATTGTTTACAAGCCACCCAGTCTATGGTGTTTTGTTATGGTAGTCTGAACAGACTAAGAAGGTCAAGGGAAAATGACCTTCTCATGAATACTCCCTAAGGAAAGAAGCTATTGACCTGCTTACTGAAGTTTTGCTGACATTGACTGCTTGCAGGGTGCTGTCCTTAGTGCTTTATTTAATCCTCACCGTTCCCCTGAGAGTAGGGCCTATCATTTCTAATTTTAGAGATGAAGAAACCAAGGCTCATAGAGGTTGACGGAGGTATTTTATACCATACAACCAGTAATCATGGAGGGGCCATCTGAACCCATGTATTTGATCATTTTATTAAAATACCTCAAAAAAAAACTCTCCTCTTTCTTAAGGAAACAAGCCCATATAAATTTAGTGGAGGGGAAAAATAAATGTAGCAGTAGTGAGAGGTCACTGAACTGTAGCCCTGAGGCTACATTTTGATCTGGGACCTCATATGTAGATCTGAGACCCCATGGAGTGCCCCCTGCTTGTAAGTTTCATGAAGTCAGGGATTGTATCATCCCAAATCCACTGCCCAGAAGGCATGTAGTCATCCTCCAGGAGCCTGGCCCTCTGGAGTGGTACTTCCCAGCTGGCTGCAGAGAAGGCTCAAGCGTGGACACCTGGCAGTGGCCACTGGCTACCAGTCCTGGCTTTGCTTAAATTCCCCATCTGTCTTTGCAGTACATTGTTTTCACTGTTGTTTTTGAGACGGACTCTTACTCTGTCACCCAGGCTGGAGTGCAGTGGTGTGACCTCGGCTCACTGCAACCTCTGCCTCCCAGATTCAAGTGATTCTCGTGTCTCAGCCTCCCAAGTAGCTGTGACTACAGTTACGCACCACCATGTCCAGCTAATTTTTGTATTTTTAGTAGAGACGGGGGTCACCATGTTGTCCAGGCTGGTCCCCAACTCCTGACCTCAAGTGATCCACCCGCCTCGGCCTTCCAAAGTACTGGGATTACAGGTGTGAGCCACTGCACCCGGCCCTGTTTTATTCTTTATCTCAGTGAGGCCATGGTCAAGTTGCTGAAACTCCATATACTTCAGTTTCCTCCTCTGTAAAGTGGGGATAAGAGGAATTTAATAAGGATTATATGAGATAATGCATGTAAAGCATTTGTCTTAGCACGGTGTGGGCGACACGTGCTCCAGAGTCTCGCTGCCATTGCTCCACCTGCACTGGGCCTGCTTCAGTCCCTGAGCCTCTGTCAGGACACATGGGGCCGGCACAGAGAGGTGCATTTCACTATCCCAACTCTGAGATGCAGCCGCTGCTGGGTCTGATCCGGCCTCGAGGCATCTGCTCTCCCACCTCTGCCCTGTCTTTCTCTCATCCCCCCGCCCTGCTGAGCTTGGTCCTTGAGCCCACTCAGAGTGGCTGCTATCACTGTTTGCCTCCCCCACTTGGACCTGGGTCTCATCCAGGCTCTGACCCAGCTGCCAATTGGTGGGAAATCAGAAAGTGAAGCCTGTGTTGAACCGAACCGCGAGGGTGCGACCGGCCAAATCCAGATTGTGGGAAACTGCAGGTCAACAGTTTCTGGAGAATCTGTTATTGGGCTCTGCCCTAGAGAAACTGTAGGGAAGGAACAGATCCTCCAGAAATTAAAGAGGCCAAACAGTCATCTCCAGTTAAACAATGAGCAAGACTACAGAGTTTAGTGATGTACACCTGTGTGGCCAGACTATCAAAAACTCAAGTTTGTGATTCTCATAAAAGTCAGGACAGGGAGCCAGGCGCGGTGGCTCAGGCCTGTAATCCCAGCACTTTGGGAGGCTGAGGCAGGCAGATCACGAGGTCAGGAGTTCGAGACCATCCTGGCCAACATGGTGAAACCCCGTGTCTACTAAAAATACACAAATTAGCTGTGCGTGGTGGCACGTGCCTGTAATCCCAGCTACTCGGGAGGCTGAGGCAGGATAATCACCTGAACCAGGGTGTCAGAGGTTGCAGTGAGCCAAGATCGCACCACTGCACTCGAGCCTTGTGAAAGAGCGAGACTCCGTTTCCAAAAAAAAAAAAAAAAAATGTCAGGACAGGACTGGTGTTGGTGGGGAAGGTTTTTGGTTGGAAATTGGAAAGTTCTATTTTTAGACCTGGGTAGTGGTTACAAAAGTATTCACCTTATAATAATGTATTAAGGCCATATATTTGTTCAGTGTGGGTTTTACCTGTGTGGTTTCTTTTTTTTTTAAGTGTATATTATTTGTGTATGTGTGTAGTACTTGTGGTTTGTTTTCCTGTCTTTGAGACAGAGTCTCTGTCACCCAGGCTGGAGTGCAGTGGCGCTATCTCAGCCTACTGCAACCTCCGCCTCCTGGATTCAAGCGATTTTCGTGCCTCAGCCTCCCAAGTAACTGGGACTACAGGTGTGCACCACTACTCCTAATTTTTTTTTTTTTCGTATTTTTAGTAGAGATGGGGTTTCACCATGTTGGCCAAACTGGTCTTGAACTCCTGACCTCAAGTGATCCGCCCCCCTCAGCCTCCCAAAGTGCTAGAATTACAGGCGTGAGCCACCGTGCCCGACCTGTACTGTGGCTTTTATTTGACAATAAAACAGTTCTTTAAAATGTACCCTGGGGGCAGAGCTGGGCATAGTGGTCCTTGCCTGTAATCCCAGCACTTCGAGAGGCCAAGGTGGGAGGATTGCTTGAGCTCATGAATTTGAGACCAGCCTGGGCAACATGGCAAGACCCCGTCTCTACAAAAAAAATTTAAAAATTAGCCGAGTGTGGTGGTGCGTGCCTGTAGTCCCAGCTACTCGGGATACCGAGTCAGGAGGATTGCTTGAGCCCAGGAGGTTGAGGCTGCAGTGAGCCATGATGGCACCACTGCAATCCAGCCTGGGTGACAGAACAAGACTGTGTCTTTTAAAAAAAGAAAAGAAAGGGCCGGGCGTTGTGGCTCACGCCTGTAATCCCAGCACTTTGGGAGGCCAAGGTGGGTGGATCGCTTGAGGTCAGGAGATCGAGACCAGCCTGGCCAACGTGGTGAAACCCAGTCTCTACTAAAAATACAAAAATTAACCAGGTATGGTGGTGGGTGCCTGCAATCCCAGCTACTCAGGAGGCTGAGGCAGGAGAATTGCTTGAACCTGGGAGGCAGAGGTTGCAGTAAGCCGAGATTGTGCCATTGCACTCTAGCCTGTGCAACAAGAGCGAAACGCCATCTTGAAAAGAAGAGAAAAATATCCCTTGGGTCTAGTCCCAGTGCTGCCACACAAAGGCCACCTCTCTTTCTGCTCTCCCATCCTGCCTTTGTCACAATTCTGACCCGTTTAGAACCTAACCTAAGTCAAGGCCTGGACAGAGTTATTCTAAAGCAAAGTGACTGAGTGTATGTGTGTGTGTGTGTGTGTGTGTGTCTCCAAGTGTACATATTTCCTTTTTACTTCTGAGATTATACCTTCTGGGACAGGTGGAAACCTTTCTTTTTCAAGTCCTTCATCTTCAGTGGCTACTTACCATCCCCATAGCTGGAGTTTAAGGAAATCTATCCCTAAAGAAGGGGTCCAACCTCAGTCTTAACTTTTTTTTTTTTTTGAGACAGAGTTTCACTATTGTTGCCCAGGCTGGAGTGCAATGACACGATCTCCACTCACCACAACCTCCGCCTCCCGTGTTCAAGCAATTCCTCCTGCCTCAGCCTCCCAAGTAGCTGGGATTACAGGTGTGCGCCACCACGCCTGGCTAATTTTGTATTTTTAGTAGAGACGGGGTTTCTCCATGTTGGTCAGCCTGGTCGTAAACTCCCAACCTCAGGTGATCCGCCCACCTCAGCCTCCCAAAGTGCTGAGATTACAGGTGTGAGCCACCGCGCCCAGCCATCTCTCTTTATTTGAGATGGAGTCTCACTGTGTCTCCAAGGCTGGAGTGCAGTGGTGCAATCTTGGCTCACTGCAACCTTCGCCTCCCGGGTTCAAGTGATTCTTGTGCCTCAGTCTCCCAAGTACCTGGGATTACAGGCATGCACCACCACACTCGGCTCCTTTTTTTTTTTTTTTTTTTTTGAGACAGGGTCTCTCTGTTGCTCAGGCTGGAGAGCAGTGGGGCAATCATAGCTCACTGTAACCTTGAACTCCTGGGCTCAAGCGATCCTCCTGCCTTGGCCTCCCAAAGTGCTGGGATTACAGGCATAAGACACCACGCCTGGCTAATTTTTGTATTTTCAGTAGAGAGGGGGGTTTTCGTATGTTTGCCAGGCTGGTCTTGAACTCCTGACCTCAGGTGATCCGCCTGCCTTGACCTCCCAAAGTGCTGGGATTACAGGTGTGAGCCACTGCACCTGGTCTTATTAACTCTCTAGAAGGCCTTAGCAGCCCCAATTTGCTTGCTGAACAGATCTTCCTTGCATGAGTTGGATAAAACTTCTCTCCAAAATTTCATGTATGCACTTTTTACCTGATGAGCAGGTAAGCTTTACATTTTTATCCCACGAGCGCCACCTTCCTATCTCTCTTTGCTATTTTTCTCTCTTTATCTGCACTGCTTGCTTCACATTTACTCCTTTCTGCATTTGGAAAGAGAAGAGGGAAAATGCATTTTAAAAAAAGAGGCGAGAAATGGAAACTAGAGAGGCCTCCCACTGGCCTCCCCCTATGGTGGCGTCCACTTAGCCACTTGGCCTCCGCCGTTCTGCTGCAGAAAAGTCAGTCTGTGTCTACGCTCATCCTGAAAACAGGCAGAGGTAGGAGCAAGGAGGCCTCCCACTGCCTTCTCTGGGGAGGGATCCTAAGTCCCGCGGAACATTTATAGAGTCCCTGCTCTCCAACAAGGCAAGAACCTTGTTGCAAAGGAGCACAAAGATCCCCAGAGAAGCCTGTGCAGGAAAGATAAAATGGAAAAACCCACAGTCAAAAAAGAAAGAAAAACAGCTGTGGCATTCCGAAAAGACAAGCGTCCACTGTTCTCTAATGTGGCTGGTTTTCCTAACTCCTCACATACTGATTCCCTCTTCATTGGATGTCCCCAAGGCCAGAGCACAGTCTGATTTGTCCAGAGCCACTTTGTGAGTGGAAAAAAAAACCAACTGATTTTCCTCTGCTCTCACACTACACAATAAAGACAGAAGACTTCTGTGACCAAATGTGTGGGTTTTTTTCCCCACATGCCAAGCAATCAATCAATTTTGCCATGGACACCAGCTGAGCGTCCTCCAGTTTAATTCTGACACCACCTACCCAGAAATAGCATCAGATCTCCCAGGTTTAGAGCTCAGTGCCTCAGGACTGCCCCCCTCGCTTTAGACACCAGTTGCATCTCAAGATGCGTGATGCAATTAGGCGCATAGCCAGACATACTTTACCCCAGGCTGGGGCTCAGGGCCCAGGTTCTAGTCCCAGCAATGCCTCCAACAGGGTGTGAGAATGAGCTATTTCCTCTACTTCTGTTTGTACCAATGAAATACACAAAAACACCACTAGCCCTGGGCCCAGGCTTTCACTGTCAAAGGGATTTGAAGAATTTTGTCATCATATTTGAACCTCAAAACAGTCCCAGGAGAAGCAGGCCATGTTTTAAGATGATGTCATCCATTGCTTTCTTGGTATGAACTAAGCACCTTGCCCTCCCTCCCTCTTCCTAGGGGAAGGCTTAGACATTTCTGGCTCCAGTCAATTAACAACCTCATCTTGACTGACTTATTGAAAGAATTAAGTAGCTGGGATTACAGGCATGTACCACCATGCCCAGCTAATTTTGTATTTTTTAGAGAAGACTGGGTTTCACCATGTTGGTCATGCTGGTCTTGAACTCCTGACCTCAGGTGATCTACCCGTCTTGGCCTCCCAAAGTGCTGGGATTACAGGCATGAATCACCATGCCCGGCAACCATCACAGGTCATGATGGTTGCAGGGGTCCTGTAATCATCTCTCAGTCCTTGCTGATCCATGTGTAAGGTGCAGTTCCTCTGGTGTTAATGCCTAGCAAATGGACTTTGTATCTTAATATGAAGGAAAGGGAAGGTGCTATGGTCTAAATGTTTGTATCTCCCCAAAATTTATATGCTGAGACCTAACCCCAAGATGATGGTATTAGGAGGCAGGGCCGTTGGGAAGTGATTAAGTCATGACAGCAGAGCTCTCATGCATGGGATGAGTATCCTTCGAGGCCCTAAAGAGACCCCTCACTCTAGAAGATGCCGTCTGTGAACCAGAAAGCAGGCCCTCCCCAGATACCAAATCTGCAGGCACCTTGATCTTGGACTTCCCAGCCTCCAAAACTGTGAAAAAAAGAACTGTTGACTGACCAGCTTCAAGGGTTCCCACGGCCCCCTCTTTAGGCTCAATTAATTTGCTAGAGCAACTTACAGGATTCAGGGAAATACTGATGTTTACCAGTTTATTATAGAAGATATGACGAAGGATACAGATGAAGAGGTGCATAAAAAGAGATATGGGGGTGCTGAGTGTGGTGGCTCACACCTGTAATCCCAGCACCTTGGGAGGTTGAGGTGGGCAGAGCACAAGGTCAGGAGTTTGAGACCAGCCTGGCCAACATGGTGAAACCCCATCTCTACTAAAAAAATTTAAAAATTAGCTGGGCATGGTGGCACACGCCTGGAGTCCCGGCTACTCGGGAGGCTGAGGCAGGAGAATCGCTTGAACCTGGGAGGTGGAGGTTGCAGTGAGCCGAGATGGTGCCACTGTACTCCAGCCTGGGCAACAAAGCAAGACTCCATCTCAAAACAAACAAACAAACAAAAAGGTATGGGGGAGGAGAATGGAGCTTCCACGCCCTCCCCAGGCAAATCACACTCCAAGAACCTTTCTGTGTTCAGCTGTCTGGAAGCTCTTCATACTCCATCCTCCTGGGCTTTTTTTTTTTTTTTTTTTTGAGATGGAGTTTGGCTCTTGTTGCCCAGGCTGGAGTGCAATGGCCCAGCCTCAGCTCACTGAAACCTCCACCTCCCGGGTTCAAGCTATTCTCCTGCCTCAGCCTCCCAAGTAGCTGGGATTACAGATAGCCCACCACCACACCCAGCTAATTTTTGTATTTTTTGTAGAGACGGGGTTTCACCATGTTGGTCAGGCTGGTCTTGAACTCCTGACCTCAGGCAATCTGTTCGCCTTGGCCTCCCAAAGTGTTGGAAGCACAGGTGTGAGCCACCACGCCTGGCCCCTCCTTGGCTTTTTATGGAGACTTCATTGGTTAGACATGATTGAAGCATGGACAGCCATGCAGAAATGTGATTGAACCAAAAGGGATTGATCAAAGGCTAATGGACTGACTCAGGAATGCCAGCAAGGCCTGTCTATCTAGATTCTTCTTGACCTCTCTGTGCAGCTGTCCTTCCTCCAGGGTATGGGGCAGGATCTTGTCTGGAATGGTTGTCTTGTAACCTACAATTAGGCGAGGTAGGTTGGGGAATTTCTTTAGGGCTAGCTCCTAGACAAAAAGGCAGGAAAATGATTACTGCCTTGGGGAGAAAAAGGAGCAGGTAAAAGGAGGGCAGGAGAAGGTCAGGGAGAGAGATTCTGTTTTCTGAGGCTGGGTCAGAGGCCTAAAACACCCCAATATTATCACAAAAGACTATGACAAGGGCTATGGGAGTTATGAGCCAGAAACCATGGGTGAGAACCAATACATATGTATCATAATGTCACACCAACTAACCAGCTCTGAAGTTTTCACTTTTCCCTGGAGCTTTCTATTTCTTCTGCTATCTTTTTTCCTTTTTTTTTTTTTTTTTTTTTTTTTGAGTTTCACTCTTGTTGCCCAGGCTGGAGTGCAATGGCCTGGTCTTGGCTCACCACAACCTCTGCCTTCTGGGTTCAAGTGATTCTCCTCCTCAGCCTCCGGAGTACCTGGGATTACAGGCACCTGCCACCACGCCTGGCTAATTTTGTATTTTTAGTAGAGATGGGGTTTCTCCATGTTGGTCAAGCTGGTCTCAAACTCCCAACCTCAGAAGATCCACCCACCTCGGCCTCCCAAAGTGCTGGGATTACAGGCATGAGCCACAGCGCCCAGCCTATTTCTTCTGCTTTCTTGTGGGCTATTTCTCCCCCTTGATCTTCTCTTCCAATGTTCCTTCCTCCTTTGCCTGGGAAGGCCCTGATGAACACCACCAGACTTGGATACCCACCTACCGATGGAGCAAATGAAGAGAGGATCAAGGACAAAGCCCTTTAACGTCCCTCCATCTTGGTGCCTCCCTCACCAGCACTCAGACCAGAAGTATCAGGCAGAGAAGAAGCCTTAAAAACTCTTTCCACAGTGTCCAGCCTTGGAGGAATTGGAGAACAGCAGCTAAAGCCTGAATTTGAGGGATAAAGATAAAGTATGGAGAAGGCCGAAATTAAACCCAAATCTGTATCAACTCAGGGCTTTCACAGGCAGCAAAGACCCCTAGATCTATCATGAATCTGAGTCATTGCCTTGTAGCCCCTATCTAGCAGTTGATCTGTTGATATTTCCATTCTTCATTCAATTTCAACTTACAAGGGGACTTCTCTCACACCAGCACTCCACAAACTGTTGTGGGTGATGCCAAGACACCAAACGACAACATCCAGCCCTTAGTGAGCTGGTGGTGGGAATGTGAGAAGCACATGGAAGATACATGCTGGTCTCTATGGTTAGTTCAGCATCCAACTGCACACACAGTTGATGCATGCCAGAGGAGTTCAAAGGAAGGTATATTTAGGGACTGTATTAGTGTCCTCTGGGTGCCGTCACAAAGTGCCACAAGCTGGGTGGCTTAAAACAGCAGAGATTTAGGCCGGGCGTGGTGGCTCACACCTGTAATCCCAGCACTTTGGGAGGCCGAGGTGGGTGGATCACCTGAGGTTGGGAGATCGAGACCAGCCTGACCAACACGGAGAAACCCCGTCTCTACTAAAAATACAAAAATTAGCTGGGCATGGTGGCGGGTGCCTGTAATCTGAACTACTCGGGAGGCTGAGGCAGGAGAATTGCTTGAACCTGGGAGGCACAGGTTGTGGTGAGCTGAGATTGCGCCACTGCACTCCAGCCTGGGCAACAAGAGCAAAACTTCATCTCAAAACAAACAAACAAACAAACAAACAAACAAAACAGCACAGATTTATTCTCTCATAGCTTTGAAGGTGAAAAGTCCAAAATTTCCAGGCAAGACTCCTTCCTCAATTAGGAGTCTTCAGCTGTTGGTTGTTGCCAGCTATCCATACCATTCCTTGGCTTTGTAACTGCATCACCCTGATTCTGTCTTCATCTTACATGGCTGTGTTCTTTCTGTGTGTGTCTCTGCCTCTGTGACCAAATTTCTCTCTTCTTACAAAGAAGAAGTTATAGCCCACCTGAATCCAGTATTACCTTATTTTTACTTGGTTACATCTGTAAAGATCCTATTTCTTTTTTTATTTTAACTCAGCTAAAAAAGATCACATTTCCAGGCTGGGCGTGGTGGCTCATGCCTGTAATCCCAACACTACGGGAAGCCAAGGTGGCAGGATCATTTGAGCCCAGGAGTTCGAGACCAGCGTGGGCAACATGGCGAAAGTCTGTCTCTACAAAATAATACAAAAATTAGCCAGGAGTGGTGGTGCGTGCCTATAGTTGCAGCTACTTGGGAAGCTGGAGCAGGAGGATCTCTTGAATCTGGGAGATGGAGAGTGCAGTGAGCCAAGGTTTCGCCACTGCACTCCAGCCTGGGCGACAGAGTGAGTCCCTGTCTCAAAAAAAACTAAAACATAAAAGGAAAGAAAAGATCTTATTTTTTTTAATTTTTATATTTTTTGAGACAGCATCTCGCTCTGTCGCCCAGGCTGGAGTGCAATGGCATGATCTCGGCTCACTGCAACCTCCACCTCCTGGGTTCAAGCGATTCTCCTGCCTCAGCCTCCCGAGTAGCTGGGACTACAGGCACCCGCCACCACGCCCAGCTAATTTTTATACTTTTAATAGAGACGGGGTTTCATCATGTTGGCCAGGATGGTCTCAATCTCTTGACCTTGTGATCCACCCGCCTTGGCCTCCCAAAGTGCTGGGATTACAGGCGTGAGCCACCGCGCCCAGCCAGAAAAGATCTTATTTTTAAATAAAATCATGTTCACAGGGACTGGGGTTAGGACTTGAATATATCTTTTGAGGGGACACAATGCGACCTATACCAGGTAGATAAAACAAAGGCTGGACAAAGTGATTGATTTTTCACTGTAGAGGTCACAGGACTGTACCCCTGGGCTTGGAACCGAGAATCAGGGAAGAATATAATGAAAGATCAAAGATGCTGGGGGCAAGATCTTGCATCCTTGACCCTTGAGTCATGTGTTAGTTTCCTAGGGCTGTGGTAGCAAAGTACCACAAAGGTGGTGGCTTAAAGCAATAGAGATTGTCGAAGCCCAAAATCTGAAATCAAGGTGTGGGTCAAGGCCATGTTCCTGCCTGCAGCTCCAGGGGAAGATCTCTCCTTGCCTTCTTAGATTCTGGTGGCCACAGGCATTCCTTGGCTTGTGGGAGCATTGCTCCAATCGCCGCCCCTGTCTTCACCTTGGCCTTCTCCTTTGTGTCTCTGTGTCTTCTCCTCATCAAGAGGGCCCCCCAGGGTAATCCAGGACAACTTTATTGTATCTGTAGAGACTGTTTTCCCAAATAAGGGCAGATTTACAGATTCTGGGGCATGGACATATCTTGTTGGGGACGACCATTCAACTTACTACATGTGATATTCCTGATGTTTAGGGAATGCACTTTTTAAAATTTTTCTTCATTATATATATATATATTTTTTAGAGACGGGGTCTCACTCTATTGCCCAGGCTGGTCTCGAACTCCTGAGCTCAAGGGATTCTTCTACCTCGGACTCCCAAAGGGCTGGGAGTTCACAGGCGTGAGCCACTGCGCCTGACCGGGAAATGTGCTTTGATTTGTCACCCATTCACTCAATAATACTTGTGCCCATTATGTGCCAGGGACTATTCTAGGTGCTAGAGACACAGCAATGCAGGTTCCTGCTCTTCATGCAGTTTTTTTGTTTTGTTTTGTCTTTTGTTTTTTCGAGACAGAGTCTTGCTCCATCACCCAGGCTGAAGTGCAGTGGTGCGATCTCCGCCTCTTGGGTTCAAGTGATTCTCCTGTCTCAGCCTCCCAAGTAGCTGGAATTACAGGCACATGCCACCACGCCCAGCTAATTTTTTAATATTTTTAGTAGAGATGAGGTTTTGCCATGTTGGCCAGGCTGGTCTCAAGCTCCTGACCTCAGGTGATCCGCCTGCTTCAGCCTCCCAAAGTAGTGGGATGTGAGCCACTGTGCCTGGCTGTTTTATTTGTTTTGTTTTGTTTTGTTTTAAGATGAAGCCTCACTCTATTGCCCAGGCTGGAGTGCAGTGGCGTGATCTTGGCTCATTGCAACCTCCACCTCCCAGGTTCAAGTGATTCTTCTGCTTCAGCCTCCCAAGTAGCTGGGATTACAGGTGCCTGCCACCATGCCAAGCTATTTTTTTTGTATTTTTAGTAGAAATAAGGTTTCACCATGTTGGCCAGGGCTGGTCTTGAACCTCTGACCTCAAGTGATCCTCCTGCCTTGGACTCCCAAAGTGTTGGGATTATAGGCGTGAGCCACTGTGCCTGGCCTTTTGTGCAGTTTTTATTCTAGGGGGAGGAGATGGACAATACGTTATTAGACAAATAGACAAGGAAATATTTAGGATAAGGGCTGCAAGGAAATGCAGCAGGGATGAGTGATGGTGTGACTGGGGGGCTACTGCAACCTAGAGGAAAAGGCCTCTGTGTAGAGGTGACATTTAAGCCGAGGGCTGAGTGCCAACAAGGAGACAGCCATGCGGAGACCTGGGACAAGCATTTCTGGCAGAAGAAACAGTAGGAGCAAAGGCCCCGAGGTAGGAGTGAGCTGAGCACATTCAAAGAACAGAAAGATGGTGCAAATATCTAAAACATGGTGAGTCAGAAAGAGAGGGGCTGGATTTGGGGTTGGAGAGGCTGACTGAGCCAGATCACATGGGGCCTGGAGGCCAGCAAGGAAGCTGGGCTTTTATTCCAGGGGCCAGGGGAATCCATTAGGTTTTTTGTTGTTGTTGTTGTTGTTATTGCTGTTGGGAGTCTTGCTCTGTTGCCAGGCTAGAGTGCAGTGGCACAATCTTGGCTCACTGCAATCTCCACCTCCTGGGTTCAAGCGATTCTCCTGCCTCAGCCTCCTGAGTAGCTGGGATTACAGGTGCGCACTACCACGCCCGGCTAATTTTTGTATTTTTAGTAGAGACAGGGTTTCACCATGTTGGCCAGGCTGGTCTCGAACTCTTGACCTTGTGATCTGCCCACCTCGGCCTCTCAAAGTGCTGGGATTACAGGCTTGAGCCACAGCCCCCGGCCGATCCATTAGGTTTTAAGCAGGGGAACACTATGATCTCAGTCATGTGCTTAAAAGCTCACTCTGGCTGCTGAGGGAAACATGGGCTGCAGAGGGCCAGAGTCGAAGCAGGGAAATGAGTTAGGAGGAGGTCACTGCTGCAGTACCCAGAGGTGGCGATGGTAGCTTGGACCAGGGCATGGCCGCAGAGGTGGAGGGATGGATTCCCGACGAGTTCTGGAGGTGGAGGTGACAAGAGGCCCTGACAGATTGGTCGTGTGGGGTGAGTAAAGAAGAGACTCCAGAATGAGTCTTAGGTTTCAGAAGCCAGCAAATAAGTTTCTGTTGTCACTGCTTTAATTCTGGTAAAATACATGTCACACAAAATTTACCATTTTAACCATTTTAAAGTGTACCGTTCCATGGCATTAAGTGCATTCATAATGTTGTGTAACCATCACCACGATCTATTTCCAGAGATTTTCTGGGTTTATGCACATGTATTGAACAATCTGAGTATTCGTCAGATTCTGTTGAGAGAAGAGTGTGCAAAGTTTCTTGCGAGCCAGTGTTCCTGTCCATAAAGACCACCTCTGATGGGGGCTGCGATTTCCTCCAATTGTTTCCAGTTGGCTCCTGGGGCTGGGGAACATGACATCCTATTTTATTTTCCTTTTGCTTCTGCCTCAGCAGAACCTAGGAGAAATCCTGGCATGGTGCCGGATGATCAATTTCATCTGGACCTTAATGAGGACCGAGGCCCTGACACTCTATGCTTCCTGCCGCCTCCATGCACACACACAAGAGAATTCTGAGTGCAGTAAGGGTTAAAAATCCTTTTGACACTAACCTAAAGCTTTGCTCCCTCTGGTCCACATGGGGAAATCAGTTACGGATAGGAAAGGTCGACTGAAGGATAGACAGAGTGCCTGATGTTTCCAGCTGAAATCCTAGGAGGCCTGACTGCAGAGCTCTGCAGAGAGGTCGGGAGGAGTGCGGAGGTGGTGGGGGTGGGGGTGTGTGTAGGGGTGGCTATGGTGTGCAGAGACCCTGGCTTTTCACTGTTGCCTTTAGAGAGGTCTTTAATGCCTACATTAACCCTAGGGCTACCGAGGGAGAACCTACAGCTTTGCAATACAGACTAAGAATGCTACTCCCTCTCTCTCCCACTGCCTATCCCCAAGATTGGGCTCCACTGAGTGATGTGTGTAGCTGCTAACAATTTCTTCTATAGTTTAATTTAGAATTGAGGCCATGCGGGTGTCTAGCTGGTATTAGGTTGGTGCAAAAGTAATTGCGGTTTTTGCCATTAAAAGTAATTTTGCCTGCCGGGCACGGTGGCTCACACCTGTAATCCCAGCACTTCAGGAGGCTGAAGCGGGTGGATCACCTGAGGTCAGGAATTCAAGACCAGCCTGGCCAATGTGGTGAAACCCTGTCTCTACTAAAAAATACAAAAATTAACCGGACATGGTGGTATGTGCCTGTAGTCCCAGCTACTCAGGAGGCTGAGACAGGAGAATCGCTTGAACCCAGGAGGTGGAGGTTGCAGTGAGCTGAGATCACACCACTGCACTCCTGCCTGGGTGATAGAGTGAGATCTGTCTCAAAAAAAAAAAAAAAAAGTAATTTTGCCATTATTTTTAACAGCAAAAACCTCAATTACTTTTGCACCAATGTAATAAACAGTTTCATTTCATAATCCTCTGGGACGAAACTGCATGGGCCATCCTACAGGTAAGAGGAGGAATCATATTCAGTAGTCCCCCAACTTATCAACAGTGGGTACATTCCAAGACCCTCAGTGGATATGTGACATCGTGGATAGTCCTGAACCCCATATATACTATGCATGCACACCAATAAAAAGTTTAATTTATAAATTAAGCATAATAAGAGATTAGCAACATTAATAATAAAATAGAACTATTGGGCTGGGCGTGGTGGCTCACACCTGTAATCCCAGCACTTTGGGAGGCTGAGGCAGGAGGATTTCTTGAGTCCAGAAGTTCAAGACCAGCCTGGGCAATAAAGCGAGACACCATCTCTAAAATATAAAAATAAAGAACAATGATAACAACAGACTACAATAAACTACTATAATAAAAGTGATGTGAATGTGATCTGTCTCAAAATATCTGTACTGTACTCACCCTCTGATGAGATGATGCAGTGTGGTGAGCTGCACGAGATGAGTGGCATAGCATTGTAATGAGTGTTGGGCTTCTCTTGAGCTTCTGACAAACATCAGGAGGATCATCTGCTTCAGGTGATCCTGCATCACCGGGCCATGATGATGTCAATGGTTGGATGTCAGGAGCAGATGATATCAATGATATCAACTATCAATTGATAGTTGAAGGGTTTTTTTGCTGAAATCTTTTGGAAGAACATTGTAATCTGAAGATATTGTCTCTTTCTTTCTTTTTTTCTTTGAGATGGAGTTTCGCTCTTGTTGCCCAGGCTGGAGTGCAATGGCGTGATCTCGGCCCACTGCAACCTCCACCTCCCAGGTTCAAGCGATTCTCCTGCCTTAGCCTCCTGAGTAGCTGGGATTACAGGCATGCGCCACCATGCCCGGCTGATTTTGTATTTTTGATAGAGATGGGGTTTCTCCATGTTGGTCAGGCTGGTCTCGAACCCCCGACCTCAGGTGATTCACCTACCTCGGCCTCCCAAAGTGCTAGGATTACCGGCATGAGCCACCATGCCCAGCCTTTTCTTCTTTTTCTTTCTTTTTTTTTTTGAGATGGAATTTTGCTCTTGTTGCCCAGGCTGGAGTGCAATGGCACAATCTCGGCTCACCACAACCTCTGCCTCCCGGATCCAAGCAATTCTCCTGCCTCAGCCTCCCAAGTAGCTGAGATTACAGGCGCCCGCCACCACACCCAGCTAATTTTTGTATTTTTAATAGAGATGGGGTTTCACCATGTTGGCCAGGCTGGTCTTGAACTCCTGACCTCAGGTGATCTGCCTGCCTCGGCCTCCCAAAGTGTTGGGATTACAGGCATGAGCCACCGCGCCCAGCCCGTCTCTTTCTTTCTAACTGATCAAAGTGTTGCTGCAGGCGTTGTAATCCTTCAGTGATCATTCAAGTGACCTTGATGCTGCCCTCCATTTGAGGATTGTATTCCATAATTTTGCCCTTTAATGTCTATGCAATTTGAAACACTGGCAAATTTTTATTATTGATTCATTTATTTTTTGGAGGCAGGGTCTCACTCTTGCCCAGGCTGGAGTGCAGTGGTGCAGTCATGGCTCACTCCAGCCTCAATGGCCTGGGCTCAAGCAATCCTCTGGCCTTGGCCCCCCTTTAGCTGGAAGCACAGGCACATACCAGCACATCCTGCTAATTTTTAAATTTTTGGTTGAAATGGGGTCTCACTTTGTCATCCAAGCTGGTCTCAAACACTCGGGCTCAAGCAATCCTCCTGCCTTGGCCTCCCAAAGTGCTGGGGTTACTCATGAGCCACTGTGCAGGCCTTGAACTGTCTTTTTAATCTGTATTTTCTCAGTATGGCACTGTTTGTGGTAGAGTTTGGCCTTCTTTGAATGTTCATGAGCCTCCCAACTATCCTTCTTTCTCTTTTTCTCGTGGTAATCCAAACAACACCCATAGTGTTGACAGGGTAACTCAATATATTCATTTTGTGGCCTGGTAACAACCCCAAAGCCACCTGGTGCAGCCCCCAGGGCCTAGAGAAGCTATGAATTTTGGGGTCTCAAAGACCCACAAGCTGACTCAGTGCAGCTTTCAACAAAGGGTCATCTTCTCAAGGAGAAAGCGTTTAATTGAACTAAACTGGGAGCTTCTCAGGGTTTTACCACAAACCTAGCCCCGAGCGTGTCTACAAAATTACTGACATGAAGGCTTTGTTTGTTGAACTGCTCTTCATCTCATAAGCAGAAGAAAAAGAATAGTAAAAAGAATTCCTGCCATATATTACTCTGGAATAAACTGTTGGAAGTGCCACTCTAAAACATTTTTATGGTGAACACTTCGGTGATATGTTTTCTATTCCTCCTATCCCATTCACTGTTTCTATGCCAAAATAGGGTAGGTCTTATCTCCAGTCTACAGTCAAAGAAACTCATTCAGCTCTAAAAGTAGAAGCAGAATTTATACCATGTTCACAACGGTCACTAATTACAGAAACTCAGATTTAGTATGTTTCCAATCCCCTTTTAAAGTGAGTACTGGCCAGGCACCGTGGCTCATGCCTGTAATCCCAGCATTTTGGGAGGCCAAGGCAGGAGGATTGCTTGAGGCCAGGAGTTTGACATCAGCTTGGGCAACATAGTGAATCTCCATCGCTACTAAAAATGTAAAATAAAAAATCAACTAGTCAAAAATGGTGGCACTCGCCTGTAGCCTTAGCTACTTGGGGGGAATGAGGGAAGACACTCCCTTGAGTCTAGGATTTTGAGGTTGCAGTGAGCTCTGATCGCACCACTGCATGCCACAGTGACACTGCGTCTCTAAAATAATAATAATAATGATGATATTAAGATGAGTACGGCCAGGCCAAAGCTTCATAATTTCTCTCTTAGTACACATGAGAATAGGTCTGAGATTCATCATTCATTGATTCCACAAGTATTTCTTTTTTTTAAAAAAAGACAGAGTCTCACTCTGTTGCCCAGGTTGGTCTCGAACTCCCAGGCTTCAGAGATCTTCTCACCTCAGCCTCCCATAGTGCTGGGATTATAGGTGTACACCACTGCGCCTGGCCCAACAAATATTTCTTTCTCTCTCTCTTTTTTAAAAATTTACCATAAAGTCTTTTATCCCTAACAAATGTTTTTTGAATACCTTCCACATGCATGTTCCCAGGAAAGACTTATACAGGCCAGGTGTGGTGGCTCACGCCCTTGTAATCCCAGCACTGTAGGAGGCCAAGGTGGGGACATTGTTTGAGCCTGGGAGTTCAAGACCAGCCTGGACAACATAATGAGACCTTGTCTTTATAAAATAAAAATAGGGCAGTGCGCGGTGGCTCATGCCTATAATCCCGACACTTTGGGAGGCCAAGGCAGGTGGATCACTTGAGGTCAGGAGTTCGAGACCAGCCTGGCCAACATGGTGAAACCCCATCTCTACCAAAAATACAAAAATTAGCTGGGCGCAGTGGCATGTGCCTGTAATCCCAGCTACTTGGGAGGCTGAGGCAGGAGAATTGCTTGGATCCGGGAGGCAGAGGTTGCAGTAAGCCGAGATCATGTCACTGCACTCCAGCCTGGGCAACAGAGCGAGACTCTGTCTCAAAGTAAATAAATAAATAAAATAAAAATAAAAATAAAATTAGGCCAGATGCAGTGGCTCAAGCCTGTAATCCCAGCATTTTGGGAGGCCGAGGCGGGTGGATCATCTGAGGTCGGGAGTTCAAGACCAGCCTGACCAACATTGAGAAACCCCATCTCTACTAAAAATACAAAATTAGCCAGACGTGGTGCTGCATGCCTGTAATCCCAGCTACTCGGGAGGCTGAGGCAGTAGAATTGCTTGAACCCGGGAGGTGGAGGTTGTGGTGAGCCGAGATCGCGCCATTGCATTCCAGCCTGGGCAACAAGAGTGAAACTCTGTCTCAAAAATAAATAAATAAATAGAAAGACTTACATGAAAAAAGTAGGCCGGGCGCAGTGGCTCACGCCTGTAATCCCAGCACTTTGGGAAGCCGAGGTGGGCGGATCACCTGAGGTTGGCAGTTCGAGACCAGTCTGACCAACATGGAGAAACCCCATCTCTACTAAAAATACAAAAAAATTAGCCAGGCATGGTGGCCCATGCTTGTAATCCCAGCTACTCAGGAGGCTGAGGCAGGAGAATCACTTGAACCCAGGAGGCAGAGGTTGTGGTGAGCCGAGATCGAGCCATTGCACTCCAGCCTGAGCAACAAAAGTGAAACTCTGCCAAAAAAAAAAGTAGAAGATCGTTCTTACTTTGGGAAGCTAGTGCCTATAACAGATTGACCCACAATGATGGTACTATAACCTAAAAAGGTAAACAACAGGACTGTGGTGGCAGGGGAAGAGGAGCATCAGAGATCCTACATGAGTTCAACTAGATGGAGGACTGCGGAGAGAGGAGAGAGAATGGAAAAAGAGGGTGCCAAAAGCCACAGCCTGTAGCCTGTGCAGGGACCAGGGACAGGGGTGGCTCAGAAGGAACTGCTGCTTCCTACAATGCTGGAGTGGCCTGGGGCTTAGGAAAGCCAGAGGGCAGGATTCAGTCATGCAGTGAAGAGAAGGACTAATGAAAGGCCTGGACGGTAACTCCTGATTCCTCTCATTCTGTCCTGTCTTGAAGCCCAGAATCCAGAGAGTCAGGTTTTTCCATGTTTCACCCCATGCCAAAAAGTGGAGCCCTCTTCTTTAGTGAAATGGAAAGCCCTAAAAAGAGATAATCAAAACTGCTGGTTTCCCACACTGTCTCCCTAAAGCGAAGTCTGCTGCTACAATCCCTGACCTTGGATGGAATCGCAGTCCTCTTACTAGTGCTTCATTTAAAAAATATTAACTTGGTTGGACGTGGTGGCTCACGCCTGTAATGCCAGCACTTTGGGAGGCCAAGGAGAGCAGATCACCTGAGGTCAGGAGTTCGAGACCAGCCTGGGCAACATGGTGAAACCCCATCTCTACTATAAATACAAAAGTTAGCCAGGCGTGGTGGCGGGCGCCTGTAGTCCCAGCTACTTGGGAGGCTGAGGCAGGATAATCACTTGAACCTGGGAGGCGAAGGTTGCAGTGAGCCAAGACTGCGCCATTGCACTCCAGCCTGGGTAACAAGAGCGAAACTCGGTCTGAAAACAAAATAATAATAATAAAGTAAATAAAAATAAAAATATTAACTTTATTGAAGTGCAATTTACACACAATAAAATACACTTTTTTTTTTTTGAGACAGAGTTTCACTCTTGTTGCCCAGGCTGGAGTGCAATGGCGCGATCTCAGCTCACCACAACCTCCACCTTCCGAGTTCAAGTGTTCTCCTGCCTCAGTCTCCCAAGTAGCTGGGATTACAGGCATGCGCCACCACACCCGGCTAATTTTGTATTTTTAGTGGAGACGGGGATTTCTCCATGTTGGTCAGGGTGGTCTCTAACTCCCAACCTCAGGTGATCTGCCTGCCTCGGCCTCCCAAAATGCTGGGATTACAGGCGTGAGCCACCACGCCCAGCCTACACTCATATTTACGTGAGCACTTTGATGGGTTGTGACAAACATTTATACCCACGTATCCACCAACACAACAGGACATAGAACATTTCCACCACCCCAGAACTTTCCTCACGTCCCTTTATGATCCATACCACTCCCACCTTGGTCCCAGGACTGGGAAACCACTGACCTGCTTTTTTGTTGTATTAAGTTGTTTGTCCTTTTCTATTTTCCTTTCCCTATTTTATTTTATTTATTTATTTTTTTGAGAGGGAGTCTCGCTCTGTTCCCCAGGCTGGAGTGCAATGGCATGATCTCTGCTCACTGCAACCTCTGCCTCCCGGGTTCTAGGGATTCTCCTGCCTCAGCTTCCTGAGTAGCTGGGATTACAGGTGCCCGCCACCAGGTATGCCTCATTTTTATGTTTTTAGTAGAGATGGGGTTTCACCATGTTGTTCAGGCTGGTCTCGAACTCCTGACCTCAGGTGATCCACCCGCCTCAACCTCCCAAAGTGCTAGGATTACAGGGGCGAGCCACCACGCCCGGCCCTTTCCCTATTTTAGATGAAGGAAATCACTCTATTGTGTCCAGCCTCTTTTGCTTGGTATAATGCGTTGAGATTTACCATGTTGTTACGTCTGTCAGTACTTAATTGCTTTTGATTGGTGAATATTGTCTTAGTATTTTTGGGCTGTTGTAACAAAATACCTTAGACTGGGTAATTTGCAATCTATGTACATTTATTGCTCACAGTTCTGGAAGCTGGGAATTCCAAGAACATGGCATCAGCAGATTCACTGACTGATGAGGGCTTGCTCTCAGTTTCAAGGATGGTGCTTTCTAGCTGTGTCTTCACATGGGAAAAGACATAAACACGTTCTCTCAGGCCTCTTTTTTTTTTTTTTTTGAGACAGGATCTCTGTGCTAGAATGGCAACTGAAAATAAAAAAAGAAAAAATATGCTAGAATGATAATTGAAAATAAAGTTTTTAAAAAAAGATAGGGTTTCCCTGTGTTGGCCACACTGGAGTGTAGTGGCGGGATCACGGCTCACTCAGTCCTCTTTTATAAGGGCCCTGATTCTTTCATGAGGCTTTACCCTCATGAACATATCACTTCCTAAAGGCCCCATCTCTTTTATTTATTTATTTTTTTGAGATGGAATTTCGCTCTTGTTGCTCAGGCTAGAGTGCAATGGCGCCATCTCGGCTCACTGCAACCTCCACCTCCTGGGTTCAAGCGATTCTCCTGCCTCAGCCTCCCAAGTAGCTGGGATTACAGGCATGCACCACCATGCCAGGCCAATTTTGTATTTTTCTTTTTTTTCTTGAGATGGAGTTTTGCTGTTGTTGCCCAGGCTGGAGTGCAATGGCGTGATCTCGGCTCACTGCAATCTTTGCCTCCCAGGTTCAAACGATTCTCCTGCCTGAACCTCCCAAGTAGCTGGGATTACAGGCATCTACCACGCCCAGCTAATTTTGTATTTTTAGTAGAGATGGGGTTTCACCATGTTGGCCAGGCTGGTTTTGAACCCCTGACCTCAGGTGATCCACCTGCCTCGGCTTCCCAAAGTGCTGGGATTACAGGCGTGAGCCACCGCACCCAGCCAGGCCCCACCTCTTAACACAGGCTGAGCACCATCATTCAAAATGTGTTTTTTTTTTTTTAGACGGAGTCTCACTGTCACCCAGGCTGGCACAATCTCAGGTTACTGCAGCCTCTTCCTCCTGGGTTCAAGCGATTCTCCTGCCTCAGCCTCCCCAGTAGCTAGGATTACAGGCAACCACCACCACGCCCGACTAATTTTTGTATTTTTAGTAGAGACAGGGTTTCACCATGTTGGCCAGGCTGATTTTGAACTCCTGACCTCAGGTGATCCGCCTGCCTTGGCCTCCCAAAGTGCTGGGATTACAGGCGTGAGCCACCACGCTGGGCTTTGAAAAGCTTTTTGAGTACCAATGTGACCCTCAAAGGAAATGGTCATTGGAGCATTTCAGATTTCTGCTTTTTGGATTTGGGATGCCAGTAAATATTATGCAAATATTCCAAATCCAAAATGCTTCTGTTTCTAAGCATTCCAGATAAGGGATAGTTAGATTTCAACATATGAGTTTTGCGGGACAGAAACATTTAGATCATAGCAAATGGTATTCCATTCTATGGATATGCCACAATTCCTTTATTCATTCTCCTGTTGATGGATATTTGGGTCCTTTCTAGTTTGGGGGTTATTATAAATAAAGCTGCCAAGAACTTCTTCAGACAAATCTTTATGAGTATACATATTTTCTCTTGGGTAAACACCTACAGGTGAAATTGCTGGATCATGAAGTAAGTATATGTGAACTTTATAAGAAACTGCCAAAATGTTTTCCAAAATAGTTGTGTCATTTTTCATTCCCATCAGCAGCATATGAATGTCCCAGTTGTTCCACATCCTTGGCAACACTTGGCATTATCAGTTCGTTTACTTTTAGCCATTTTGGTGGGTGAAAAGTG
The DNA here is from genome assembly GCF_000001405.40 of Homo sapiens. Taxonomy (NCBI): domain Eukaryota; kingdom Metazoa; phylum Chordata; class Mammalia; order Primates; family Hominidae; genus Homo; species Homo sapiens. Next base: position 62,079,057 of record NC_000011.10, read on the forward strand.
GTATGTCACTGTGTTCTTAATTTGCATTTATTTGAATATAAGGTGAGGGCTTCCCCCCACCAAAATAGCATCCTTTGGAAAGAAGGGAGTTATATTTCTGTTCTTTTTTTTTTTTCTTTGAGACAGAGTTTTGCTCTTGTTGCCCAGGCTGGAGTGCAATGGTGTGATCTCGGCTCACTGCAACCACCACCTCCTGGGGTTTAAGTGATTCTCCTGCCTCAGCCTCCCGAGTAGCTGGGATTACAGGCATGTGCCACCATACCCAGCTAATTTTTGTATTATTAGTAGAGATAGAGTTTCACCATGTTTGCCAGGCTGGTCTCAAAGTCCTGACCTCAGGTGATCTGCCTGCCTTGGCCTCCCAAAGTGCTGGGATTACAGGTGTAAGCCACCGTGCCCGGCCTATATTTGTGTTCTTATAAAGTGCCTGAAAAGCTGGAGGACAATGGAGCAATGCCTTGAAAAGATTTATGGGAAAATGATTTCCTACCTGGAATTCAATTCCTAACCAGATCATCAATCAAGCAGAAGCAGAACAAAAGCCACTAAAAGACATGGAAAGTTTTCAAAAATTTTCACTACCGAGCATCCACCTCCAGAAGTCTTGAGGATGCGTTCTATAAAAATGAAGGAGTAAACCAGGAAAGAGAAAGCCATGAGACCCAGGAATCTAGGGCTCAACACAGGAGAGAAGAAAAGGAAATCCTCAGGGTGCTGGTGCAGGGAGATCCCAGGATGACAGCAACCTGGCCATTTGGGAGCCAGTCAGAAGGTGCTGGGAAAAATAGCCCAAGAAGATGATACTGGTAAAGTGCACTTTTCTTTTTTACTTTTTGAGACAGGGTCTCACTTTCTTGCTTTGTCACACAGGCTAGTTTGCAGTGGTGCCAACATGGCTCACTGCAGCCTCTATCCCCAGGCTCAAGCAATCCTTTTGCCTCAGTCTCCTGAGTAATTGGGACTGCAGCTGCACACCACCACAGCCTGTGGCTTATTTATTTATTTATTTATTTATTTATTTATTTATTTGAGATGGAGTCTTGCTCTGTCACCCAGGCTGGAGTGCAATGGTGTGATCTCAGCTCACTGCAACCTCCGCCTCCCGGGTTAAAGTGATTCTCCTGCCTCAGCCTCCTGAATAGCTGGGACTACAGGCCCGTGCCACCATGCCTGGCTAATTTTTGTATTTTTAGTAGAGCGGGGTTTCACCGTGTTAGCCAGGATGGTCTCGATCTCCTAACCTCATGATCCGCCCACCATGGACTCCCAAAGTCTTAGGATTACAGGCGTGAGCCACCGCACCCTGCGGCTAATTTTTTTATGTTTCTTATAGAGACGAGATTTCACCATGTAGCCTAGGCTAGTTTCAAACTCCTGAGCTCAGGCCATTGACCTGGACCTCTCAAAGTGCTAAGATTACAGGCATGAGCCACCACTTGTGGCCATAGTAAAATGCCTAATGTGCTTAAATATACAGAGTGGAGTTTCACACCTTCAGGAAATATTTGGGAAAAAAAACAGAGATAGGTACAGAGAAAGCAAAGCAAACAAATAAAAAATAAGACCAGCATTGAATCTAGGAAAAATAAAAGGTGGGGCTGAGTGATGGGGGTGGGGAGAGGGCTAAACCCCCATTTCCAGAGTCAGAAGTCAGTAGGTGATGTCTGATAGTCACGTGCTGGTAAGTAGAATATGAATACGGTGTTATTTTAAGACATGGAAGTAAATCCCAAAGGAATTGACTAAAATATTTCAAGTTTTGATCTGGGGAGCAGGATAGAAGAGGGACTTGAACTACTGATTCTTAGATTATGTGCATGTACATCTTTGATGAAAAAGAAAGCAAAACCAGACAAAATTATATGCATTGATTCGAGAAAGTAGTCACAATATAATGTTAAGTTAAATAACAGGATATAAAAGGTATATTCAGTATAGTCTCATTTTGTACATTAAATTGGAGGAGCTGATAGAAAAAATAAGAAGAAAATATTTCTAAGTGAAAAGATTAAGCATATATATATATTTTTTTGAGACACAATCGTGCTCTGTTGCCCAGGCTGGAGTGCAGTGGCATAATCATAGCTCATTATAACCTCAAACTCCTGGACTCAAGCGATTCTCCCACCTCAGCCTCCCCAGTAGCTAGGACTGTAGGCACATACCACCACACCTGACTAATTTTTTAATTTTTTGTAGAGGAGGGAGTCTCACTATGTTACCCAGGCTGGTCTGGAACTCCTGGTCTCAATCGGTCCTCCCGCTTTGGCCTCCCTAAGTGCTGGGATTGCAGGCGTGAGCCACTGCGCCTCTTCAGAACTAGGTGTAATTTAATTTTCTTCTTTATATTTTCTTAGATTTTCTAATTTTTATTTTCAAATTAACATTTATTAATTTGTAGCTAGAAAGGAAAACTTCTACAGATTGTAGAGACCAGGTTTTGCCATGTAGCCCAGGCTAGTCTTGCACTTCTGAGCTCAAGCCATCTGCTCACCTGTGCCTGTGGCTGCCAGCTCTGCAAAACCCTTCCTGAGATCAAGAAGGGGAAGCAACTTACCCAGGTTCACTCAGGCAGGTTTTGTGAATCCAAAACCATTGCTCTTTTATAGCTTCCTGTTTCTCCACTTGGGATTTCTTCCAGCTGAAAGCTTACTCATTATATGAAGGCTCAGAGCTCCCAGGTCAATGTCATCTTCTTCATGGAGCTGTGCCTGGAGATGACGCCCCCTTTCTCTGCTCCATTAAACCCGGTGTCTTTCCTGCTGTGTGTGCCAGCGGCTGTGTTGTGGTTGTGGGTGTGCTTGCTTTCGAGTCTTCGTTCTGCTATAAGCCCCTTGGAAGTAAGGACCACACCTTAGGTATTTCCATCTCTCCTTATGCAGCATCCAGGTGCATCACTCACGTGCAGGAGGGATTGGCTGAACACAGAGGCAGGTTAACTCAAGAATAAACTTTATTATTTGCTTTTAGGTGCTGTAGTGTGACGTGAAGCAGGTAGCTCATAATTGTGAAGATAAACTTGTGGAGTAGGTGGGTTTTGAGGTCCAGTAGGAAGATAGGCCCCACACAATGGTAGTTTGATTATTAATCAGCGTGGAGCAGGTGAATCAGCTGTTGCATTCCCCGGGAAGAACGCGGGCTCGGCCGGCCTGTGCTGGACTCTGGCGCCCCCAAATGGTCACGTGGGTTTATTACACATCGGAAGTAAACAGCTTTTACTGATGATGAAGTAGTGACTGTCTTGGTAGCTCTCTAGAAGCTCATTCGCCTTCTCTTTAAAGTTACACTTCACAGAGGCAGGATAATCCATCCGGTCAAGGAGAAAGGAAAATCGGATTAGGGCTTCCAATAAACCTGTAATATTTTAGGTGTACCGCTGAGTCATAAATATCAGCTAAGTCTGTTGTATCATCACCTGTACTTCTTTTTGCGCATCTTAAAATACCATTTAAAATAACGAAAAAAATCTACAACTTAGCTCTAGAGTATCATGCCTCCAAAAGACACTGGGTTTAATTTTTAGATGTTTTCCCTTTTTCGTTGGAGGTAAAAATAAAATTCAGGATTATGTTTTTCAGACCTATGTTTGTTTTCATACTTGTAAAACCTACATATGTATCCATAAACACACAGAGTATTGATTTGTGTTTCAATTTTAAAAAATTGATGTCACACTGTACCATTCTGAAGGTCTTTTTTGTTTGTTTGTTTGTTTTTTGAGATGGAGTCTCGCTCTGTTACCCAGGCTGGCGTGCAGTGGCGTGATCTTGGCTTACCGCAACCTCTGCCTCCCAGGTTCAAGCGATTCTCCTTCCTCAGCCTCCTGAGTAGCTGGGACTACAGGTGCGTGCCACCACATCTGGCGAATTTTTGTATTTTTAGTAGAAATGGGGTTTCACCATGTTGGCCCTGGCTGGTCTTGAACTCCCAACCTCAAGTAATCTGCCCACCTTGGCCTCCCAAAGTTCTGAGATGATAGGCACGAGCCACCACACCTGGCCATATCTTGCTTTTATTGATCAACATTGTGTTTAAGAATTATTCATGTTGGTACATATATTTCTAGTTGATTCACGTTTACCGCTGAAAAATTCCTCGTATAACTATGCACGTATATATATGTGTGTGTGTGTGTGTGTATCTATATATATATATATATATTTTTTTTTTTTTTTGAGACACAGGTTGTACTGTTGCCCAGGCTGGAATGCAATGGCACAATCTCTGCTCACTGCAACCTCCACCTCCCAGGTTCAAGCGATTCTCCTGCCTCAGCCTCCCGAGTAGCTGGGATTACAGGTGCCTGCCACCATGCCTGGCTAATTTTTTGTATTTTTACTAGAGATGGGGTTTCGCCATCTCTCACTTAACTAAGGTGATCTGCCCGTCGAAGTGCTGGGATTACAGGGGTGAGCCACTGCGCCTGGACTTTTTTTTTTAAATTCATTAAAATAATAGAAAAATAGAGACAGGGTCTTTGTGTTGCCCAGGCTGGTCTCAAATAGCTGAGCTCAAGCAGTCCTCCAGCCTTGGCCTCCCAAAGTGCTGGGATTACAGGTGTGAGCCACTGTGCCTGGTCTTTATGATATCTTTTTGTATTCCAAAGTCATAAGATAGTCATTTAATTTTGAAAATTATTTTAAAAATTTGCTTTTTACATTTAGATGCTTAAATCCCCTTGATTTTATTTATGTAGTTGGTGCAAGGTGAATGCTTCTTTATCTGTATGGGTGACTTTCTCTTGGGCAGGGTACACATTTAAAAGCTCCGAGGAAGCTTTTAAAAGACCATTTCTGGGCCTCATCACAGAACAGATGAAATCAAAATTTCTGAGTGTGGACCTGAGACATCAGATTTAAAAAATAAAAACAAAACTCTCCCAGGCGTTTTTTAACATGGAGCCAGGGCTGAGAATCTTTGCTTTAAGGTCAGACCAAGAGTAGAGTTGCTGGGGTGTGTATTATTCGCATTGTCAGCTATACTGGATGTTGCTGGTGCTCTCTAAAGTGATTAAACTAGGCCGGGCGCAGTGGCTCACGCCTGTAATGCCTGCACTTTGGGAGGCCAAGATAAGCAGATCACCTGGGGTCTGGAGTTTGAGACCAGCCTGGCCAACATGGTGAAACCCCGTCTCTACTAAAAATACAAAAATTAGCCAGGCGTGGTGGCAGGCGCCTGTAATCCCAGTTACTTGGGAGGCTGAGGCACGAGAATTGCTTGAACTTGGGAGGCAGAGGTTGCAGTGAGTAGAGATTGCACTGTTGCACTCCAGCCTGGGCAACAAAGCGAGACTCTGTCTAAAATAAATAAATAAATAAATAAATAAAATAAAGTGATTAAACTATTTATGGTCCTCAAGTAGGAGAATTTCAATTGCTTCACACTTTTGAAAATACATGTTGTGATATTTATATAAAACCAAGAACCATGGATGAAAAAACATATATGTGTGTCTCATATATGTATGCATTTCATATACATATGTGTTATAAACATATATATGTCTTTCATATATATATATATAAAATGTTTTCACCCATGATTCTTGGCTTATAACTCCCATAGCTCTTGTTATTACAGTTTCTGTTATAATGTTAGGGCACTTTAGTTCTCACAAGCAGGCTTCAGGAAACAGAATCTCTCTCTCTCTCTCTGACCTTCTCCTGCCCACCTTTTACCTGCTCCTTTTTTCTCCCCACCTTTTACCTGCTTCTTTTCCTATCTTTCTGTCTAGGAGCTGGTCATGAGGAAATTCTCTGGCCTACTTTGATTGTAGGTCACAATACCCTCATTTCAGACAGGTCCTGCCCTATTCCCTGGAAGGAATGCTGCACAGAGAGACCAAGAAGAATCTGATCAGATGGGCCTTGTTGGGTTTCCCCATTCAGCCTGTTAGTGTTAGATCGTACCCAATCATATTTATTTTATTTATTTATTTATTTATTTATTTATTTATTTATTTATTTTTTGAGATGGAGTCTCACTCTGTCACCTAGGCTGGAGTGCAGTGACGTGATCTCGGCTCACTGCAACCTCCGCCTCCCGGGTTCAAGCAATTCTCCTGCCTCAGCCTCCCAGGTAGCTGGGATTACAGGCTCCCACTACCATGCCTGGCTAATTTTTGTATTTTTAGTAGAGACGGGGTTTCACCATATTGGCCAGGCTGATCTCGAACTCCTGACCTCGTGATCCGCCCGCCTTGGCCTCGCAAAGTGTTGGGATTACAGGCGTGAGCCATCATGCCTGGCAATAAATTATTTCTTCAAATATTGTGGGGATACAACTGCAGAGATCTCAGATTTCAACGTGTTTTTGTCCAATGCTTATACCATTCAGGTTATAACCATTTCAGAAAAGGTCTGTATAATTCTGGCAATTCATGTATGGCCTTGTAGTGTTAGGTTTTTAGGTGTATATGTGGGATATGTGTGGTTTAGGAAAAAAGCCTTGCAACTTTACAAAGCACTGGACATACACTAGCTAGCCTTCTCTTCACTCCTGTCATTACTGATCTGTTTTCCCCATTTTAGTAAATGGTCAAGATTTACCCCTAGAGAAAGAGTCAGCTTGTGGCCAAATTCATGTTTGATAGATCTTCTCAGCTCTAAAACTGAAAGGGAGAAACTTCAGACAGCAGAAAGAGAAAACAAACAAGCAGGGTGGGTGAAATAATTTCCTATGGTTGTTGAAACAAATTACCACAAATTTCGTGGTTTAAAACAACACAAGGCTGGGCTCAGTGGTGCATGCCTGTAATCCCAGCACTTTGGGGGGCCGAGGTGAGAAAATTGCTTGAGCTCAGGAGTTTGAGACCAGCCTGGCAACACAGTGAGACCTTGTCTCTAAAAAATAAAGAAAGAAAGAAGAAAAAGAAAAAAATTCCAAAAACCAAAACCACCCCACACATTTATTATCTTATAGTTCTGGGGTCAGAGGTCCAAAATGGGTCTTTATGAGCTAAAAACCAAGGTGTTATCAGGCCTGCATCCCTTCTTTTTATTTTATTTAATTCTTTTTTTTTTTTTTGGTAGGGATGCAGTCTCACTCTAATGCCCAGGCTGGTCTTGAATTCCTGGGCTCAAGCAATTCACCCATCTCGGCCTCCCAAAGTGCTGGGATTGTAGGCATGAGGAACTGTGCCTGGCCTTACTTTTGGGTTTTTGAGGAAAAGTGTGGTTTAGACACTTGGAAATGTCTTTGTCGAAAAAAAATGTTTTTTAAGTGTACAGTAAAAGCATCACATGGTCTAACCTCATAATAATTCTCCCTTTTTGGAGACCCAAGATTCAACGTGGGCTTTCCCAGAGCTCAGAGATCCAGTTAAAAGATAAGTAGGCCCTATCTAAATAAAATTGATCCCCTTATACAATCCTATGATAGATTTCTATAATTTTATGTTCAATTTGGCATCCATCTTTAATCTTCCTCTAGCACCACCAGACTTTTACTCTCTGTACCTTATGATGTAAATTTTTCTATTTGATTTTCAGCTGAGTTCTTTCCTTTAATATGCACATTTAAGGCTATTTAACTGACAACTGCCTAGTGTTGTGAAACAGGTTATCAAGTATCTGAAAGTCTAAGATAGGAAAAAAAAAAAAAGGTGTGTTTATTAAGTCTATAAGATGTAATTCTTTTTTTTTTTTTTTTTTTTTTTTTTGAGATGGAGTCTCGCACTGTCCACTGGCCTGGAGTGCAGTGGCGCAATCATGGCTTACTACAACCTCCGCTCCCAGCTTCAAACGATTCTCCTGCCTCAGCCTCCCAAGTAGCTGGGATTACAGGTGCCCGCCACCACACCCAGATAATTTTTTTTATTTTTAGTAGAGACAGGGTTCCACTATGTTGGCCAGACTGGTCTCAAACTCCTGACCTCGTGATCTGCCCACCTCAGCCTCCCAAAGTGCTGGGATTACAAGCATGAGCCACTGCGCCTGGCCTTTTTTTTTTTTTTTTTTTTTTGAGACAGAGTCTCTCTCTGTTGCCCAGGCTGGAATGCAGTGGCACGATCTTGGCTCACTGCAACCTCCATCCCCCAGGTTCAAACAGTTCTCCTGCCTCAGCCTCCTGAGTAGCTGGGATTACAAGAGCCCACAACCATGCCCGGCTAATTTTTTGTATTTTTAGTAGAGGTGGGGTTTCACCATGTTGGTCAGGCTGGTCTCAAGCTCCTGATCTCAGGTGATCCACCCATGTTAGCCTCCCAAAGTGCTGGGATTATAGGCGTGAGCCACTGCACCCAACCTATAAGATGTATTTCTATTGGCATTCCTAATACATCTATGTATTTATGTGTTGTATACACAATGTTTCACTACCAAAAATATATAAAAGAGGTCTAATTAATTGGCTTAAAGAAAAATAAAAGCATTGAAATAAAATACTTTATCAGAAAAAGGAAAAACTAGTCAAATTATTTTTCAAGTTTACATGACTTAAGTAAAATCTTTAATAAGTAAGCTAGCTTTAAAATTATTGGTAAAATAATATTAGAAATGTCTTAAGAATTTCCAGCATACATTTTATTTGCATTTATTAATCTAGCAATTTCATACTTATCCTAGCCAAATACTATAAGGTGTCAAAATTTGGCACAGGGGTTACAAAACCATAAACCCAGCCCAAAACAGAATGATTCTTGCTTGCCGATCTTTAATAAACAAGACATTGATATTGTTTAACAAAAATAGCTACATCTGGAATTACTTAGTAAAATTACCATAACTTCTAATCTTGTGGCTTTAGGCAGTCTAGTCTACAGGCAGTAAGGAGGTTTGTTTTGGGAAAGGACTGCTATTGTCTTTGTTTCAATGCTAAACTATAAATTAAGTTCCTCCCAAAATTCAGGAATGAACAAGGACAGCTTGGAGGTTAGAAGCAAGATGGAGTCAGTTAGGTCATATCTTTTTCATTGTCTCAGTTAGAATTTTGCAGTGGCAAGTTTCATAGCTTTAAATGATGACTATCACAGTTTTCATAAATAATCTAGGTAAACAAAATAAAATAACTAGGTAAATGTAATGAGATAAATACTTGTAGACAAACTGGTCATAATTTAGAATCTAGAGTTAAATTAAATAGTAGATATTTCATTATTTGGGTATTTTCAAATAAAAATATATATTGTATGAAAAAATTGTTTCTTAAGAAAAGTGTCCTTTTTAAAAAGGTGAACAAATTTTGTCAAATTCAAAGCTTATTTAAAGGTTATGTATAAAACAAGGTAAAAGGAACCAGGAAATAAGAGAGATATAAAGAAAGTTATAGAAATAAAGAGGGTTTTTTTGGGGGGGTAAGAAAGCTTAAAGAGAAATAATTTTATATAAGAAAGAATCTTGTATGGTAAATTTAGACCTAGAATAAAATGACTAGTTGTTTAAGAAAGAGGAATGTTTGGGACAAACCAGAAAGTCCAAGCATGTCATGAATGGTCTGTGTAAGTCACAATAAAAGGATTTATTTTTAAAAAAACTTTTACATGATCAACTTGTCTATAATTAAAGGGAAATTATACTGGTTTTTCTAGAGATTGGGTTTGATGTAAGAAAAACATGTGTACACTAAAGAATTGATTAGAACAACAAAGTTTCCTTACAGGATTTATTTACTCATAATAAATAATAAGATATTTTAATTTTTTTAACCCCAATTTCAACTTTTATTGCATCTTGCCATTTTCGGTTTTCTCTCCCCTTTTAAAAGACATGAAATAATAATGTTCTCCTTCAACTCATTTTCAGCTCATAGAAGTTTTTTTTTTCCCTCAAATTCTGTTTGTTGTGGCCTGATGCTAATAATATTTTCTTAAAGATTGAAAGGAAATGTTTTCTTCCAATATAATATTCTGTACACTGCAGAAGGTCTTTTCTTTTGCCTTTTGGTAACTAGTCTAACAGATTTTACATTTTATCAAAATTATTCCTGTGGCATTATTATTAAGTTTTGGCTTGCTTAGGAAAATCTGTGATTACAAATTTTTTTAATTAAGGTTATTACATCTGTGTATCTTTCTGTATGTGCTTTTAACATACTCGTGACATTGAGTTACAGGGCTTTGACTCCTGGGTCTAAAAAGGACACCAAGTCCTGCTATATCTCAAAGACTGACAACAATTAAAGCCTTGTCTTCAGGCCCCATAGAAGATGCCAGTCAAAATAACTGCATTCCTGAGACACAGGGCCAGAAATTACAGCCATTTAGCTCCTCAAGGTCCAGGGACTGTGGTGGAAGAGGTGGGCGTATTAGAGATTGTAACGGCCAAGTTTAACAGATAAAATAAGTCCAGTTTCTCTACAAATTAACCATTAATGTCAAAGCCACACTGATGCAAGACCAGTATATAGGCCCCTGTGTCAGATTAACAAGATTTTCTTGAAGCATTAACCAACTCCTTAATAAAGGTTATCAAAAACTTATGGAAGTTATATCTTATGATCAAGATTAAAATTTTATAGATTGTTTATGCAATTTTGAAAAACAAATTGGCTTCACGCTGTTTTTATTTGGGCTTATTGTTTGGAAAATTAAGTCTTCTCTCTCAAAGAATGAAGGTTTTTACCTTTTTTTTTATTTTTTGGAAATCCTTGAGTTATCACTTTGGTTAAATGAATGACTTATTTTACAATGACCTGTAATCTTATTTTGTGATGTGTTTTAAACCTTTGATATTTGACAAACTTTCCAAAATCAAATTATAAATCATGTTTTTTCTGATCTAGCTAATCCTTTAAGATATTATTAATAGTTACCCTAAAGTCCAAAAATGACATATTTGGCTTATTGGATATTAAAATTATACCAGAAGCATTGTCAAATATGAAATGGGGTTTGGTTTTCTTTGGGCTATATTTGTATAAAATGTTATTGGTATGTGTTCTAAAATTATGGGAGCCTCCTATAATTCTGATATGACTTAGTGTATATTATCAGTAATAATTATAATTACTATTTTAAATTATTGTGTGCCACAGAGGTAACACATTCCCTTGTCAACTGTGTCTTTGACTATGGCTGCCCTAGAACTTTTTGTCATCCATGAACAATTGTCTTGTTTTGGTCCTCTTTAGAATGTGGTTTTATAATCAGCTATAACACTCTAACACGTCCTCTTGAATGCAGGTTTCTAATAACTTTGGAGATTGTGACATCAGAATAGAGGAAAAACTTTCAGGACTCATGGACTGCTGAAATGTTCATGAATATCAAGCAGAATAGGAATTAACTGTGTGGAATAAACTAATAGAAGTCTGAAGTGATCTTTTTAGCTTTTTGCTTAAAACGTTGCTGATCCTTTGTTTTGTTTTTCAGAGTCAAGAAAACTTTTAAGCTATTTACAGATTTTAACAAGTGAGTAAATTATATTCCTATGAACAAAATCTGGAGCATATTTGTTTCACTCTACCTGATTTTTCAATAATTTGGAAACTATTTGTGAGTATTCTTTTTTCTTTTGAGATGGAGTTTTGCTCTTGTTGCCCAGGCTGGAGTGCAATGACGCCATCTCAGCTCACCACAACCTCCACCTCCTGGGTTCAAGTGATTCTCCTGCTTCAGCCTCCCGAGTAGCTGGGATTATAGGCATGTGCCGCCACGCCTGGCTAATTTTGTTTTGTATTTTTAGTAGAGACAGGGTTTCTCCATGTTGGTCAGGCTGGTCTCGCACTCCTGACCTCAGGTGATCCGCCTCACTCAGCCTCCCAAAGTGCTGGGATTACAGGTGTGAGACACCACGCCCAGCTGTGATTATTCTTAACTTATGACAATAAAGTTATTTGCATAAGTGCAGTAATAATCTGTTTTCATTTGTAACAGGACACAATTGGAGAAACTGGTTATTTTACCAAGACTTTGACTGGAATGGTGTGCTTTCCATTAAGGAATCAAACTTGAATTATGGAGCCAAATAAAGCCCCTTGGAAAAACTGGCCTCATACCCCTTGTCTACTTCGCCCCTGTACAGGGTTCCTGACCTTCGCTAGGTAAAGAATGTCACTTTCTGACAGGCTTAGGAGCCCCAAATTTGTATTGGAACCCCAAGAGAGAGGAACACTCAACTCATAAGATACTTGATGGCACAAATCCATGGCTGGGCTCAGCTTTAAAAAAGTCTTATCCGAGATTCCTCCTATGGAACACAGTTCCATCAAAGTCAATTTAAAAGCCTATGTAAAAAATAATTATTCTTTTTTTTTTTTTTTTGAGTTGGAGTCACACTCTGTTGCCCAGACTGGAGTGCAGTGGCATGATCTTGGCTCACTACAACCTCCACCCCATGGGTTCAAGTGATTCTCATGCCTCAGCCTCCTGAGTAGCTATGATTATAGGTGCCCAGCATGCCTGGCTAATTTTTGTATTTTTAGTAGCGATGGAGTTTCATCATGTTGGCAAGGCTGGTCTCAAACTCCTGACCTCAGGTGATCCACTCACCTCGGCCTCCCAAAGTGCTGGGATTACAGGCATGAGCCACCGCACCTGGCCAAAAAAAAATTTTCAATTTGTTAGTAAATATGTCCTGTTCCACACCAAAATATTCTTCCATTAGAAAGCCTATGTTTCTAAAAATTATAAAATGTGTATTCATAAGTTGTTAGCATGTGACTAACATTTAAAAATTGCTTACTTCTTGCTGGGTGGTGTGGCTCCCATCTATAATCGTAGCACTTTGGGAGGCTAAGGAGGGCGGATCACTTGAGGCTAGGAGTTTGAGACCACCCTCACCCACATGGTGAAACCCTGTCTCTACTAAAAATACAAAAATTAGCCAGGTATAGTGGCGCATGCCTGTAGTCCCAGCTACTCTGGAGGCTGAGGAATGAGAATCAATTGAAGCTGGGAGGTGGAGGTTGCAGTGAGCCAAGATGGCACCACTATAATCCAGCTTGGGCAACAGAGCAGACTATGCCTCAAAAAAAAAAAAAAAAAAATCGCTTGCTTCTTGGGTTTCCAATGTGAATTAAGGTTACTAAAAGTTAAAATTCTGACTAATATATGGTAACTAAAACTAGAGATGAGAAACAATTCTATATAGAGCATATAAAGAAAATAATTTTTTTTGGTGAAAAGGTTATGAAAAAAGTCATAAAGATGTGGTTTTGTTAAAGGAAAAGTAATTTTGTCTGGTTTAGGTTGTATTAAATTGAAGGAATAAAAGAAGGAAAAAATGACGTAGATAAACCAAATGGAAATGGAAAATTGGAGAAGGAAAGAAAATGGGAAAAATTGTAAGAGGTTATCAAAGGTTTGTAGAAATTTATCTTGTGTGGTCAAAGCTGATTGATATTGGATAGAAGTTTATAAAGCTTTATTAAAATTAGCTTTAATATTAATAATACACTAATTTGGTTTTCTCTTTTAAACAAGATTTTCATGAAATATTAATAAAAGACTTTTTGAGTAGGCCGGGCGTGGTGGCTCATGCCTGTAATCTCAACACTTTGGGAGGCTGAGGTAGGAGGATCACTTGAGCCCAGGAGTTGAGGCCAACCTAGGCAACATAAAAAAAATTAGCCGGGTGTGGTGGTGCACATCTGTAGTCCCAGCTATTCCAGAGGCTGAGGTGGGAGGATCACTTGAGAGGGAAGTAGAGGCTGCAGTGAGCCATGGTCCATGCCACCGCACTCCAGCCTGGGTGACAGAATGAGACCCTCTCTCAAAAAAAACAAAACAAAAAAATATAAACCAGTCTGGGCACAGTGGCTCATGCCTATAATCCTAGCACTTTGGGAGGCTGAGGCGGGGGGGTCATGAGGTCAAGAGACGGAGACATCCTGGGCAACATGGTGAAACCCTTCTCTACTGAAAATACAAAAATTAGCTGGGCGTGATGCTGGGCACCTGTAGTCCCAGCTACTTGGGAGGCTGAGGCAGGAGAATCGCTTGAACCTGGGAAGCGGAGGTTGCAGTGAACCATGATCATACCACTGCACTCCCGCCTGGGTGATAAGAGTGAAACTCTTGACTCAAAATATATATATATATATGTAAAATATTTTAATGTTCATGCTGGTCAGCTGGGCCTAAACTCCAAAAGGGAGAAGGTATCATGAAGTGTATCTGACCTCCCTTCCCGTCATGGCTGGGAATTCCATTTTTCAGGTTTCTCTGGGGTCCTCTTGGCCAAGAGGGGATCTATTCAGTTGGATAGAGGGCTTAGAATTTTATTTTTGGTTTACAAGAGAGTTGGAGAATGACTTGGTGTAGGAAATTCACACAGTTGATGTCAGAAGTGTTGTAAGAGTAGAAGGAATGTATTTTTCTTTATATGGATTTCCTACCAGTGCAATGTTTTCTAATTTAGAATTATTCCAATTTGAAAAGATCCCACTAGTATTAAAAATGCTGGGCCAGCTGTGGTGGCTCATGCCTGTAATCCCTGCACTTTGGGAGGCCGGGGCAGGCAGATAACTGGAGGTCAGGAGTTTGAGACCAGCCTCCAACATTGCAAAACCTCCTCTCTACAAAAATACAAAAAAAAAATTAGTCGGGTCTGGTGGTGGGCACCTGTAATCCCAGCTACTCAGGAGGCTGAGACAGGAGGATTGCTTGAAACTGGGAGGTGGAAGTTGCAGTGAGCCGAGATCGCGACACTGCACTCCAGCCTGGGCAACGAGCGAAAACTCCATCTTATTAAAAAAATAAATAAATAAAGTGCTGCCCGGGCATGGTGGCTCACGTTGGTAATCCCACCACTTTGCAGGACAAGATGGGAGTATCACTTGGGAGTTTGAGAGCAGTCTAGGCAACACAGCAAGACCTCATCTCCACAAAATTAATTTTAAAAGTAGCCAGTCATGGTGGCACACACCTGTAATCTCAGCTACTCAGGAGGCTGAGGTGGGAGGCTCTCTTGAGCCCCAGGACTTCGAGGCTACAGTAAGCTATGATCACACTGTTGAACTCCAGCCTGGGTGACAGAATGAAACCTTGTCCTTCAAAAGTAAAATTTTTAAAAAGAAACACTGTGTGAGGACTGCCAAGCTCAAATAATTTAGTAAAGTCTTTGATACTAAATATAAAACACGGTCCTTTTTACATTTTGTCAGGGAGCACACTAGTAAGCCTGTGAAACCCATCATAGCTCAGCTTCTTAGCCACCATTGTAGGTTTTTACACGAATTTTTCAGACCTTCCTAACTGTACTGTCAGAAGGATGCATAAATTGAGCTAGTCAAATTAAATAGTTACGGATTGAATAAAAGCTTGGATTTGATCATACTAGCAGATCGTTCTTCCTTATTCATCAAAAATGACAAGCCCAGAAATAGCCCTGGTTGGAGATCAGTATCATTGTGCTCATAAGTTTGGTTTGAGGATAAATTGAGGCCTTGCATAAATAATCTCTCTTCATTATAGCATTGACCATCTTAGCTATATTTTACAGATTCTTCAGATGGCCACAGTGAATGGTTTGGTCATGAGAGTCTTCTTTGGGAAATAAACATACAGCTGGAGATCCCTATTAGGCTGAGGACATAAATAAATCAATGTTTTCTGGTTTGCACTGTAGCTCCAACACGTTAAAAGAAGAGGAGGAGGTGGAGGAGAAGGAGGGAGGGAAAGAGGGACGGGAGGAAAAAAATACACAGAAGAAAATACTCAAATCATAAAAGAAAGTTTAACCCAAAATATATGTGGATCGGAAAGTATTATGGATAAACCCTAAATATAGTTCTTAAAACTGGAAATTTGGCCTGGCATGGGGGCTCACACCTGTAATCCCAGCACTTTGGGAGGTTGAGGCAGGCGGATCACCTGAGGCCAGGAGTTTGAGACCAGCCTACCAACATGGCAAAACCTCATCTCTATAAAAAACACAAAAATTAGCCGGGCATGGTGGTGCATGCTTGTAGTCTCAGCTACTTGGGCTGCTGGGGTGGGAGAACCGCTTGAGCCTGGGAGGCGTAGGTTGCAGTGAGCTGAGATCGCACCACTGCACTCCAACCTGGGTGATAGAGTGAGACTCCATCTCAAAAAAAAAAAAAAAAAAAGCTGGCAATTAGTAGGGGCATTCAGAGTGCTCCCTAGACACTGTGTGTGCCTGATAAAACCAGGAGCCCGGGGGTATTTCTGCCTCTAAGCAAACAGGAAACAATAACTGCTTGGGATGTAGAGGGCTTCTTGCCATGACGTGTCCCCTGAACTTGAAGTTATGCCCAAAGGTCTCATTACCTCAGAAGAGATGAAAAAAAAATTGTAGGTGGCTGAACGAGGCAGAGAGGGAAGTTGATATAAGAAGAAAAATTGTTTAGGATTGTCAACCTAAAGGAAAAAACAGAGGCACAAAATATAATTTTAAAGAGTTTCCTTGGGCAGAGATAAGGACGGCTGCCCGGAAGACTCAGACCCAAGTAATCTTGATATGAGCTCTCGCTGGTTTTTTTTGTGTGTGTGTTTTTGTTTTGTTTTGTTTTGTTGTGTTGTGTTGTGTTGTGTTTTTTGAGACAGTCTCACTCTGTCACCCAGGTCAGAGTTCAGTGGCACGATCTCAGCTCACTGCAACCTCTGCCTCCCGAGTTCAAGCGATTATTCTGCCTCGGCCCCCTGAGTAGCTGGGACTACAGGCACATGCCACCATGCCCGGCTAATTTTTGTATTTTTAGTAGAGACGGGGTTTCACCATATTGGCCAGGCTGGTCTCGAACTCCTGACCTTGTGATCTGCCCACCTCGGCTTCCCAAAGTGCTGGAATTACAGGCATGAGCCACCAGGCCCGGCCCTCTGGTTGGTTTTTAAAGGCAAAAAGGGGCACAAGGAGTGGGGTTGATAGCAAAGTTGTTTATTAGGATTCTCACTGATTTACAGAAATAACATTGATTGATGATTGGCTATTCATTTTTGAACTACAGGGTATGAGTTATGGTGTCCAGTGTGCAGCATTGTTCGATTAATTTATAGCTACTTGTGGCAGCAGTCAGTCTAGAGTCCACATAACAAGCAGCTTGAAGAAATGGTTACCCAGCTCAAGGCGGGAGTCCCCAGCACTGTGGGAGGCCAAAGGGGGCGGATCACCAGGTCAGGAATTCAAGACCAGCCTGGCCAACATGGTGAAACCCTGTCTCTACTAAAACTACAAAAATTAGCTGGGCATGGTGGCATGTGCTTGTAATCCCAGGTACCCGGGAGACTGAGGTGGGAGAATCGCTTGAACCGAAACCTGGGAGGCAGAGGTCACAGTGAGCCACGATAGCGCTACTGCACTCCAGCCTGGGCAACAGAGACCAGGCTGCACTCCAGCCTGGGCGACAGAGTGAGACCTGACACGATCTTGGCTCGCTGCGACCTCTGCCTCCCCTGTTCAAGTGACTCTCATGCCTCAGCCTCCCAAAATGCTGGGATTACAGGAGTGAGCCACCGCACCCGGCCTCAAGATTTCTAATCATGTGTTCATGGGGGCATGCCCATGACATGTCTCCAATAAGGCTGAAGCATTCTCCCAGTGAAATGCGTGGAGCTATCTTCCTGATGGCCAGGCAGATGAAATAGCAGGTTTCCCCCAGATAAAATCTCCATTTCTCCATGTAAAATAGATTGGTGGTCAAGCCTAGAAAACAGTTTGAAGGAACTTTTCTCAAAAGTTCCAGTGTTAGGTTTCTTCAGAGGTACATACAGATAGAGGGGTGACCAAATATCTTTTTTTTTCTCATTTATTTATTTTTTTAATTTGAGACAGAATCTCAATCTGTTGCCCAGGCTGGAGTGCAGTGACACGATCTTGGCTCACTGCAACCTCTGCCTCCCCTGTTCAAGTGACTCTCGTGTCTCAGTCTCCCAAGTAGGGGATTACAGGCTGTGCCACCACACCGTGCTAACTTTCTGTAGTTTTAGTAGAGATGGGGGTTTCACCATGTTGGCCAGACTGGTCTTGAACTCCTGGCCTCAAGTGATCCACCTGCCTCAGCCTCCCCAAGTGCTGGGATTACAGGCATGAGCCACCACGCCCAGCTGTGACCAAATATCTTAAGAGACACTGCCCTTCAGTTTAGCAGCAGGGGGGGTGGTAAGCAACACCTGATATAGTCCCTCCCAACAGGATCGGAGGGAATCTTCTATTTGATGGTGATTGTAATAAACAAAATCTTCAGGTTGGAGGCCATAATCTTTTATGTCTTCATCTCCAGGGAGCTTACTGCTAAAATAACCTTTAATTAATCTAGAATTTTTAGTGAGAGGCTTTATAAGGCCTTGGCAATAATGAAGAAAATCAGCTGGGCACAATGGCTCATGCCTGTAATCTCAGCACTTTGGGATGCCAAGGCAGGAAGAACACTTGAGCCCAGGACCTCAAGACCAGCCTGGGCAACACAGTGAGACCCCATTTTCTACAAAGAATTTTTTAAAAAGTTAGCCGGGCATGGTGGCACGCACCTGTATTCCCAGCTACTTGGGAGGCTGAGGTGAGAGGATGCCTTGAGCTCAGGAGGTAGAGGCTGCAGTGAGCCCAGATAGTGCCACTCCACTCCAGCCTGGGAGACAGAGCAATACCCTGTGTCAAAAATAAAATAAAATAAAGAAAATCACCCTTAAGGAAAGCTAGTTTGTAGGCTTCTTCACTCAGGCGCATGGGTGAAGTAGAAAATTCCTGTACATTTTGCCAATTGATTTTTATTACCCTCTGTGCATTCCACCAGTTCAGAAGACCTAGGGTGATGTGTGTGTGTGTGTGTGTGTGTGTATATATATATATGTATATGTGTATATGTGTATATATATATGTATATATATATAACCAAAAAAAACTTTTGAGTAAACTGCAAAAGAAAAAAAGAAACAAAAGAAAATGACCAAATTGACCAAATTCCTTCATCATTGGCATCTTTAACCATGGCCATTTTAAGTGTTGTCCTTTTCCTTCTTGGGGAGTTCCTTCTGTGCTTCACAGCAACTGAGGAACCCATTTCACTGGTCAAATAATTTGGTCTATTTTGGTCTATTTGTTCACATGGCTGATTTTCCAGCATTTCCATTGTGCGTACCACCCTAGGTCTTTTCTTTTCTTTCTTTTTTTCTTTTGCAGTTTACTCAAAAGTTTTTTTTGGTTATATATATATACATATATATATATCTATATACACATATACATATATATATATATACACACACACACACACACACACACACATCACCCTAGGTCTTCTGAACTGGTGGAATGCACAGAGGGTAATAAAAATCAATTGGCAAAATGTACAGGAATTTTCTACTTCACCCATGCGCCTGAGTGAAGAAGCCTACAAACTAGCTTTCCTTAAGGGTGATTTTCTTTATTTTATTTTATTTTTGACACAGGGTATTGCTCTGTCTCCCAGGCTGGAGTGGAGTGGCACTATCTGGGCTCACTGCAGCCTCTACCTCCTGAGCTCAAGGCATCCTCTCACCTCAGCCTCCCAAGTAGCTGGGAATACAGGTGCGTGCCACCATGCCCGGCTAACTTTTTAAAAAATTCTTTGTAGAAAATGGGGTCTCACTGTGTTGCCCAGGCTGGTCTTGAGGTCCTGGGCTCAAGTGTTCTTCCTGCCTTGGCATCCCAAAGTGCTGAGATTACAGGCATGAGCCATTGTGCCCAGCTGATTTTCTTCATTATTGCCAAGGCCTTATAAAGCCTCTCACTAAAAATTCTAGATTAATTAAAGGTTATTTTAGCAGTAAGCTCCCTGGAGATGAAGACATAAAAGATTATGGCCTCCAACCTGAAGATTTTGTTTATTACAATCACCATCAAATAGAAGATTCCCTCCGATCCTGTTGGGAGGGACTATATCAGGTGTTGCTTACCACCCCCCCTGCTGCTAAACTGAAGGGCAGTGTCTCTTAAGATATTTGGTCACAGCTGGGCGTGGTGGCTCATGCCTGTAATCCCAGCACTTGGGGAGGCTGAGGCAGGTGGATCACTTGAGGCCAGGAGTTCAAGACCAGTCTGGCCAACATGGTGAAACCCCCATCTCTACTAAAACTACAGAAAGTTAGCACGGTGTGGTGGCACAGCCTGTAATCCCCTACTTGGGAGACTGAGACACGAGAGTCACTTGAACAGGGGAGGCAGAGGTTGCAGTGAGCCAAGATCGTGTCACTGCACTCCAGCCTGGGCAACAGATTGAGATTCTGTCTCAAATTAAAAAAATAAATAAATGAGAAAAAAAAAGATATTTGGTCACCCCTCTATCTGTATGTACCTCTGAAGAAACCTAACACTGGAACTTTTGAGAAAAGTTCCTTCAAACTGTTTTCTAGGCTTGACCACCAATCTATTTTACATGGAGAAATGGAGATTTTATCTGGGGGAAACCTGCTATTTCATCTGCCTGGCCATCAGGAAGATAGCTCCACGCATTTCACTGGGAGAATGCTTCAGCCTTATTGGAGACATGTCATGGGCATGCCCCCATGAACACATGATTAGAAATCTTGAGGCCGGGTGCGGTGGCTCACTCCTGTAATCCCAGCATTTTGGGAGGCTGAGGCAGGAGGAATGCTTGAGCCCAGGATTTTGAGACCAGCCCGGGCAACACAGCGAAACCCTGTCTCTATAAAAAAATACAAAAAATTAGCTGGATGTGGTGGTGCATGCCTGTAGACCCAGCTACTCGGAAGGCTGAGGTGAGAGGAACGCTTGAGCTCAAAGGTCAAGCCTGCAGTGAGCCATGATAGCGCCACTGCACTCCAGCCTGGGTGACAGAGTGAGACTCTGTCTAAAAAAAAAAAAATCAGGTCTCACTCTGTCTGTCACCCAGGCTGGAGTGCAGTAGCGCTATCGTGGCTCACTGTGATCTCTGCCTCCCAGGTTTCGGTTCAAGCGATTCTCCCACCTCAGTCTCCCAGGTACCTGGGATTACAAGCACACGCCACCATGCCCAGCTAATTTTTGTAGTTTTAGTAGAGACAGGGTTTCACCATGTTGGCCAAGCTGGTCTTGAATTCCTGACCTGGTGATCCGCCCCCTTTGGCCTCCCACAGTGCTGGGGACTCCCGCCTTGAGCTGGGTAACCATTTCTTCAAGCTGCTTGTTATGTGGACTCTAGACTGACTGCTGCCACAAGTAGCTATAAATTAATCGAACAATGCTGCACACTGGACACCATAACTCATACACTATAGTTCAAAAATGAATAGCCAATCATCAATCAATGTTATTTCTGTAAATCAGTGAGAATCCTAATAAACAACTTTGCTATCAACCCACTCCTTGTGCCTCTTTTTGCCTTTAAAAACCAACCAGAAGGCCGGGCCTGGTGGCTCATGCCTGTAATTCCAGCACTTTGGGAAGCCGAGGTGGGCAGATCACAAGGTCAGGAGTTCGAGACCAGCCTGGCCAATATGGTGAAACCCCGTCTCTACTAAAAATACAAAAATTAGCCGGGCATGGTGGCATGTGCCTGTAGTCCCAGCTACTCAGGGGGCCGAGGCAGAATAATCGCTTGAACTCGGGAGGCAGAGGTTGCAGTGAGCTGAGATCGTGCCACTGAACTCTGACCTGGGTGACAGAGTGAGACTGTCTCAAAAAACACAACACAACACAACACAACAAAACAAAACAAAAACACACACACACACAAAACCAGCGAGAGCTCATATCAAGATTACTTGGGTTTGAGTCTTCCGGGCAGCCGTCCTTATCTCTGCCCAAGGAAACTCTTTAAAATTATATTTTGTGCCTCTGTTTTTTCCTTTAGGTTGACAATCCTAAACAATTTTTCTTCTTATATCAACTTCCCTCTCTGCCTCGTTCAGCCACCTACAATTTTTTTTTCATCTCTTCTGAGGTAATGAGACCTTTGGGCATAA